>NC_000007.14:49634181-49937211 GCF_000001405.40 Homo sapiens
GAGTTCCATAAAACCTATTGTTGAGCTTAGTATTCTCCTTAAAATGTGTAATGAACATTATCAATTAAAAATATTATCTGGATGGCAGAGGTTACACTGTTCATTTTTTGCCAACCCCACAGAGCCCTACAGTTATCCTATCATTCATAAACATGTGTTATTTGTCATAAAATTTTCATAACATCACAGGCTTTTGTATTCATATTATTTTTGACAATCGTAAATAGAAATGAACATCTTTTAAAATCAAAGAGATATACCTTCAAATCTTGCTTTCTCCACTTTCTAATTATTTGACTTTTGTGATCCTGTTTCCTCATCTAGAAAATGGAAATGATAACAACTGCTTCAGCTTCACAAAAGGCTGTGACCAAAAATTGAGATCATGTGTGTGAAATTCCCTACACAGTTCTTGTTACAGAGTAGGCAACTATCAAACCAAAGTTCTTTTGAGACACAGAGGAATGAGAACATTAACGTTTACTCTCTCTCCTCAAGCATTATGTTCTGTAGGGTCTCATTTTAGCACTAGATCTCTCATAACTAAAATTAAATCGGAACAATTAATTACATTTCCTTCTGTGATGAATTAGTATAGTCTGATTTCTGAGGCAGTAAATGGAAACTATAACATAGAAGAGGAATTTAATTATTTAAATGAATGTCATTGTACCTGTACCAGCTTATGAAGTAAGAAGAATTAAGTGAGAATAAAAGAATTAAGTAAGAAGAAAAGCATAAACAGTAGAGAGAATCCAAGGAGAGGAAGTAATTGGAGGAAGAAAACACACTAAATGTGTGTTACCAGTGCCAGGGGCTACCTCCCATGGGAAGACAAATATTTCTTTTCCAATTTCAGTATTTTACCCCATACAGCCATTTCTCCCACGCTTGTGTACTTCAGAATATGAGCAGTGGAGTTCTGTGGTTGCTCTCCCGAAATGACCTCATGTGAGGGAAACGAGTAAGGTGCAGTGGAACAACAAGCAGAGATGGTGTGTATGAGTGGTTGGTCCTGCCACCCTTCTTGCTGCACCTAGAGCCATTTTCTGACCCTACTACATTTCAGACCATATAGGTGCCCCAGTCCAGAGAGAAAGAAAGGTAGAAGGAGACTCTTCAAAGGCAGGCATACATTTAGATTTTCTGCTCTGGTACCCAGACACATGGGTGTGATAGTGCCTATGATTTCTTTTCCTTATGTTTTTTAGCTTTGGCTATGTCATAATCATTATTTCAGGTACTTTGCATGAATACTCTCATTTAATCCTCAAAACTATCCTGTATGTTGGTGTTCTATCCCCATATTATAGGAGGAAAACCGATGCTCAGAAAATTCAAGTCCCTTGAGTTGAATTCAGGCTTTCAGACTTAAAGACCCATGCATTTGTATTCACTTCAACCTTGCATCAATTTCAGTGCCCAGTCTTTATATTTTCATCTGTGACTGGTTGCATTCCCTGATTTCTCTCCAGTATCCACTTTTCTTCAAGACCTCAACTCCACTTGGCACCACCTCCTGTTCCTTAACAATTGTAAAGATACACCCCAACCCCAAGTATTTCTGAGTGCACTCTTCCCCATCTCTACACACTGCCAGCTTCTAGACCCAATCCTCCAACTGCCTGCTGGAAACTCATAAATGGAATCCTGTGTGATGTAGCAAACAACACCTTCCACAATTTTCCAACTGGAAATATAGCAGCAAGTTCCATGCCTTTCAGTAAGTAAATTATACACAATGATACCATTATGACACAAACCAAAAATGCAAGTAAGACAGTCTAGTTTGGCAGAGGGCCCAGTTCACCATTTCCCAAGCATGCCACCCCCTTGTGGTCTGACTTAATCCAACAGTCAAATGGGGGTAGCTAGAGGAATGGGCAAACTGAGAGTCTTCAAACCATCATCTGTGAATATGGACATGTACCCCTACGTGGAAAATACATGGCAAAGAGTTTGAGATTATGTTCCCTGACAAGAATCTGGGGAAAAGAAATTCCATGTTGCTGCCTAAGGCTACATCCATATGTTAGAATAGAATTCAGACCAGTATCTAAATCTTATCTTCACCAGTGTTTGAAGGTATGTGGTCCTGGGAAAATTACAGTGGGGGAAGGTAAAGGAGGGGAGTAACACTCCCCATGCCATGCCTTTATGGTTTGAGTGATAAAATGAAAGTAGTAAAATTTACATCATGCAGTTCTTTAGAAGCCTAAATAAGCTCATGTAAGCAAATGTATATAGCTAATGACTGACATACACCAAGCCCTTGATGGGAAACTGTTGACTCCAAATCGGAACCCCAGTCTTATGACTGAAGCACCAATTCATCTCATTTACCCAGGGGGAGCCAGTCAGACCTCTTACAACAGATTTTTTTTTAACTGCAGAGTTTCATGCTAGCTTGGGGTGATGCATTGCACAGCAGGGGACATTTCCATTGGAAATTTTCATAATAAATCACTTCTGCCAACATGACATTGACCAGTGCAAGTGAAAACTGTTCCCTTTTGCTTTCTCTGAGAACCTTACCTAGTAAAAGTTATAATTAAGGAAGTTGCGGACAGGAGATCAATTGAGAGGAGTCATGGTTGGAATTATTAATAATGCGCTATCAGCAGAGTGTCTTTGTCACTCAGTAGGCATCTTCATCCCACAAAAAGATGAGCGGGAAACTCCAAGAAGCAGCCAAACACTAGCAAAGCAGCTTTCTTTGCTCTTATGGCACCGGCCGACAGCGGGATGGAAGGTGAGACATGGGCCATTTCCTCAAGAAAGACAGAAAGCAGTCAGAATCCAGGGCCAACCTCCTGGAAACACTCTAATTTCCCCCATCCCCATGAGGCAACCCAGAGAAGACACATGGCAGCAAGCCTGCTGGGCAGGAAAACATGGCCACCAAGGGCTTTCCTCACTGTCTTCACTCTGCCACCTTTAAGCAGTTACGCCCCGAATCATTTACTCTTATCAACTTCTTCATTGACCACCAGTGTGTTTTGTATACATCACTTTCCACTTTTCTTGAACATGTTATCATAATTCTTCCATCAGTTCTTTGGAGTACTTGCTTGAGTAATTAATTTCAGAAATTGTAAATGGCAGCTAATAGTTTTTGAGTTCTTGCTAATCCTAAAATATTTTCTTCTGATGTCACTAGTGAATAATAACTTGGATGGATATGAAATTTTAGGATTAAAATCCAGCTTTCTTTAGAAATTTGAGTATTGATCTGTTGCCCTAAGGCATTTGGTGCTAAGGATGATAAGGCTGGAGATACTGACTTTTTTCATGTTACTTGGTGACATATTTTTCTTTTGAATTAGAAACTTGTGGGATTTTCTTTTAATTTTAAAATTCTGGAATTCTCCTGATGTATGACATATCTATGTATGTGATTCCCTTCAATATATTCCAATCGTCCTTAAATGAGCCCTTCTGACATGAACTCATCTACATTTCTTTAGTAGGCATTTTTTTATTTTTTTATTTTTTGCTTTATTGCTTCCTTTCTGTATCCTCTGTTCTCTCACTTTGGAGCTCCTTTCAAATGGACACCATGCCCAATATATTACATTTATCCACATACACTTAAGGGATATACAAAAAGTACCCCTGAGTTTCATTCACAGGCTGAGGTTTACCAAAAACTGTCCTAAATCATTATTTCATTTTTCTGCAAAGTTCATTAAACTCCATGGTTTTTCTAATTTTACTAATCACAAGTTGGAATAACAAGAATTCTTTCTTGCTTTCAACATTCTAGTTATTTTCATTCTTCATAGCTGCTTGTTCTTGTTATCTGGGTGCCACACTCTATAAATCTCACTGAGAGTAATAACTGTTTTTTACTACTTTTGGATAGTTTCTTTCCATTTGATCAGTCTAGCTTGCTTCTTCTAAGTTGTTGATTCTCCTAAAGTGATGAGGGATTCTTTTCTTGTGTAAATGCATATAGAGGTCTGGTTTGATCAGAACCCCTCTCGCTGCTGGCCACCTCAGGTTCCTCTTCTACATAGTCTGGCATCACAGTCCCCACAGGGTGCTCATCCTCTCAACAACCCACTAGGCCAGAGTCCCATCTCCACATGCAGGGCTTTCAGAGACCCTAGTGTTGCACCCTGGTCACTGTCTTACAAGCTCTCATGTGTCCAGCCCCTGCTGGTGATTTGTGGAGCTACCAGAGAGGTTGTCATTGTTGGGAAGTAGAGCAGGCATTGCTTTGGAGACGGGACTATTTAGACTATGTAACCTCTGAGCTGAATCTAATAATAGTGGCCTGAGGTTGCACAAGGTATTCTTCCTTCCCTATATGGCTGTGCTGCTCATGTTTCTGCCACCCCACAAATCCGCACCTTATGTAGCAAGAAAAGTGAAATATGGGTATGAGAGCTGCTTGCAGGTTGAAAATTCATATTTGTGCTAGTCAGCTTCAGCTACCATCACAAACAACCACAAGCTGGCTGGTTTAAGCAATAGAACTTCATTTCTCACAGTTCTGGAGGCAGGGAAGTCAAAGATCAAGGTACAGGCTGATTCGGTTCCCCAATAAGGGCTTTTTCTGGTTTGCAGATGGCTGCCTTCTCCCTGTGTCCACACATGGTGGAGATTGGGAGAAAGCAAGCTCTCTGGTGACTCTTTGTATAAGGGTTGTAGCCTCATCATGAGGGCACTACCCTCACAACCTCATCTCAACATAATTAGCTCCCAAAGGCCCATCTGCAAGTGCCGTCACTTTGGGTGATGAAATTCAATTCAACATATGAATTTTAGGAGAACACAAGCAAGCCTAGAGCAATATCCATCTCTGCTTTTTGAGTAATCGTGCTGAGGCACATTCTTGTTGCTATGATTTTGAAGGTGTTTCTGTCCACTATTTAAAAAGCTGGTCTTTGTCCCACATTTCCTCAGTGGGTTAGTAGGACACTGTTGGCTTATTCTGGAAGATCAACCCTGATCAGTATTTTTCTGTCCCAAGGCACCACGAGGGAGTCAGCTGGCCTGTGATCTACTCATCCCTCTGGGGGAAGGATGCCCTTGGGAAAGAATAGAAGACAGCATACCATCCAGTCCAATCTCTTTGGCAACTGTAATCTGGGTAAACATTTGCAAGGGGAAAGAGTACTTATCTACAGCATGCCCATAGCAGGATGTTCCCAGTACACAGCTAAGGGATAACCTAGAGTAAATACACACAGATTACCTGAGACCTGGCTCCTAGACAATGTCTCATAGGTACACAGTTGTCTGTAAGATGATCTGGAGATGTTCCATGACTCACATCCTCCTCCTGCTGTGGAAAGTATCCTGAAAACCTCACCTAGAGGCCTCATCTACTATTGTAGTCCAGAGGTGCATGTCCAAAGGAGGAAGGGAGGATGTGAAGAGCCTCCTTTGATGCCCCAAACTGCTCTTGCCTTTGTTTGAGCCTCCTGGTTGTCTGCATGCCTGACATTAGTCCCAGAGACCAACACTGGGAAACTGATTTGTGTGAACCTCATTTGACAACTGGATCCCAGGGAGCTCCTCAACAGAATCAAAAGTTAACAGAAATTCTCAAAATGTATAGCCTATTGATGGCACTCTTTTCTGTTCTTTAGCACTTTTTAGGATATTTAGATATCATTTTTTATATTTGTTTGGTCTTGTCTCTGGGCTGTTTCGAGAGAGGAGCAGTTGAACTATGGATTGAATGTGTCATATTGAAATTGGGGCCTCCCCCATGGTCTTTAATAAGTTCCATAACTTGTCCTCTGCTGGATGACAAAACAGTTCATTTCAAGTGAAAGCAGAATTTGTCACTTTTATCAGCACCATTTTTACTAGTCAGAAACCAGTGATATGAGTCAAAATGACACAGCCCTACAATGAACCAAAGATCAAAGAAATTTTTCATGCTGGAAGGCTTAACAGTGAAGTTCCTAGTGTAGACATAATATGTGCTCAGAAGAAGTCAGAAATGACAAACCAATAACTATGCACAAAATGACTTAGCAGGCAAGTGTGTCGTACCTAAAGGTCTGATTTCTTCCATGTTTCAGAACTTCCTCCAAGGGGATTACACCCTCTTAACACTCCTTTTAGTTTGTTATTTTTCCTGGAATCCTTGAGGCAGAGCGGCACTCTGGCCATCCATATGGTGAAATAAAATCAGAGGGAACTCCTTGCAGGATCTGTGACATGGGAGAAGTTACTTCATTCATTTCAAGGAGCAACGCATTACTGGATACCTGCCAATGCATTACATGCTTTACACACATCTTTTTTTGTTTCCTTTCTGTGTTTTAATTAATAAACTTTATTTTTTGGAGCAGATTTGCAGAAAAATTGAGTAGAAAGTATAGAGTTCCCATATACCTTCTCCCTCTTCTCCCACCCCACAGTTTTTCCTATTATTAACATTGCATTACTTTAGCACATTTGCTACTGGTGGACTAATATTGATACATTCTTATAAACTAAAGTCCATAGTGTACACCAGGGCTCACTATTTGTGTTGTAGATTCTATGGGTTTTGATAAATGCATAATGACATGTATCAACCATTACAGAATCAAACAGAAAAGTTTAAATGCCCTAAAAATTCCCTATCTTCCATCTATTCATTCCTTCTTCTGAATCCCTAGCAAGCACTGATCTTAAGTACACAGGCTTTTAAGTTTGAATTCTTATAGTTAGTGATACACGTTTAAGATTCTTCCATGTTTTTCCACTACATGATTGCTCATTTCATTTTAGCACTAAGTAAAATTTCCTCGTATGGATGCACCACACTTTATCCATTCACCTACCGAAGGGCATTTTGATGGCTTCCAAGTTTTGACAATTATGAAGAAAGCTGGTTTAGACACTTCTGTCAAGATTTTAGTGTGGATGTAAGTTTTCAGCTCCTTTGGGTTAATACCAAAGAGCATGATTTCTGGATCAGATCATAAGAGTATATTTAGTTTTGTAAGAAACTGCCTAACCATCCTCCAAAATGACAATACCATTTTGCCTTTGTACCAGGAATGAATGAAAGGTTCTGTTGCTCCACAGCCTCACCAGCATTTGCTGTTGTATTTACATTTTAGCCATTTACTGGGTGTATAGTGACATCTCATTGTTGTTAAATTTGCAATTACTTAATGGTATATGGTGGTAATTATTTTTTCAAATGCTTATTTCCCATTTGTACATCTTCTTTGTTGAGGTGTCTGTTCAGACCTTTTGTCTCTTTTTTAAATGGGTTATTTTCTTATTGTTGAGTTTTAAGAGGCTTTTAAAAATATTTTGGATATAAGTTCTTTATCAGATATATGGTTTACAAATATTTTCTCAAAGCCTGTGGCCTTTTTACTATCTTGACAGGGTCTGTCACAGAGCAGAAGTTTTAGTGTTAAGAAATGCCAGTTATCAATTTTTTCTTTCATGAATCACACATTTGGTGATTCATGAAAAAAAACTTATCACCATACCCAAGATCATTTGGATTTTCTCCTACGTTCTCTTCGAGGAGTTTCATAGTTTTGTGTGTTACATTTAGGTCTAATGACCCATTTTGAGTTAATTTTTGTGAAAGGTATAAGGTATGTGTCTATATATACATTTTTTTTTTGCATGTGGATGTCCAGTTCTTCTGGCATCATTTGGTGAAATCATTCCATTTTACATTGCATTGTCTTTGTTCCTTTTCTACACATTTTAAAAATTAGTTCTTCATCAAAACAACTCAAAATTGGTTATTTTATATTCATTTTGCAAAAAAAAAAAAAAATTAGATACTTAAGTCATTTACCCTTAAAAGTAAAACAATGGTCAACCAGCAAAAGGTTTACCAGGGTGCGAGCCAATGTCTGAGCCTGGTGACTTCACTGAATCAGGTTTTTCCCAATGGGAGTTTCTTGGAAAAAATATTCCTTGGAAAGTTAAGTTTATGAAATAATACATACTTAATCCTTTCTCAGAGATTCAAAATATGCATTTGCCTAAAGAAAGAAACTTCTGTTAGTGTGTGCAACGCAAGATTTTCTGCCTGTTGTTTTAAGTACAAACCTTTGCTTCTGCTTCCAGCATAACTCACCTCCCATAGAACATCTTTGGCAGAGCCTGCCCCGTGATAAACATTCTTATTCTATTCTGGGCTCTTGGGGGAAGGGAGTCCTTAAGACGCTTCTCTCTGGCCACAATTTGCTCATCTCTAAAATTAAGAAATAGCCAAAGGATTACAAATCATGCTACTATAAAGACACATGCACACGTATGTTTATTGCAGAACTATTCACAATAGCAAAGACTTGGAACCAACCCAAATGTCCATCAATGATAGACTGGATTAAGAAAATGTGGCACATATACACCATGGAATACTATGTACCCATAAAAAAGGATGAGTTTATGTCCTTTGCAGGGACATGGATCCAGCTGGAAACCATCATTCTGAGCAAACTATTGTAAGGATAGAAAACCAAACACTGCGTGTTCTCACTCACAGGTGGGAATTGAACAATGAGATCAATTGGACACAGTGCGGGGAACATCACACCCCAGGACCTGTTGTGGGGTAAGGGACAGGGGGAGGGAAAGCATTAGGAGAAATACCTAATGTAAATGATGAGTTAATGGGTGCAGCAAACCAACATGGCACATGTATACCTATGTAACAAACCTGCATGTTGTGCCCATGTACCCTAGAACTTAAAGTATAACAATAATAATAATAAAAGAAATAGACAATGGAGAATGGAGACTTGGAAGGGTGAGGTGATGGGAGGTGGGTGGTTGATGAGAAATTACTTAATGGGCACAATGCACATCGTTTGGGTGATGGATACTCTAAAAGCCCTAACTTCACCACCAAGCAATCTATGTATGTAACAAAATTGCACCTTGTACCCCATAAATTTATACAAATAAAAGATCAAAAATAATATCTCCTTTTGTTCTGACATTCTGAAAAGCCTGTGATATATCACCTGTCATTCACACATTTCTCTACACCAAGATTTTCTGGACAGACTGTTTTTCTTGCCTATTGAAAAAAGCTGAGTCTGTGAAGACAATATGAAGGCAGAGAGGGAGGAATCCATCCTTTACCAAATAAGTGGCCCCAGGACACATTCTTCCCTCTGCACAGCAGCTACATTCCCATTAGGGACAGTGGACATTTTCCCATGCAGTCCATGCACTGTGCCTTCAATAAACTGCCGTGGACTAATGTGAACTCATTTTGGCTGCTGCAGTGATGGCTGTGGCAGTGGTGACTGGAGGCGCTGTCCAGGCTCTCTCTCCTTAGCAGTGCTGGAGAGTGGCATCGATCTGGGCCGCCTGCAGAGGAGCTGCCAGCAGCTGGGCAGGCTGTGATTAGCAGCTCCTGAAAGGATCCCTTTCAAGGCTCTGGAGCCCTGCTTGGCAGCCTGCACTCTGTTTGCCTTAATTGGAGCAAATGATTTGTGCTTTCTCGCCTCAGAGATTGATCCTTGCTGAGGACCACAGTTACAGAAGTCAGGTGAAAGAGAAGGATGTCCTAGCTTGCTCTGAACATAGACAGAAAATGCTTCAGTTTCCTTTCAGGGTGAAATATTGATGCTCAGCGATGACTTCAAATGCAATTTTAAAACATCTTTCAAATTCAGAGATTTGTGTGTCAGTTCTGCTCGCTGTAGACACCATCAAACACAATTTGCCCTAGGAATCCAAAAACAGAGCTTACTGAGGAATATCGGAATGTGAGGGGCCTGCAGGCAGAGGCTGATCCCCACAGGATCAGCAACAACGGCTGACACTTCCAGAGCCTCCTAATAGCCAGGAGCAGTTCCCAGCCCATCCCATGCATGGCCTGTGCCTCCCTCACATCCCTGGTGGAAGATTCTAGTATTGTCCTGTTGTACACTTGGAGAAATGGAAAGATAAAGAAACCTGTTCAAAATCTGTTTCAGTAAATTACAAAGCATGGTTCCCAACACATATTAGATGGTTAAAAGTATTAATTAATTAATTGATTAATTACTATTAATAGTATTAATAGTATGTATTTGAAAATGAACAGAAGAACACATCAATCAATGACTCAGTGAAATCGATGAATCAATCAAACAATAGGTAGTGCATCACTTGAAATCTCCATGGGGAGAACAGGAATGAATGTGTGCAGTGTCAGTGCAGGAGACAGAGCTTCTCATCAAGGCACCAACTCACCAGGATGTTCCCTTGTGGGTCACCAGAATAGCACTGCACCTTAGGGGATCCAGGTCAGGAAGTCATAAGTGTGGGTGAGTGATGGACACTGAACTAGTTAAAACTGATGTCTGAGTATGGAAATAGATGTATATGACAGAACAGAGCTGACTGTGAAGGTCCGTCTGGGGCCCTACACTCCATCTGGGGTGAGCTCATGCTTGTGTTAAGGCTGCAATGCTCATTGGCTGTCCATCTGAAACATTAGCCACCTGGAATGCAGGCTGACACAGAGGCTTCATTATGGAATGGGCAGAGATGTGCCTAAGGAATTTGGGGTAAGGGAGAGAGCAAAATTGCATTGAATTCCTTCTATGTGCTTGGTACTAACATCAAGCAAGTACACAGAAAGGCAGTCCTCATTTTGCTCAATTCTGACATGCAGAGATTCCATTTACTATGGCTGATATAATACCTGTCCCTCCAACAAAATGACTTTGACTTCACTGTTAGCTCTTCAGTTCACACATCCCTACATAAATACTAGATGTGCATCATGATCAGTGACCAATCACTTCACTTCTTGCAAAGTCTGCCAGTGGTTTGGCCCTGAACACCTGTTATTCAGGTCACACTTGTCAGGAGCTAGTCTAGCTGGAGACATAGCTGAGTAGCCAGGTGCCAGAGTAGCTGATACAAGGCAACAAGCCAAAACAGAATTCATAATCAAGGCTTTAATCACTTACTGCAATGGTATAAGCAAAAGGCTGAACCAGAAAAAGTGCTGACTCCCCTTTGTTCTGTTTTCTCCCGTGGAACGGTGTTCCAGTCGAGGGTCAGCATAGACATTTTGGGGCATCATTTTCACAGCTGAAGGATCTCCAAACAAATGGCTCCTGTAATTTTACTGACCCAGGGGCTAGGAGGAAAGATGAGGGAGGATTTGGAGTGGAAAAATACTGGGTAGTGAGTTAGAATGGGGAAAAGTGCCTTCAGGGTTTCCGCCTCCTCCCCATCTCTATAAGGAGACCTCAGCAGAGGCCCCTGAAGAGGACCTTAGATAAAAAGACATAGGAATGAAATCATCTGGGCTGGCAGTGCAAAAATGCATAAGAAAATGGCTGCCCAGGTGGTGTGAGACCCTGACTGAAACTCCCTACAGTGTCTGCAAAGCACTGGCTGTGCAGATGTAGGGAGGAAAACGCTCCCCTGAGGTCTGCCAGGTAAAGCCTTTGTAATTGCCTATGGTTTGGCCTGAAAATTTACACATGGGTTTTTTGTTGTTGTCGTTGTTCTGGAGACAAACTCTGCAATGCACAGACAGGAGAGCATGTAGTTATATTGTCTCTTGTCCCCCATGATAAACTGGCATGATATTTTACCATTGAGCTTGGTACTATTTTTTATTTTCCTATATGCAACATTGGTAATCAAAAGAGGGAATTGGCCAACAAAGATAAAAGTGCAGCAAGGAAATGGAAAGTGATAATGCTGGAAGTGAAATTGAATAAAATGTAAATCAGGTTGTAGAAGAAATAGCTGACAGAGGGAACGTGAACACTCAGCCTTCGAGAGACTCCAGATGTGCAGTCGGGGAGCTCAGGACAGAGGATAGTTGACATCAATGGCAAAAAAGGACGTCATTTCCTGGAGGAAGGAAGGCTGGCAAAAGATCTCCCACTAAAAGGACTCTCAGAGATGTTTCACAACATGGAAAGCACTAAGGACAAAACATTGGAAGTTGATCCAGTCTTAGCAAAGAGAATGGCTATATGTCAAGGCATGGAAAAGATGCTTGCTCTGTATCATAAGGGATGAAAAGAAAGCAAACACTTTTCAAAGGCTCTTGGCAGGTTTCTAACAAATAAATAAAACCTCATAATTCTCCATGTTTCTGATATTTTAAAGTGCAGTTTACTAAATAATGTTGGTTTTACTAAGTTTTATTTTCTCATATATCTATAAGTGACAGTAAGAAAGTTTTGAATGTTTTGACAAAAATGTTCATATGTCATGAAACAATCGTAACTTTTGCATTGATTTAAATTAACACTGTTTGCAGTCAGATTTATGGTCTTACATTACCTTGCAAAGCGAAGACTGCCTGTATTACCTAATATCTTTACAGAAAATCTTAAAGTATATTGCATTGTTTTTGCCACGAAGATAGAAGCTAAAGCTCAGAGTAGTGAAGTAAGCTGTCAGAGATCACAGAGCAAGTGAGTGATAGAGCTTAGATCTGAACACTAGTCTCAATAACACTTCACTTTCTGCCCTCAACAGTACCCTAGGAAAGCAGAGAGGAGTCTGCTACCCCGGGAAGCGTTAACAGTGGGTCAAATCTGGGGCTAGACATTTTCTCCTGTGCCAATAAACACATGATCCAAAACTGCTGGAAGGGCATTCCATAAAAGAACGACTTAGAGTTTATAGTAATTCCAATAATAAAAGAATTTTAAATGTATTCAGCACTCCCTCTGTATAGTGTGTGCACTATGTAAGGGCTTCATAAGTGTTAACTCTTTTTTTTTTCTTTTTTGAGACAGGGTCTCCCTCTGTGGCTCAGGCTGGAGTGCAGTGGCATGAACTCGGCTCACTGCAACCTCCACCTCCCAGGTTCAAGCGATTCTCCTGCCTTAGCCTACTAAGTAGCTGGGATTACAGGTGTGTGCCACCACCAGCTGGCTAATTTTTATATTTTTAGTAGAGACAGGGTTTCACCATATTGGTCAGGCTGGTCTCGAACTCCAAATCTCAAGTAATCTGCCCACCTCCACCTCCCAAAGTGCTGGGATTACAGGTGTGAGACACTGCACCTGGCCAGCGTTAACTCTTTTAATGCTGACGGCAACCTAATGAGGAAATTTCCATATTATAATATTCATTTATATTATATTATTTTCTTTGAAATATACAAATTACATGGTTTTGTATATTTTATATTTATTTTATGTTTTCTATCTATGGGAAAAAAACTGAAGGGGACAGAGGAAATGAATTCACCACAGAACACAGAGTAGTACCTAGCAGAATGGAGGTGAGGTCTCAGGCCCCAGCTTCCCACTTGGATGCTTGTGCTCTGGGCTCACCCTACCTGGCTTTAGTGCCCCTCACTCAAGTGACTCAATCCCTCGAGGCTCCAGTGCCTATCATGTGTTCATTCCTGCCTCACCATGACTCCCTGTTCCTAGGCTTGCTTCCTGATAATTGCTTAGACCTGTCCTGGGTCCTGTCCTGCAGATTCCAGATCTGCTCCATCTCATTCCAGGACAGGAGTCTTGTTCCCACACCCATGCCTTTACGTGGAACTCTGATGGCACTGCTATGAGTGGCTTCCTACCAGAACCCCTGTTACCCTCAAGATGGCCAAGGACATGTAAGAGACAGGTTTATTTTACGCTCTTCAGAAAAAAGATTCCCACTCCAGATGTCCAGCACTATGGTGCACCGTTTATATATATATTATGCAATTCCATTTTCACAGTAACAAGAATTGAGTTTGAGTTTTGTTTGTTCATTGTTCTTTAGTTTTTATTTTGATTTACTATTTTTCCTATGGATTTCAGGTGCTGTATTAATCCATTCTTGCACTGCTATAAAGAATTACCTGAGGCTGGGTAAAGAAAAGAGGTTTAATTGGCTCACAGTTCTTTAGGCTGTACAGGTAGCATGGCTGAGGAGGCCTCAGGAAACTTTCAATCATGGCACAAGGCGAAGAAAAAGCCAACACATCCTTACATGGCAGAGCAGGAGAGAGAGAGAGCAGGGAGAGGCACTGCACAGTTTTAAACAACCAGATCTCGTGAGAACTCACACACATCATAGGAACATAAGGGGTAATCCATCCCCATGACTTAATCACCTCCCACCAGGCCCTCCTCCAACACTGAGGATTACAATTCAACATGAGCTCTAGGCGGGGACACAAATCCAAACCATATCAGGTGCCCAGGAAATAATTAATAATAATCTTGGGTCATGGCATGCACTCATCATTGTTTTGACACAGTCAGCTAGTTTTGTTTAGTTAGTTATTATAATTGTGTGTTAAGCCCTAGTGTACCCACTACCCTAAACAAAACCCAGGACCTTGACACCCTGACAGCAGCCCATACTGAGCAGACCATGATTCCTCCTATCTCACTTCCTCTCCTACCTTAAGGTGATCAACATTCTGAATATCATGTGTGATGGTTAATTTTAGATATCAACTTGATTGGATTAAGAAATATCTAGAAAAAATGGTAAAGAATTATCTTGGGTGTGTTTATGAGGGTTTTTCCAGAGGAGATTCTCATGTGGGTCAGAGTGGACTAGGTAAAGATCTATCTTTAATGTGGGCAGGCACCATGTAATCTACTAGGAACCTGGAGAGAACAAAAATTTTAAAAAGGCCAATGTGTCAATCTATCTCCTGGAGCTGGAATATGCTCATCCTCTGCCTTGGATAACAGAAATCTGGGCCCCCTGGCCTTTGAACTCCAGGACTTATACCAGCAGCCACGCTGGATTCTCAGGCCTTTGGCCTCAGAATGAAAGTTACACCCATCAGCTTCCCTGGTTCTGAGGCCTCTGGACTTGGACTGAGCCACACTATCAGCATTTCAGGGTCTCCAGTTTGCAATTGACCTGTCCTGGGACTTCTCAGCCTCCATAATTGTGTGAGACAATTCCCCTAATAAATCCCCTCTCATCTATCTGTATACAGATATATCCTGTTGGTTCTGTCACTCTGAAGTACCCTGGCTAGTATTCCAAGTCCATCTTGCCCCTTTTTGTTAACTTTTATATACTTTGATATCATATTTATGTACTCTCACAAAATATGGAAGTGTTTTGGAAAGAAGGTGGATATACATATGTATGTATGTATAAACACACATATACTCCTACAAACAAACATATATGTATTAGTCTGTTCTCACATTGCTATAAAGAACTACCTGAGACTGAGTAATTTATAAAGAGAAGAAGTTTAATTGGCTCACAGTTCTGCAGGCCATACAGGGAGCATGGCTAAGGGAGGTCTTAGTAAAATTACAGTCATGGCAGAAGGGGAAGGGGAAGCCAGCACATCCTACATGGCTGGAGCAAGAGCAAAAGAGTGAAGAGGGAGGTGCCCCACACTTTCAAACAACCAGGTGTCATGAGAACTCTATCACAAATATAGCAAGGGGAAGTCCACCCTCATGATTCAATCACCTCCACCAGGCCCCTCCTCCAATCCTGGGAATTATAGTTCGACATGAGATTTGGGTGGGGACACAGAGCCAAACCATATCTATCTATCTATCTATCTATCTATCTATCTATCTATCTATATTTTTAAGATTCACATCTGTTTAATGTATATAAAGCCAAGGAAAGGACAGTCTCAAATTCAATAGAAATATTCTGTACAGGGGGGTGGAGCCAAGATGGCCAAATAGGAACAGCTCCAGTATACAGCTTCCAGCGTGAGCCATGCAGAAGACAGGTGATTTCTGCATTTCCAACTGAGATACCAGGTTCATCTCACTGGGGAGTGCCAGACAGTGGGTGCAGGACAGTGGGTTCAGTGCACCGTGCATGAGCCAAAGCAGGGCAAGGCATTGCCTCACCTGGGAAGTGCAAGGGGTCAGGGAATTCCCTTTCCTAGTCAAAGAAAGGGGTGACAGATGGCACCTGGAAAATCAGGTAACTCCCACCCTAATACTGCACTTTTCCAACTGGCTTAACCAATGGCACACCAGGAGATTATATCCCGCACATGGCTCGGAGGGTCCTACGCCCACAGAGCCTTGCTCATTGCTAGCACAGCAGTCTGAGATCAAAGTGCAAGGTGGCAGCGAGGCTGGGGAGGGGTGCCCGCCGTTGCTCAGGCTTGAGTAGGTAAACAAAGCAGCCGGGAAGCTTGAACTGGGTGGAGCCCACCACAGCTCAAGGAGGCCTGCCTGCCTCTGTACACTCCACCTCTGGGGGCAGAGCACAGACAAACAAAAGACAACAATAACCTCTGCAGACTTAAATGTCCCTGTCTGACAGTTTTGAAGAGAGTAGTGGTTCTCCCAGCACACAGCTTGAGATCTGAGAATGGGCAGAGTGCCTCCTCAAGTGGCTCCCTAACCCCCGAGTAGCCTAACTGGGAGGCACCCCCCAGTAGGGGCGGACTGACACTTCACACGGACGGGTACTCCTCTGAGACAAAACTTCCAGGGGAACGATCAGGCAGCAGCATTTGCGGTTCACCAATATCCACTGTTCTGCAGCCACCACTGCTGATACCCACGCAAACAGGGTCTGGAGTGGACCTCCAGCAAACTCCAACAGACCTGCAGCTGAGGGTCCTCACTCTTAGAAGGAAAACTAACAAACAGAAAGGACATACACACCAAAAACCCATCTGTACGTCATCATCATCATCAAAGACCAAAGGTAGATAAAACCACAAAGATGGGGAAAAAACAGAGCAGAAAAACCGGAAACTCTAAAAATCAGAGCACCTCTCCTCCTCCAAAGGAACGCAGCTCCTCACCAGCAACGGAACAAAGCTGGATGGAGAATGACTTTGACGAGTTGGGAGAGGAAGGCTTCAGAAGGTCAAACTACTCTGAGCTAAAGGAGGAAGTTCGAACCAATGGCAAAGAAGTTAAAAACTTTGAAAAAAACTTAGAAGAATGGATAACTAGAATAACCAATGCAGAGAAGTCCTTAAAGGACCTGATAGAGCTGAAAAACACAGCACAAGAACTACGTGATGAATGCACAAGCCTCAGTAACCAATGCAATCAACTGGAAGAAAGGGTATCAGCGATGGAAGACGAAATGAATGAAATGAAGTGTGAAGAGAAGTTTAGAGAAAAAAGAATAAAAAGAAATGAACAAAGCCTCCAAGAAATATGGGACTATGTGAAAAGACCAAATCTACGTCTAATTGGTGTACCTGAAAGTGATGGGGAGAATGGAACCAAGTTGGAAAACACTCTGCAGGATATTATCCAGGAGAACTTCCCCAATATAGCAAGGCAGGCCAACATTCAAATTCAGGAAATACAGAGAACACCACAAAGATACTCCTCGAGAAGAGCAACTCCAAGACACATAATTGTCAGATTCACCAAAGCTGAAATGAACGAAAAAATGTTAAGGGCAGCCAGAGAGAAAGGTCGGGTTACCCTCAAAGGGAAGCCCATCAGACTAACAGCTGATCTCTCAGCACAAACTCTACAAGCCAGAAGAGAGTGGGGGCCTATATTCAACATTCTTAAAGAAAAGAATTTTTCAACCCATAATTTCATATCTAGCAAACTAAGCTTCAATAATGAAGGAGAAATAAAATCCTTTACAGACAAGCAAATGCTGAGAGATTTTGTCACCACCAGGCCTGCCCTAAAAGAGCTCCTGAAGGAAGCACTAAACATGGAAAGGAACAACTGGTACCAGCCACTGCAAAAAGATGCCAAATTATAAAGACCATCAAGGCTAGGAAGAAACTGCATCAACTAACGAGCAAAATAACCAGCTAACATCATAATGACAGAATCAAATTCACACATAACAATACTAACCTTAAACGTAAATGGGCTAAATGCTCCAATAAAAAGGCACAGGCTGGCAAATTGGATAAAGAGTCAAGAACCATCAGTGTGCTGTATTCAGGAAACCCATCTCATGTGCAGAGACACACATAGGCTCAAAATAAAGGGATGGAGGAAGATCTACCAAGCAAATGGAAAACAAAAAAAGGCAGGGGTTGCAATCCTAGTCTCGGATAAAACAGACTTTAAACCAACAAAGATCAAAAGAGACAAAGAAGGCCATTACATAATGGTAAAGGGATCAATTCAGCAAGAAGAACTAACTATCCTAAATATATATGCACCCAATGCAGAAGCACCCAGATTCATAAAGCAAGTCCTTAGTGACCTACAAAGAGACTTAGGCTCCCACACAATAATAATGGGAGACTTTAACACCCCACTGTCAACATTAGACAGATCAACGAGACAGAAAGTTAGCAAGGATATCCAGGAATTGAACTCAGCTCTGCGCCAAGCGGACCTAATAGACATCTACAGAACTCTCCACCCCAAATCAACAGAATATACATTCTTTTCAGCACCACACCACACCTATTACAAAACTGACCACACAGTTGGAAGTAAAGCACTCCTCAGCAAATGTAAAAGAACAGAAATTATAACAAACTGTCTCTCAGACCACAGTGCAATCAAACTAGAACTCAGGATTAAGAAACTCACTCAAAACCGCTCAACTACATGGAAACTGAACAACCTGCTCCTGAATGACTACTGGGTACGTAACGAAATGAAGGCAGAAATAAAGATGTTCTTTGAAACCAATGAGAACAAAGACACAACATACCAGAATCTCTGGGACACATTCAAAGCAGTGTGTAGAGGGAAATTTATAGCACTAAATGCCCACAAGAGAAAGCAGGAAAGATCTAAAATTGACACCCTAACATCACAATTAAAAGAACTGGTGAAGCAAGAGCAAACACATTCAAAAGCTAGCAGAAGGCAAGAAATAACTAAGATCAGAGCAGAACTGAAGGAGATAGAGACACAAAAACCCTTCAAAAAATCAATGAATCCAGGACCTGGTTTTTTGAACAGATCAACAAAATTGATAGACCGCTAGCAAGACTAATAAAGAAGAAAAGAGAGAAGAATCAAATAGACCCAATAAAAAATGATAAAGGGGATATCACCACTGATCCCACAGAAATACAAACTACCATCAGAGAATACTATAAACACCTCTACCCAAATAAACTAGAAAATCTAGAATAAATGGATAAATTCCTCGACACATACACCCTCCCAAGACTAAACCAGGAAGAAGTTGAATCTCTGAATAGACCAATAACAGGCTTTGAAATTGAGGCAATAATTAATAGGTTACCAACCAAAAAAAAGTCCAGGACCAGATGGATTCACAGCCGAATTCTACCAGAGGTACAAGGAGGAGCTGGTACCATTCCTTCTGAAACTATTCCGATCAATAGAAAAAGAGGGAATCCTCCCTAACTCATTTTATGAGGCCAGCATCATCCTGATACCAAAGCCTGGCAGAGACACAACAAAAAAAGAGAATTTTAGACCAATATCCTTGATGAACATTGATGAAAAATCCTCAATAAAATACTGGCAAACGGAATCCAGCAGCACATCAAAAAGCTTATCCACCATCATCAAGTGGGCTTCATCCCTGGGATGCAAGGCTGGTTCAACATACACAAATCAATAAATGTAATCCAGCATATAAACAGAACCAAAGACAAAAACCACATGATTATCTCAATAGATGCAGAAAAGGCCTTTGACAAAATTCAACAACCTTCATGCTAAAAACTCTCAATAAATTAGGTATTGATGGGACGTATCTCAAAATAATAAGAGCTATCTATGACAAACCCACAGCCAATATCATACTGAATGGGCAAAAACTGGAAGCATTCCCTTTGAAAACTGGCACAAGACAGGGATGCCCTCTCTCACCACTCCTATTCAACATAGTGTTGGAAGTTCTGGCCAGGGCAATCAGGCAAGGCAAGGAAATAAAGGGTATTCAATTAGGAAAAGAAGAAGTCAAATTGTCCCTGTTTGCAGATGACATGATTGTATATCTAGAAAACCCCATTGTCTCAGCCCAAAATCTCCTTAAGCTGATAAGCAACTTCATCAAAGTCTCAGGATACGAAATCAATGTACAAAAATCACAAGCATTCTTATACACCAATAACAGACAAACAGAGAGCCAAATCATGAGTGAACTCCCATTCACAATTGCTTCAAAGAGAATAAAATACCTAGGAATCCAACTTACAAGGGATGTGAAGGACCTCTTCAAGGAGAACTTCAAACCACTGCTCAATGAAATAAAAGAGGATACAAAGAAATGGAAGAACATTCCATGCTCATGGGTAGGAAGAATCAATATTGTGAAAATGGCCATACTGCCCAAGGTAATTTATAGATTCAATGCCATCCCCATCAAGCTACCAATGACTTTCTTCACAGAATTGGAAAAAACTACTTTAAAGTTCATATGGAACCAAAAAAGAGCCTGCATTGCTAAGTCAACTCTAAGCCAAAAGAACAAAGCTGGAGGCATCACGCTACCTGACTTCAAACTATACTACAAGGCTACAGTAACCAAAACAGCATGGTACTGGTACCAAAACAGAGATATAGGCCAATGGAACAGAACAGAGACCTCAGAAATAATGTCGCATATCTACAACCATCTGATCTTTGACAAACCTGACAAAAACAAGCAATGAGGAAAGGATTCCCTATTTAATAAATGGTGCTGGGAAAACTGGCTAGCCATATGTAGAAAGCTGAAACTGGATCCCTTCCTTACACCTTATACAAAAATTAATTCAAGATGGATTAAAGACTTACATGTTAGACCTAAAACCATAAAAAGCCTAGAAGAAAACCTAGGCAATACCATTCAGGACATAGGCATGGGCAAGGACTTCATGTCTAAAACACCAAAAGCAATGGCAACAAAAGCCAAAATTGACAAATGGAATCTAATTAAACTAAAGAGCTTCTGCACAGCAAAACAAACCACCATCAGAGTGAACAGGCAACCTACAGAATGGGAGAAAATTTTTGCAACCTACTCATCTGACATAGGGCTAATATCTAGAATCTACAATGAACTCAAACAAATTTACAAGAAAAAAACAAATAACCCCATCAAAAAGTGGGCAAAGGATATGAACAGACACTTCTCAAAAGAAGATATTCATGCAGCCAAAAAACACATGAAAAAATGCTCATCATCACTGGCCATCAGAGAAACGCAAATCAAAACCACAATGAGATACCATCTCACACCAGTTAGAATGGCGATCATTAAAAAGTCAGGAAACAACAGGTGCTGGAGAGGATGTGGAGAAATAGGAACACTATTACACTGTTGGTGGGACTGTAAACTAGTTCAACCATTGTGGAAGTCAGTGTGGCGATTCCTCAGGGATCTAGAACTAGAAATACCATTTGACCCAGCCATCCTATTACTGGGTATATACCCAAAAGATTATAAATCATGCTGCTATAAAGACACATGCACACGTATGTTTATTGCGGCACTATTCACAATAGCGAAGACTTGGAACCACCCCAAATGTCCAACAATGATAGACTGGATTAAGAAAATATGGCACATATACACCATGGAATACTATGCAGCCATAAAAAATGATGAGTTCATGTCCTTTGTAGGGACATGGATGAAACTGGAAACCATCATTCTCAGCAAACTATCGCAAGGACAAAAAACCAAACACCACATGTTCTCACTCATAGGTGGGAACTGAACAATGAGAACACATGGACACAGGAAGGGGAACATCACACACAGGGGACTGTTGTGCAGTGGGGGTAGTGGGGAGGGATAGCATTAGGAGACATATGTAATGTAAATGATGAGTTAATGGGTGCAGCACACCAACATGGCACATGTATACATATGTAACTAACCTGCACATTGTGGACATGTACCCTAAAACTTAAAGTATAATAATAATAATAATAATAAAGAACTTTCTGTAGAATTAATATGGTGAGGCTGAGGGAGAAGGGATGAGGCTTTAGAACCCACACCTCAACATGTACAAAAATAACTTACACAACAACCCCCACCTGCAAGGATGGTGCAGCTCTGCCAAGCCCCTGGGGCTGGGGGGCACATTGCAGACAGGGCACCATGGGAGCCAACCAGTGTGGGCCCCAGGTGCTGGTGGGAGTGAAGAGGGCTCCAGTCTGGAGGGGAGGGTGGCTATTAGAAGGACTTGATATACATGTGTTATAATTTTATAATATACATATTTGAATTTGGGTGGGGACACAGAGCCAAACCACATCACCATATCAATATATCATAGAAAAATATGGGGTTAACCCAAAGAGGCTGGGGTAATGATGGGATTAACAATATATATTGATATGATTTTGCTCTGCATCCCCACCCATATTCACACAGACATAAACAATATTATTTATATTATTTAAAATTTTATATATCAGGCATCATGCCATGTATAATCCTTGGGGATTTTTCACTTATGCTACCTTGCTAGGATTCATCCACAGTTTCATCTGTCACTACAGTATACTGGTTTGGATTGTAGAAAATTATTCTATTGTGGGAATACACAGCAATTGATTAGTCTACTCTCCAGGTGATTTGCATTCAATCATTTCTAGGTTTTCTCTTCTAAACAGGGAAGCTATGAACATTCTTGCATGTCTTCTGTTGGATATGTGTAATTGTTTCTCTCAAGTAGTTCCAAGTGGAATTGCAAATGTTAGAAGGTATGTATTTCATTTTAGAAAATAATGCCGACCTGTTTCCCAAAGAAACTGCACCAAGCTCAATCCAGCAGCAAAAATTGAGAGTACCTATGTGTCCACATCCCTTCCAGAATTGACATTTGCAGATTTTGTATGTGTGCCTACTGAACGAGTATAAAATACTAAATCATCCTGTTCCTGATTTTTCACTTCTCTCTTTACTAACAGTGTTGAAAATCTCCACACAGGTTTAGTGGGCACCTGTGTTCTTATTTTTTAAGACACCTGTTCAGGCCTCTGCCTAACTTTCCATTGATTGCCCATGCTAACAATGAGCCTGTCACCAGAGAAATTGCCTCTGCATCACACCCTGAATGAGCATGGCTATTTCCAGGACTCTACTCTATGATTTCCCCCACTACTCTTATCTATGATGAGCTTTACTCTTTTGAGACTTTAGGGCAAACCCTCTTCATACTAAAGGAAACTTCAGGCAGGCAAAGAGAATGGGGAAATCAGAGACCAGCTCAAGAGATGCCCCTGGAATGACGCCCTATGTTAAACATCTGGTCAGGTTCCAATGACTGCCTTAGAAGTTTCTAGTGGGTAAGCTGGGCAGAATCTTCAAGTTGGGATGAGTCTAGACATCATTCAGGTAACAGGAAGCTCACAGGGGAGGGGATTCAAGCAATGTGTTTCATGGGCATACATTCATCATCTGCAAGCCATGCCACTGGAGTAGGATAAAGTTAGGAATATTCCCTTCGAGGAGGGCTGGTGGAAGCAAGCCGAGACTGCAGGGCCCTCTGTATGTAGGAGCCACAGGCCTGGCAGATGTGGCAAAGAAACTGGCTGGAACTGGGGCATGGGGATTAATGCAAAAGTCTATAAAAATATCGGGTTAACACAAAGAGGCTGGGGTAAGGATGGGATTAACAAACTAGCATGTAGAGAGACACTGAGATACAATTTCTAAAACTAAAGAATCGTTTTCTAAACAAAAGGCCCCAGGTCAGACTGGCAGCAAAGAGACTTCTGGGAGCTATTTTGGGTTCTGGGAGTCATGAGCTCCTGTTGCATCATTCAAAGATCCAATTATTGAAAGACAGAGCTGGGAACATAGGTTCTGTCTCAGTCGGAGCTGACTTAGGAGTCACAGTGAATCTATGCCTCCATGTAGGAAACCCCTTTGCCAGAAACTATGGTGGAGAAGAGGATTTTATTTTAACAAACATTTATATATTTCATATATTCCAAGCACCTGATTTTGTTCAGGAGAACAGAGTTAAATAAGGTATAGCATCTGCTCTGAAGTTGCTGAATAACATTAATAACATGAATTTCATTTGCAATCAGCATGACTCACTGTACTAACCACTTCACATGAATTCTTTCACTTAATCCTATAACATTCAGTCAGGTATGGTGATGCACGCCTGCCATCCCAGCTACTTGGGAGGCTGAAGTGGGAGGATCACTGGAGCTCAGGAGTTCCAGGCTGTAATGAGCTATGATCGCATCACTGCACTCCAGCCTGGGTGACAGAGCAAGACCCTATTTCTTAAAACATAAAATAAAATAAAATTCTGTAACAACCATATAAAGTAAGTAGCAATATTTACCCCATTTTCCAGTGAGGACATTAAGGTTCAAAAAGTTTCAGAAGTTTTTCTAAAGCCATTCAGAAAGTAAGCAGAGGAGGAGGAATTTGAAACTAATCAGTTAGCTCCTAGAGGTCACACGATTAACCACCCAACATACGTTTCCTAAGCGTCCTTTTATTAGAGGGGGCAGGGGCTCCCCATCATCCTCATCAGGTAACTTATTGTGCTGTGATGGTAACTACCTAAAGACTTAAAACTAAGCACAAATTCCTTCAGTTCTCACGCCTGGTACACATCTCATAACATGGTATACATCTTTAAGTACTACGGAAACCACAAAACCAATAGAACTTAAATTAAACTTGCATGTTAATGAGGCAGAGGATGAGGTTTTGCAACCATAAATCTCATAAAGTTAGGAAAATCCCTTTGAGGAGGGCTCCCCTGTGTCCTGGAGCCCCAACATCTCCCACCACTTCCCTCTATTTGAGCAGCTACGAAACTTCGCCAGTACCGCACACCGTGGTACCATCTGGCCTCCACTAGGTTAAAGCACATCATTTATTAGTTACTTCACCCAAATACATTTCCTATTAGCTTGTGACAGTGAAAGAAGCATTGCTTGGTGCCAACTCAGTTATAAATACAAACTCATGGGCACTAAAATCCCTGGCTATGCTCAGGGGTAGACTAGCAATGGCCTAGAAAATTGTGGACCTCCATTGGAGAAATATCTTATTATGCTCTTCAGCCTCCTTCCAATCCCAGTCCCCATCAGAAGGCAATGACCTCCTTGTGTGATAAGTGTTAAGGCAGAGAAAAACACAGAATCCGTGGGATTGGAGAGGGCACCCACCCCTCTGCCCAAACAGTAAAGGAAAGTCTTCCTGAAAGTGTGACCACTGGGTCTGGCCCTGGAGAGGAAGAAAAGTGTTTCCCAGGTGGAAGAAATGACATAAAGAAAGGCAATAGGACATGAAGCAGCACAATATGTGCACAAGAGACAAAAGAATTTATAATCCACGAAGAATAAGAGAAAGAGGAAGCCAGAGAAGCTGGTAGAAGACAGATCATGGGGTACCTACACCTATACCTATACCTATATCTGAGTGTCTACATCAACATCATCTACATCTACACCTACATCTACATCTGAGTGTCTACATCTACATCCTCTATGCCTACACCTACACCTATGTCTGTATATCTACATCAACATCATCTACACCTACACCAACACCTACATCTGTATGTCTACATCGACATCATCTACACCTACACCTATATCTACATCTGAGTGCCTACATCTATATCCTCTACACCTACACCTACATCTGTACATCTATATCACCATCATCTACACCTAGATCTCCACCTACACCTACATCTACATCTGTATATCTACATCAATATCATCTATACGTATACCTATACCTATACCTACAACTACATCTACATCTGTATGTCCACATCAACATTGTCTACACCTACATCTACACCTACAACCATATCTACATCTGAGTGCCCACATCACCATCATCTACACCTACACCTACATCTGCATCTATACATCTACGTCATCTTTATCTACACCTACACCTATGTCTACATCTGTATATCTACATCAACATCATCTACATCCACACCTATACCTACATTTATATATTTAACTCTGCATCATCTCCAGCTCCATATATGCCTATACCAATTTCTACACCCATATATCTATACCTACATCTACATCAACCTCTACATTTACATCTATATCTACATTCTTGGCCTGTCTATGAACCCTTTGAGAAAAGGCAGGAAAGCATTAGAACTCTCGAATGCTTTTTCATTTCCTTGTGCACTATGTGTATAAGAAACACCTCTGCTTGGTTTGAAATGGAAAGATCATGACTATGAATGAGGCAGTCTTCCCCTAGTTGCCATGGACATCTACCTTGGTTGCTAGCTCCCTGCATTCTGGCATGGCAGGGCTGCAGGAAGTGCTTGAATTGATGAGAATAACAAGGGACTATTTTATTTACCATCACCAGCATTAGCTTGTGTTGTGCAGCCACGGTTTGCTTGGTCTTTTAAATTACATTCCCACTTCCCTGTGCTCTCATCATTGCAGCTCTCATGGCTACATTCCTTAAAGCAATAACTTTCATTTACAATAATGTTCCTTTAATAGGGGTACGTTGGACAATATTCATGCACACTCACTTGGCATAGCATTTTTCATCGAAGAGCCTGTGCCAACATTAAATAGGTGAATTTAGCAAAAGCAGAAAAGCATAAAGAAGAAAATAAACATGACCCATGAACCCACTTCCCAGAGTAACTGTTTACATTGGGTGTGGTTTTCCCAGAGAAGTTCCTCTTTGCATATTGAGAGCATATGGAATTATAACTCTTACTGTTAACATTATAATATAAGGATTTCTATATAACTTTGGATATTTTGGAAAATAATTTAATGGCTATGTACTCTTTCTTTATATGTCCTCATATCATTGGTGACCATTTCTACTACACTTTGATCCTTCTTTTCTATTTATTCATTTATTAAATATCCATCAAGCACTTACTTGAATCAGCAAGACATGCAAGGACTTTGTGAGTTTTTGTTTCTTTGTTTGTTTTGAGATGGAGTCTCACTCTGTCACCCAGGCTGGAGTGCAGTGGCTTGATCTCAGCTCACGGCAACCTCTACCTCCTGGGTTCAAGTGATTCTCCTGCCTCAGCATCCCGAGTAGCTGGGACTACAGGCTCCCGCAACCACACCCAGCTAATTTTTTTTTTTTTTTTTTATTTTAAGTAGAGGCGTGGTTTCCTTTATGTTGGCCAGGCTGGTCTCGAACTCCTGACCTCATGATCCACCCACCTCGGCCTCCCAAAGTGCTGGGGTTACAGGCGTGAGCCACCGCGCCCCCGGCCGGTCCTTGTTTTTAAAGAATTTACAATTGAACGGGCAGAAGCAGATAGTAACAAGTGAATGAAAGTAGTAAGATCTCAGCTTTACAGACACCGTATTCTAACTATGTTTAGAGAAAAAAAGTGCAGCTTTCAAATTTCATTTACAGTCCGTCTTTCACATAGTCTCCCATCCACGACAGTGTGAGCAGAAAATAAATAAGTAAAGTAAAATAGATGTAAGTACCAACCAAGAAACCTAGGCTGATTTACAAAATTAAAATTTTTTTCTTAACTAAATCTTAGCTTCTTCAGTCAAAATACACCGTCACTTAGATTCCAACTCCCTTGCCAGAGCAGAACTCATTCCTGAAGTGCCTGCCTCCAGCATCCATTCTCACACTCTCTGCCTTCAGGATTATCTTAATCCTAACCCCAAGTTTGTTTAGTCCACTGTATTCTCAGCATCTCTAAGTGAATTCAAAGGAATTTCCAGTTCCTTTTTATCCCATAGGAAGACCAAAGGGATCCAGAAATGGTGCCAAAAAAATCTCTTGCCCCCTGCTTCCAAAGTTGTCAATTTATCCTTGTCCAGCACAGGGCAGAGGTCTTCCCCTAGAGCAGTAATTCTTTAAGTATGGTCCCAGACCACGAACACCAGCGTCTCCCCAGACCTACCAAAGAAGAAACTGTGGGTGGGGCAGTGGTCCAGCAATCTGTATCTTAAAGCTCTTGAAGCTTATTCAAGGAGATTCTGACGTGTACTGAAGTTTCAGAGCCACTGCCCTAAATGACTGCACATCCAGCAAAAGGAGCTATGCTCCTGATGTTCTTCTCACATGCAATATCCATCAACATGTTTTGAGAAACCCCATTTCAAGGCACAAGCTCCAAGGAGTGGAGGAAATGCCAGTCTTTCAGGATTGCTCCCTGTCTCCTTCCTCTGAACCATCTTACAAGTTTTGAAGGAATTGGCTTGCAGAGTCTCCTGGCCCTACATTGTGTGCTGCTCCCCCTTCTCTTTCTTCTCTCCTTACCCCTCCTTCTCCCTGACTGCACAGCTCACTTTCCTGCCGGCATAGGTGCAGGTGTCCACTCCACGTTTCTGGAAGGAGCAGGAATGCCATAATGCGCTGCCTCCAGGTTTGATTTCTGGTATTCCAAAAGGCCTCAGAAAGTTATTTCTCTCTCACGCTTGCTTTTACTCAAGCTCCCATTTGTCCTCAGAAAGTCTGATTTACAATCCTTATTTTCTTGATATAGATTTAAGCAAAAAAATCTACTTTGACAGTCAAACTGGAGAAACGAGTTTATTGATTTAGCAGGTATGTCTTCTCTCTCTAAAGCACTAAAACTCATTGCTTTAATCAGGGTGAAGTCTCCAAGGCAAAAATCGTCAGAATATAGAAATACGTCTGAAAATGTTTCCAAAAATAATATCCCTGATGCAACAGCACAAAACTCAAAATGAATTTTTTGATTCAACAAGTGTTTATTGAGGCCCTTCTATGTGAAGAAACTATTGTTTGTTTTTTTAATTATTATTATACTTTACGTTTTAGGGTATATGTGCACAATGTTCAGGTTTGTTACATATGTATACATTTGCCATGTTGGTGTGCTGCACCCATTAACTCGTCATTTAACTTTAAGTATATCTCTAATGCTATCCCTCCCCCCTACCCCCACCCCACAACACTCCGGGAGTGTGATGTTCCCTTTCCTGTGTCCATGTGTTCTCATTGTTCAATTCCCACATATGAGTGAGAACATGTGGTGTTTGGTTTTTGGTCCTTGCGATAGTTTGCTGAGAATGATGGTTTCCAGTTTCATCCATGTCCCTACAAAGGACATGAACTCATCATTTTTTATGGCTGCATAGTATTCCATGGTGTATATGTGCCACAATTTCTTAATCCAGTCTATCATTGTTGGACATTTGGGATGGTTCCAAGTCTTCGCTATTGTGAATAATGCCGCAATAAACATATGTGTGCATGTGTCTTTATAGCAGCATGATTTATAATTCTTTGGGTATATACCCAGTAATGGGATGGCTGGGTCAAATGGTATTTCTAGTGCTAGATCCCTGAGGAATCGCCACACTGACTTCCACAATGGTTGAACTAGTTTACAGTCCCACCAACAGTGTAATAGTGTTCCTATTTCTCCACATCCTCTCCAGCACCTGTTGTTTCCTGACTTTTTAATGATCACCATTCTAACTGGTGTGAGATGGTATCTCATTGCGGTTTTGATTTGCATTTCTCTGATGGCCAGTGATGATGTGCATTTTTTCATGTGTTTTTTGGCTGCATGAATATCTTCTTTTGAGAAGTGTCTGTTCATATCCTTTGCCCACTTTTTGATGGGGTTGTTTGTTTTTGTCTTGTAAATTTGTTTGAGTTCATTGTAGATTCTAGATATTAGCCCTTTGTCTGATGAGTAGATTGCAAAAATTTTCTCCTGATTCTGTAGGTTGCCTGTTCACTCTGATGGTGGTTTGTTTTGCTGTGCAGAAGCTCTTTAGTTTAATTAGATTCCATTTGTCAATTTTGGCTTTTGTTGCCATTGCTTTTGGTGTTTTAGACATGAAGTCCTTGCCCATGCCTATGTCCTGAATGGTATTGCCTAGGTTTTCTTCTAGGCTTTTTATGGTTTTAGGTCTAACATGTAAGTCTTTAATCCATCTTGAATTAATTTTTGTATAAGTGTAAGGAAGGGATCCAGTTTCAGCTTTCTACATATGGCTAGCCAGTTTTCCCAGCACCATTTATTAAATAGGGAATCCTTTCCCCATTGCTTGTTTTTGTTAGGTTTGTCAAAGATCAGATGGTTGTAGATATGCGACATTATTTCTGAGGTCTCTGTTCTGTTCCATTGGCCTATATCTCTGTTTTGGTACCAGTACCATGCTGTTTTGGTTACTGTAGCCTTGTAGTATAGTTTGAAGTCAGGTAGCGTGATGCCTCCAGCTTTGTTCTTTTGGCTTAGAGTTGACTTGGCAATGCAGGCTCTTTTTTGGTTCCATATGAACTTTAAAGTAGTTTTTTCCAATTCTGTGAAGAAAGTCATTGGTAGCTTGATGGGGATGGCATTGAATCTGTAAATTACCTTGGGCAGTATGGCCATTTTCACAATATTGATTCTTCCTACCCATGAGCATGGAATGTTCTTCCATTTCTTTGTATCCTCTTTTATTTCATTGAACAGTGGTTTGTACGTCTCCTTGAAGAGGTCCTTCACATCCCTTGTAAGTTGGATTCCTAGGTATTTTATTCTCTTTGAAGCAATTGTGAATGGGAGTTCACTCATGATTTGGCTCTCTGTTTGTCTGTTATTGGTGTATAAGAATGCTTGTGATTTTGGTACATTGATTTTGTATCCTGAGACTTGCTGAAGTTGCTTATCAGCTTAAGGAGATTTTGGGCTGAGACAATGGGGTTTTCTAGATATACAATCATGTCATCTGCAAACAGGGACAATTTGACTTCTTCTTTTCCTAATTGAATACCCTTTATTTCTTTCTCCTGCCTAATTGCCCTGGCCAGAACTTCCAACACTATGTTGAATAGGAGTGGTGAGAGAGGGCATCCCTGTCTTGTGCCAGTTTTCAAAGGGAATGCTTCCAGTTTTTGCCCATTCAGTATGATATTGGCTGTGGGTTTGTCATAGATAGCTCTTATTATTTTGAGATACGTCCCATCAATACCTAATTTATTGAGAGTTTTTAGCATGAAGGTTGTTGAATTTTGTCAAAGGCCTTTTCTGCATCTATTGAGATAATCATGTGGTTTTTGTCTTTGGTTCTGTTTATATGCTGGATTACATTTATTGATTTGTGTATGTTGAACCAGCCTTGCATCCCAGGGATGAAGCCCACTTGATGATGGTGGATAAACTTTTTGATGTGCTGCTGGATTCCGTTTGCCAGTATTTTATTGAGGATTTTTGCATCAATGTTCATCAAGGGTATTAGTCTAAAATTCTCTTTTTTTGTTGTGTCTCTGCCAGGCTTTGGTATCAGGTATCATTTATGCTGGCCTCATAAAATGAGTTAGGGAGGATTCCCTCTTTTTCTATTGATTGGAATAGTTTCAGAAGGAATGTTACCAGCTCTTCCTTGTACCTCTGGTAGAATTCGGCTGTGAATCCATCTGGTCCTGGACTTTTTTTTGGTTGGTAAGCTATTAATTTTTGCCTCAATTTCAGAGCCTGTTATTGGTCTATTCAGAGATTCAACTTCTTCCTGGTTTAGTCTTGGGAGGGTGTATGTGTCTAGGAATTTATCCATTTCTTCTAGATTTTCTAGTTTATTTGGGTAGAGGTGTTTGTAGTATTCTCTGATGGTAGTTTGTATTTCTGTGGGATCAGTGGTGATATCCCCTTTATCATTTTTTATTGGGTCTATTTGATTCTTCTCTCTTTTCTTCTTTATTAGTCTTGCTAGTGGTCTATCAATTTTGTTGATCTTTTCAAAAAACCAGCTCCTGGATTCATTACTTTTTTGAAGGGTTTTTTTTGTCTCTATTTCCTTCAGTTCCACTCTGATTTTAGTTATTTCTTGCCTTCTGCTAGCTTTTGAATGTTTGCTCTTGCTTTTCTAGTTCTTTTAATTGTGATGTTAGGGTGTCAATTTTGGATATTTCCTGCTTTCTCTTGTGGGGATTTAGTGCTACAAATTTCCCTCTACACACTGCTTTGAATGTGTCCCAGAGACTCTGGTATGCAGGACAGTGGGTGCAGTGCACCGTGGGCGAGCCGAAGCAGGGCAAGGCACTGCCTCACTGGGAAGCACAAGGGGTCAGGAAATTCCCTTTCCTAGTCAAAGAAAGGGGTGACAGAGGCACCTGGAAAATCGGGTCATTCCCACCCTAATACTGAGCTTTTCCAACGGGCTTAAAAAACGGCGCACCAGGAGATTATATCACGCACCTGGCCTTGAGGGTCCTATGCCCACGGAGTCTCGCTGATTACTAGCACAGCAGTCTGAGATCAAACTGCAAGGCAGCAGCGAGGCTGGGGGAGGGGCGCCTGCCATTGCCCAGGCTTGATTAGGTAAACAAAGCAGCCCGGAAGCTGGAACTGGGTGGAGCCCACCACAGCTCAAGGAGGCCTGCCTGCCTCTGTAGGCCCCACCTCTGGGGGCAGGGCACAGACAAACAAAAAGACAGCAGTAACCTCTGCAGACTTAAATGTCCCTGTCTGACAGCTTTGAAGAGAGCAGTGGTTCTCCCAGCACGCAGCTGGAGATCTGAGAATGGGCAGACTGCCTCCTCAAGTGGATCCCTGACCCCCGAGCAGCCTAACTGGGAGGCACCCCCCAGTAGGGGCAGACTGACACCTCACACGGCTGGGTACTCCTCTGAGACAAAACTTCCAGAGGAATGATCAGGCAGCAGCATTTGCGGGTCACCAAAATCCGCTGTTCTACAGCCACCGCTGTTCTGCAGCCACCGCTGTGAAGAAACTATTGTAAGCATTGGGGAATCATCAGTGATACTACTAGATGTTCTGTAAAAATTGTTACATCATTTACATCATTCACATCATTCAATCCTCAAAACAATCTTATGAGTATAAACCATAAAGCTATTTTCTTAGAGAAGAGAAATTGGAAGAGAGATTGTATTCTCTTTCAGTTCTCAGCACAGATGTCTCCTCTTCCAACAGACTTGTTCTCCATTTTATTCTCCATTACAGCATTTTCTTTGCTTCTGTCAATATGCATTTCTTGATGTGAAGTTATGTATGTATACAAATGCACATATATACAGAAATGCATGCAATTCATGTATCTGTTTATCTTGTCATCTGGCTTCCCTCAGCACAGTGCATGATGGGCAGAAGAGTGCCTCCTCAGAGACGTCCATGCATTATCCTCAGAATCTGTGAACATATGATGACATATGGTAAAGGGGAATTAAGTTTGCAAATGGAATTATGGTTAGTAATCCACTGACTTTAAGATAAGAAAATTACCCAATATCATCTAAGCAAAGCCAATGGAATCTCAGGCATCCTTTAAATGTGGATGGGAGAGACAGAAGAGTCAATGTTAGAGTGGCGTGGTGTGAGACTCACCCCCATTGCTGACCTTGAAGACAGAGGCAGGGACCACAAGCCAGCCATACAGACAGCCTCTGGAAGCTGGAAATAAAGGTTATCAGTTCTTCTCTGGAGCCTCCAGAAGGACGCAGCCCTGCTCACACCTTGATTTTAGCCTTCTATGACCTATTTCACACTTCTAACCTCCAGAACTATAAGATCATAAATTTGTATTGTTTGAAGCCATCACATGTGTGACAATTTTTTCCAGTAAATAGGATGCTAATGCAGTGTAAGCATCATGAAGGCAGCCACTGTAGCTTCTTCACTGCATATACACCCAGCCCCTAGCACAGTGCTGAAAGTGCAGTGCCTGCTGATAGCACAGTGCACAGTAATGTTTATAAGGTGAATGGACACTTAAGAACCTCAAACTGCCTCTCCAGAAGGATGCCTGTTTCCCACTTCTAGTCCCATATTATCCCACTCACTAAATTGAGAACTTTTCATGTATCACCTGGGATACCTCTGCAGCCTCTAAACATGTACCCTCTGCATCTAGGAGGGGCTTGGTAAAGTTTAGGTCTAGTCATGCAACTCTGCTTCCCAAAATCCATTGACAGACACTTAAACCTCTTTACACAGGCTTCAGAGCAGGCTGCAGTATGCCCTCACCTACAATTCCTTATTTTCTATAACTTCTAGTTACGTGCACCAAAACCAAACCTCTCCATGCATCAGACCCACATGTGTGCTCCTGATGGGCATGAGAGCTGTGTAGAGCTCTGTCATGCACATGGCCCTGCCCCACCCCAAACCAGTAGGTTGGAGGTAGAACCAAGCATATTTAATATCTAAAAATTCCCACATGTGGCAGCCAAGTTGAGAATCACCGGTCCAATTATTACCTCTCTAGACATCCCCCAGATTTTTCTGTGAAGACATCTCAGCCTGGGAAATGAAACATACAACAAATCTCTCCCTCCTTTAAAACTCAATGTTATTTTAGCTATACTTCTAGCTATTAGCACTTTGCAGGTTTTAGTTTTTACTGTGGTTACCTAAGTATTTTTCCTACGGTGACTAGTAGATTGCTTGCCCTTGATCACAGGGAACTATACCTCTGCAGGGAGCTCCCAGAAAGCATGAGTATATGTTAAGGGGCTGATTCACAGGTTCACATTTCATTGTGTGCTGAACCCGAAGTCATCCAAAGAGGTTCTCAAATGAATGACAACACACAACTATGACCAAGCTAGTCCTTTATTGCCTGTATAAATTCTTTCACTTAATGATCCCCCAAACTGCCCAGGACAGCCTGATCCTCACCTAATTTTATACCTGATGAAACTGAGGCTTCATGATATTAAATCATTTGTGGAAGGGTCTGAGGCAGGACTCACATCTGAGGATTGCCTAAGCCACAGCTCCAGGCTGGTCTGCTGAACGGGTCTTCCCAGCGATAGGAGAGGTAGAGAGCAGCCAGGCTGCACTGGTCCACACTGGCTCCCTTTCTGCCCAGGAATAAACAGGCAGCTTTAGATTCTCTCTTTCGGGTCATCAGGGAATTTCTCCAGGTGCTGTTTCCAACCCTGACTTTGAAACTTCTGACTTGCAATGATTTCCTTAATTTCCCTCTGGTCCCTGTCTGCCTAGTGTCCTCATATTCATGACTTTACTGAGCTTCGTTTCTCCCATATGGCCTCCTGGATCCTTCTCTCAGGCTCCACGCTCCCCACACAGTTGGTCTAGGTGTCTCCCACCCCTAACCCAACCTGGGTCAGGAGCCCTTAAGCTTGGTTTCTCAGGGAGGGCATTTAACCAAAGACAATTCCTGGCCCAGAAGAGGCTCAAGTAGGTATTTGTTAATCTGGCAAACGTTTCAAATAAACAACTGGTGTGCAGATGGGTCCAAGCATTGTAAGGAATGATCTTCGACCCCCTCACATAAGACACCACATCATCAGATCCACAGCCCCGAACTATAAGCCTGGAAAAATCGACAATGAAATAGAGATTTTTTTATGGTTACAAGGACCATTGCTGAATAGTAAACTATCTATTGAAATTATATTGCCACAAATCTGGGAGTAAAATAAATGAAATCAATATTAAGGCAAGAAGTGAGTAACAGGCAGCTGAGAGCTAGAAGCAGGCTTAGCTTGTGTCCTCAGAGCATCCTGCCTCTGTTCTTGGCTTCCTACTTAAAATGCAATAGACACAAAAGTGGGCAGCTTACTCAGCACCAGTGTTTGCTCTTCCCTGGGAATCATACAACACCATGAAGCATTAGCATTGAAATGCATGCTTCTAGGTTAAAGCTTTGGCTGCAGCTGCACCAGGAGGGCTGCTGGGAAAACCTACCCTCATAGTCAGCGCCATCTAATCAGCAGCTTGAATCTTGTTTGTTTGTTTTTTTTTTCCTAGCTGTTGTTCAGCCTTTTGCAATTAATCCATTCATTCATTCACTCAGCAAACATTTAGTGAGCATTTCCTCTGTTCCAGTGCCATACTACTTTACAGGGATTAAAAGATAAAACACGTAGAGCCCTGCCATGGAGGAATCCAGGTTCTAATTTACCGACACTGAACATCCCGGTTTGCCCAGGCCTGAGAGGTTTCCTCAGTCCGATCAGGAAAGTTCAGGGCAAGTCAGGACACCTCGTCATCCCGTGGTGGAGATAATAGTGCTGACAGATCATCGTGATGGTGTGAAAATGCTAAGTGGAGATGTTCCAGGAGCCTTTCCAAAGTCCCAGAGCGGCTCAGCACCTCCAGACTCCACCACAGCCTCGACTCACTAACGAACACAAGGAGCTGAAGCAAGCGGCGGCCCAGGGATCAATCAAGGAGAGTGAGGAAGGGCGGCGGAGAACAGAGAGGATGGCCAAGCACCTGCAAGCCAAGCACTCAGACTTCTGAGTCTCAGCAGAAAAGTGTGCCCAGGAAGGCTGAGTGCAGCCTGTGGAAAGGAAGATGAATAGAAATGCTCACCACCTTCCAGGAGTCCGCGGTGAGGTGGGAGGAACAGAGGCCTCACTAAGCAACACTGAGCGCTGTGATCAATACGTGTCCAATACAGAGAAACCAGGAGGAGCAGCCGGCTTCCCGTGCCAGATGGGAAAAGGGAAGCTGCGCCAAGAAACAAGATGAGATTCATAAAGACGAGTCTCTGCAGGCTGGGAAGGAGGGTGTGCAAGAGCATTTTAGGTCACAGAAAAGAACATAAACAAGGGAGGGATGAGGGGGACTTTCAGGAAATGGTGTCTAGACCGGGAGAGAATATTAAGGCTGACAGGAGGCGAATTGAAGCAGAAGGTGGGCCGCGGCTGGAGAGGAGGCGCCACGGTGAGAATTCCTCAGGCCAGCCTCCCTCGGTTTCCCTCAGTGACTCCAACTCCCCAGAGCTGGAGCCCAGGGATAAGGCGCCGCGATGGCGCTTCCTGCCCTTTAGCGGTGGCACCTACAGCCCCCTCCTACCAGCTCGCCAACTGGGTCACACTGACCAGTGTACCTGGCACCCCGTAAACGCTGCTGCTGCAAGCCATGGGGATCAATGAATGAAGTTTTAATAGTAAATCCATAGGATCAATGTGTATTTATGAAGGGTAATTCTGTCTGAGGTGTAGAGGAGAGAGATGTGAAAAGAGAGGGAACAGTTAGAAATCAACTCCAACAGGAATGATGGGGAGATCTAGAGGCACGTCTGGAAGAACCTTCAGGAATCTGCAGCCTCCTAGCAGTGGACAGAGGCTCCACCCCGGCCTTGCCTGGCTCACCATTACCACACACCATCCTGGCAGACGTTGGCTGCAAAACTCACCAAGAAGACCCAGCCCACCTCCTCTTGCAGAGGCCCCATTCTTCAAGGTTCCTAGATGTGATTTGGGACGACTGACAGCCCATTCTCCAAGTCTGAAATCACTTCAGGATGGTCTCTGGTAAAGATTGTACCTCATGACTCATACAGATGTCACCACAGTCTACTGGACACAGGGAAGACCTCTGACTCAGACCAACCCATAGAGTGAGCTAAAGTGCTCAGATTCCACTCCCAGGAGCTGATCTCTCCTATGAAGCCGCCTCTGGGCAGGTCATCTCTGGCCATGTGCAAACAGGAAAGGGTTAGGAGGAAAATTAATGTGTAACACACATGAGCGATATTATGCAACCCCTAAAAGATACAAAGAAAAGGAGTCTGTGCATCCTAATTTTCCAGTTCTCAGGAACTAAGGAGAAGCAGAAATTTAAAATACCATGCAATCCTGGAAGATACAAATGAAGACTTCAGATTCCAATTTTCTTATGGTCTGGCTAAGCTGAATTCCTTAAACAAGCCAATATATATATAAGCTTAGAAGAATGCCTGGCAAACAGTGCACATGTGCCAGCCACTATTATTTTGGGTACAAATGAGATTGTCTTTTATAATGTTGGAAAATAAAGGTATTAAGGCAATCTAAGTGGATTCTCTCTTTGTTCTGCTTTCAAAGACCATGGTAAACAAAGGAATATTGTATTTTTTCCTCAGTGATGGAAATTTAGAGAATTGTGGATGGTTCCTATCAAACTAATTAAATACTCTGAAAAGCTGTTTTCAGGACCCATTGATCTTGATCCATATAAAATTTTGGTGTTTCATTTTCTTTCTCAATAATACAACTCTGTATGATTTTGTTTGGGCCCAGATCAGAGAACATTTTATACTCTACAGAAAATGGCAGACCTTATTTGTAAGGTCCACTGAGCTCTTGCTAATACCCTTTAATCCGATGCAACAGCTACTGGTCTTGAGTCATAAATTAAACCAGAGCAACAAAAATTACAGTCTTATTCTAATACTCATACCATAACCTGACAAAATTTGTACCTCAAATGAATCTGTTGGTGCCCATAGCAAAATTTGATTCAATGCAACTTACTTCCTGGAAGTCATACGCCAGGAGGATTGTAGGCATGTCTGTTTAAAGAAAGCATTTCTTTGGGTTAGTGTGTGCATGACTTTGTTCCAAAGTCAAAATAGGGTGCATGTTAAGTTTAAACACTCTGGAAGGATTGGGTTCTCCAGATCTTGGCATGATGACTTAAACAGAACGAGGGTGGGCCAAGATCAGGAATTACTAGCAAGAGGTATCAAGTGTAACCAAGTACATCTTGGGTTGTCTCTGACAACCCAAGAGAATCGGGAGGGGCTGAAGAAAGAAAGGCCCATTCCTTGTCCAGCATAATCTGAAGTGGAGGTGCCACACATAGCTACTGTTGTTGTGACTTGCCCAGAGATCATCACCCAGTGGGACTGAGTCCAGCCCCCGTCTGATTACTAAGCTGTGCACTCAGGCACCAGCCTTTTCTAAGTCACTTGAAGATACTTTAGGGGGCCTTGAGGCCTTGGCAGGAGGTCACTATATAAGTGCGAAATCAATCAATTAATCAATAATTAAATAAATAGTAGAGATAGAATCAGCTCCCAGAAGACTTTGAAAATATGGGTTTAAAGAAATAGCCCAGGCCGGGTGCAGTGGCTCATGCCTGTAATCCCAGCACTTTGGGAGGCCATGGTGGGTAGATCACCTGAGGTCAGGAGTTCAAGACCAGCCTGACCAACATGGAGAAACCTCGTCTCTACTAAAAATACAAAATTAGCCAGAAGTGGTGGTGCATGCCTGTAATCCCAGCTACTGAGAACGCCGAGGCAGGAGAATCTCTTGAACCTGGGAGGCGAAGATTGCGGTGAGCCGAGGTCGCGCCATTGCACTCCAGCCTGGGCAACAAGAGCGAAACTCTGTCTCAAAAAAAAAAAAAAAGAAAAAGAAAAAGAAAGAAAGAAAGAAAAGAGAAAAAGAAAAGAAAAAGAAAAATAGCCCTCCCGCAGATTGAGAGAAAGTATGAAAGTATGTGGGGAGGAAGGGGGCAAGAGCTCTTCCTTTGTATTATAAACTGGTATATACCATTCATATTATAAACCTATGAATAGGTCACTCTATTTAAAATTTCAAATTTACAGGAGCATATTTCAGGAGTTTCTCATAAAACAGTTGCAGAGCAAAAGAGATACAGGCTCCGACTCTACCAAATATTGAAGGTCTCAGATATGTTCAATGTGACAATGCCTCCCACAGCAAAAAGGGGTTACCTCCCATGCTAAGGATCAGGTGCACAGACACTAAGAGAGGAATTTCAAACTGGAAGGGATGGTATTCTTGTCATGAGTTCCTAAATGCCAGCCCATGCCAACATATCCTCAGTTCAATCACACACAAGATATTTTGCCATGAAATTATTCTTTACATTTGAATTAATATTCTTAAAATCATAATGTGGCTAGGATAAAAAAGAAATTTACAAAGACTCATGGAGCCAAATCAGATGTCCCGGAGCACAGGAATGGATTTCTGCTTCAACCAAGCCCCATTTGTGTGGATTTTTAAAAAATTCAACTTAATTGCCTATTCCAAATTTTTTTCATTTTTAACAATTGACACACACATATAACACTATGAAATTACATTTTGCATTTTTTGGTATAAGAAACAAAGCCTCAGAACTTGAGGGACAGTGGAATGATCTCTTTGGAAGGATTCACCACAAGTAGGCAATAAACTTCAGATGAGAAGGGGAAGGAGCTATTTAAAATATTAAGTCAGTAAGTCACTTCTCCATGAAATGAAAATAAAATTGCAGTTGAAAAAATAAGTAGGTTTCTAATTGGCTATTGCCATTTTTCTTTGAAAAAAATAAACATTTTGTCTTCAATACTAAAAAAAAATAATCAATCAATCAACAAACAATTAAGTATTTGTTAGATATACAATCAGCTCTCAGAAGAATTCCAAAGGGTAAATTCTTCCTATTTGGGGATGTCAAAATGACTTCTATCCTGTGAAATAAAAGTGATAGCATAAGTTAATGGTGGTATTTATTATCTTTTTTACAAAATTTTAAAGTTAGTAAACATTTTATTGTGCCCCTGTTTTGTTTGCTTTAATTACTTTATCCCTTGGATTCCAAGCATTGAAACCACTCCAACAGTTGATAACTCTATGAATCCAACACTAAGAATGACTGGGCAAAAGCAATACAATACGAATTAGGTCACCCAACTGTTCAAGTAATGTTGAACTATTCAAGTAGCTTGGGAGGGAAGAACCAAGAAGGACCTAATAAACTGGTTAATCATCCTAGTGCTAAATCTAGTAACTAGTTTATCACACATAAAACTCATGTATACATTCATTGATTCATTCATTGCCCCATTCAACAAATTTTTATGAGTGATTGCTCCATTCAACAAGTTTTTATGAGTGTTTGCCTATGGGGCTGAGCGCTAGATTTTAAGGAGGACACAATAAACGAGAGAAGTCCCCCCACCACCACCAACCACAAAAAACTATCATATAAAATAGAAACCAGGTTATATGACAAGTCCAGAGAAGATCCTATAAAAAGAATGTAAAGGATGACTTGATTTATCTCTTAATATCATGTAATGATATTATAAACTATTTTAAGCATTATTTGGTATATCTGCCTACAATGGAGAGCATGCATTATGAACTTTCCAGAAAAATATACCCTTTAATTTCTTTAAAATATTTCTGGAGAAATAAATATTTTATCCCATAGAAAAATAGATTCTTATTATCTGCTCTCCCTAGAAACAGAAGTTCTCATTACTTCCAGCAAATCCCTGCTCTCAAAGCTGCTTTGACCAATGAACTCTGTCCTCAAATGTACTCAAGCACACCTCGTCATCCTAGAACTTCTCACTCCCTAGGGTAGTGGAGGGAAATACGACTACAAGAAAGAATTCCTTCCAGTCTGTTTTAGGGTCAGGGTGTCAAAGAACCTTACAAATAATTGTATGAATCCATTATCAATTTAATAATTTAACTCAAAAACTTAAAAATTCACAACATCTGTTGTGAATATAAAATCAATAAAAAATTTTCGGGAAAGCAACTTCAAAATATGCTTCAAGAATCTTAAAAAGTTTTTTTCAGAAGCTATTCTGTAATTTTTTTAACTTTTAAGTTCAGGGGTACATGTGCAGGTTTATTATATAGGTAAACTTGTGTCATGAGGTTTTGTTGTACAGATTATTTCATCACCCACATATTAAGCCTAGTTGTTTTTCCTGATCCTCTCCCTCCTGCCACCCTCCACCCACCAATAAACCCCAGTGTGTGTTGTTCCCCTCTATGAGTCCACGTGTTCTAATAATTTATCTCCCACTTATATGTGAGAACATGCGGTACTTCGTTTTCCGAAGAACCTTAAAAATTAAGACACCCTGTAACCCAATAACTTATTTTGCTTATAGCAAAAAAATACTTTAAGCGATTTATCAGATTTACATATTCACCACATTTTTGTAAACAAGAGCAAATATGTAGACATCCAATACTGAGTATTGGTTAAACAAATTGTAGTGGACTCATAATGTGTAATCACAAAATGTAATTAACTGCATTTTTAAAGGAAAGAAGTGATGTAGGTAAATTTATATGATGGAATGTTAAGTGAACAAAGCGAGATGGAGAATTAATGTGCTGAAGGATTCCAATTTTGTGAAAACAAATGATACTCTATCTTGGAAAGATGAGGACATGGCTGATTTTTTTTATTTGTAACTTCTACAGTTTTAAAATTGTGTACAACAAGCACATAATTTAACTTATTCAATGCTAGAGGAATTCTCTTTTTCTGCGTATTTGCTTATGCAAGCCACGCACTTATATAGCCAATTTCATAAGGAGAGAAAGGTACCTTTTACTTCTCTAAGGTCAAAGCCTGGTCATAGTTTCCAAGAGGCAAGTGGCATCACGTTTCCCCACGATACTCTTTATTTGAAGTGTCAGTTTGATGTAAATCTCTGCCCAGTGCGCCTTCTTAGCCAATATGCTTGCTTTAAAATCCACGTTAGGATAAAATTGCTTCCTATTTTTTGCAAAAATGGCTTCCAAGTATCCAAGTATAGTACAAGTGCTAATAATTTGCACAGTTTTCAAACAACTGACAAATCGGCAAGCACCAAGTTTGCAGCTGCTCCAGCTCCTATTTGCTTTAGAAAAGTATACATTTCATACAGAAAAGACTATCAGGCATAAAACGAACTCTGATTTATATTTACAAGTGTGTGTTATTTGAATTATCTGCTTGATGTTCAAGTTTGCTTGTTATTGACAGATTATGGTTATATCATAATTTATCCTAAAGCCTTGTAAGAATAGTTTCCACCTATCAAAAATTGCGAAGTAGTTACATTCATGAAGTGAAGGATTAGACTATTATCTTTCAAATTAGAAAAACAAAAGATGTCATTGTTATTCTTTGAGTCAAATTGTAGAGTTGCAACTATGTTGGCCCATAGTTAGATGTCCTTGTTCTATGCGTTGTAAAGCACTATCTGGTGTGCAAATGAGGAAGCCAATCTATAAAGAAACTATATGATTTTCCGACAATTTTACATTGTATTAAAGAGAGATCTAGCACTTAAATCCTCCTGTCACTAATTCGGGGTCTTCAACATGCTACATCTATTTTGAGAAGTCTGTAAGGGAAAAGTAAATCAAAAAAGTAATGACATTTTGATAAATGGCAATAATATTAGTACAGACCATTTATTAAGGGCATGAGTATTAAAAATTCTAAAATATATTCACACATAAAAATGCAGAAATAAGCAAATCCTATTGTCACAAATAGCCTTCATTTAAATAAAATTATGAAATACATATTTTTATGTCTGCTTCTTTCAGTCAATATTATGTATGTGAGGTTGATCCATGTTCTTCTCTAAGTGTAACTCTTTTATATCTAGCACTTTATGGTTTTTCATTATATAAATACATCACAGTTTCTTTATCCATTTTGTTGAAAACAATATGCTTCTTAATTACATATAATATTTTGCAGTTGTCACAGGAATTGATCAGTTATATTATTAGGCAATCCTAGAGGTTCATTTATTTGTTTATTTCTGGATATTTTCTCCCAGTTTACCTTGCATAATGTGTTCTCATTTATTTCCTCTCTTTCCATCAACAGTTACTTTCTTTCCTAGATTAAGTTACTTTATACTATTTTTTATTTCATTATATTTTCTATAATTGCTTTGATTCACTGTTTCTTAATTTTATCTTAAATATCACAGATTATCTTTCCTGCAAGCTTAATTCTACTCTTTGTTTCCAAATCTAATTTATTTAGTTCGTTAAGGTCTTCTTTTCAATGCATTATCTTTCTGTCTCTATTTGTTTGATGCATGAAATACTCTCTAATCAAATTGAGAATAAATACCAATCACTCTATTATTTTATTTTATGAAGCAAATATTTTCAAGGGGAGGATTTTCTTTGTGTCTCTAAACATTATTCACTTGATCATTTCAAATGAATGCCAAATACAACAAATGTATTTGTTGTTACATTTTGTATTTTATTGTTATAATAACAGATGATTTTCAAAGAGTTGCCTTAAAATCTATCCAGAGGCACCTTTTCTAATAGAAAAATTGTTTCCCTCCAGGGACAAATAGAGGGTAAATCATTCTCATACCCTAATGCCAATCAAGAATCTTAACAGGATTCGAGACAATGTTATTGGATATTACCAAACACACCTTCATAGAATTCAGTAAATATAGAGAAATCAAATAGGTTCAAAATTATGAGATAAACATATGGGGGAATATATTATAGACTGTATTTCCAAAATTATTCAGTGTAGAAAGCCCTATTGTCTTATTGAGAAAAGACCATATTCTGTTCATTGTTGTTGATGCTGCTCTTGCTGCTACAAATTCTCTTCCCTTTGGATATTTTTGAAGGAATAATTAGCATTGCTTCTTACTCTATCAGGGTCTCAGAAGGACCTTTTCACTAGGCTTTTTTGTAGCTCGTCATATTCTAGATTTCATTTAGTTAGTAATCAATCAACACTCTCAGATTATGGGTAATGGATCTGTGTGCAATGTTTTTACACACTCTGAAGGAGAAGGTTTACTGAGGTTGCCCAGCCTCTGCTATCCCACATGTATTGCATGTGGGAGACTTGCACTGCAAACTAATGTCACCAGGCCATGAAGGGCCACATCTGCAGCAGAAAGTGAATGGTGTTGCATATCATCTATATTATTTTGAAATTTGAGTTGGTGTGGTACTTAAATGGAACCTGAAGTGCCTTCCTTGGATTTTAAGAGCAAGTGAATTTTCACTGAATTTTGCTATCAAATCGGGTGCCATATGGCTCATAGAAACTATTAAACAAGCACATTGTGAGCTTTAAAATGTGGAAACACCATTGAATTAGCAACATCAGCCAAGTAAGACTAGTGTTACAACACAACAAAAGCAACCAGCAAACCAGGTATTTTACACAATAGAACATTATTTCTCGCTGAGGTTAGGGTCAATATTAACATACCTGATTGCAAGACAACCCTTTCACGTGGTCAGTGTTCAATGGCCCCAATGGACTTCATGAAAGGCTGGGAAATTGTCATATAGTGCCTATAGCATTAATGATAGCCATAGATCCACCCAAGCATCTCCCAGGGCCAATACAACACATCACTTAACAGTAAGCTACAAGCTGGTCTGGGAATTTTTAACCCTGGCCTGGGGATTTCCAGAAGATAAGGCCAATTCAGCCAGATTCAACTCTCATAAGTCTTAAAACAAAGGTTATTCGTGCAAGAATAGTCTAACTCTCTTTAGGAAATACTTGGTAACTGACCGAGACTGAATACAGTTATAAGAAAGGGGGAAGAATCCTCCAAACTCTGAGAATGGTGTCAAGATGGAGGTCCTCTCAGCCAGGCCATCACCTGACCCCAGTCTGAGACTGGCCCAGGACTCAGCCTGCTCCCACTATCTGACTCTTAAGAACACTGCCAGAATAAACCACTTGAGCGTCTGGTGATGTCTAAGACTCATATTTGATGTGAATCAGACAGAAGTGGAGAAGTCACCCCTGGCAGGCGGGTTAACTGGAACCACCTGACAGCCCTGAATATGATGGAAATGTAGCACCACTGTCTGCAGGGGAGAGGAAACAAAATGGGAGGAGCACATTGCTGTCTCTGCCATAGTCCACTCTTCTTGTGCCCTAGCATCCATTTCATTTTTTCTCTTAACGGAAAATCACTTGCTCTTATCCAAGGAAGGCACTTCAGGTTCCATCTAAGTACCACACCAGCTCAAATTTCAAAATAATATAGATGATATGAAACATCATTCACTTTCTGCTGCAGATGTGGCTCTTCATGGGCTGGTGACATTAGTTTGCAGTGCAAGTCATGTGGTCATCACATACATGTGCAATATATGTGGGAGAGCAGAGGCTGGGCAACCTCAGTAAACCTTCTCCTTCAGAGTGTGTAAAAACATTGCACACAGGTCCATTCACCCAGAAGCCTTGATGGGCAGCTATCCTCTCCTGGGTTGGGAGTGTTTCGCTGATTAGCTCCTGGTTTTGTTTTGGAGAAGAATCTCCATAGTCCATTACTATCTGTAACTTCACTCCACCTATTCACAGATACTCCCTTTGCATTCATCTTTGAGGGCCAATCTGACTTGAACATTATGTTTTCTGCTTTCTTTGATGGCTTCCCAGTTTTTACAATTGATCTAAAGTTTGCGAAAATGTAAGTGCCTCAAGTTTTTTTTTTTTTAATTATACTTTAAGTTTTAGGGTACATGTGCAAAATGTGCAGGTTAGTTACATATGCATACATGTGCCATGCTGGTGTGCTGCACCCATTAACTCATCATTTAGCATTAGGTATATCTCCTAATGCTATCCCTCCCCCCTCCCCCCACCCCACAACAGTTCCTAGAGTGTGATGTTCCCCTTCCTGTGTCCATGTGTTCTCATTGTTCAATTCCCACCTATGAGTGAGAACATGCAGTGTTTGGTTTTTTTGTCCTTGCGATAGTTTACTGAGAATGATGATTTCCAATTTCATCCATGTCCCTACAAAGGACATGAACTCATCATTTTTTATGGCTGCATAGTATTCCATGGCATATATATGCCATTTTCTTTTTTTTTTTTTTTTTTTTTTTTTTTTTTTATTATACTCTTTAAGTTTTAGGGTACATGTGCACATTGTGCAGGTTAGTTACATATGTATACATGTGCCATGCTGGTGCACTGCACCCACTAATGTGTCATCTAGCATTAGGTATATCTCCCAATGCTATCCCTCCCCCCTCCCCCGACCCCACCACAGTCCCCAGAGTGTGATATTCCCCTTCCTGTGTCCATGTGATCTCATTGTTCAATTCCCACCTATGAGTGAGAATATGCGGTGTTTGGTTTTTTGTTCTTGCGATAGTTTACTGAGAATGATGGTTTCCAATTTCATCCATGTCCCTACAAAGGATATGAACTCATCATTTTTTATGGCTGCATAGTATTCCATGGTGTATATGTGCCACATTTTCTTAATCCAGTCTATCATTGTTGGGCATTTGGGTTGGTTCCAAGTATTTGCTATTGTGAATAGTGCCGCAATAAACATACGTGTGCATGTGTCTTTATAGCAGCATGATTTATACTCATTTGGGTATATACCCAGTAATGGGATGGCTGGGTCAAATGGTATTTCTAGTTCTAGATCCCTGAGGAATCGCCACACTGACTTCCACAATGGTTGAACTAGTTTACAGTCCCACCAACAGTGTAAAAGTGTTCCTATTTCTCCGCATCCTCTCCAGCACCTGTTGTTTCCTGACTTTTTAATGATTGCCATTCTAACTGGTGTGAGATGATATCTCATAGTGGTTTTGATTTGCATTTCTCTGATGGCCAGTGATGATGAGCATTTCTTCATGTGTTTTTTGGCTGCATAAATGTCTTCTTTTGAGAAGTGTCTGTTCATGTCCTTCGCCCACTTTTTGATGGGGTTGTTTGTTTTTTTCTTGTAAATTTGTTTGAGTTCATTGTAGATTCTGGATATTAGCCCTTTGTCAGATGAGTAGGTTGCAAAAATTTTCTCCCATGTTGTAGGTTGCCTGTTCACTCTGATGGTAGTTTCTTTTGCTGTGCAGAAGCTCTTTAGTTTAATTAGATCCCATTTGTCAATTTTGTCTTTTGTTGCCATTGCTTTTGGTGTTTTGGACATGAAGTCCTTGCCCACGCCTATGTCCTGAATGGTAATGCCTAGGTTTTCTTCTAGGGTTTTTATGGTTTTAGGTTTAACGTTTAAATCTTTAATCCATCTTGAATTGATTTTTGTATAAGGTGTAAGGAAGGGATCCAGTTTCAGCTTTCTACATATGGCTAGCCAGTTTTCCCAGCACCATTTATTAAATAGGGAATCCTTTCCCCATTGCTTGTTTTTCTCAGGTTTGTCAAAGATCAGATAGTTGTAGATATGCGGCATTATTTCTGAGGGCTCTGTTCTGTTCCATTGATCTATATCTCTGTTTTGGTACCAGTACCATGCTGTTTTGGTTACTGTAGCCTTGTAGTATAGTTTGAAGTCAGGTAGCGTGATGCCTCCAGCTTTGTTCTTTTGGCTTAGAGTTGACTTAGCAATGCAGGCTCTTTTTTGGTTCCATATGAACTTTAAAGTAGTTTTTTCCAATTCTGTGAAGAAAGTCATTGGTAGCTTGATGGGGATGGCATTGAATCTGTAAATTACCTTGGGCAGTATGGCCATTTTCACGATATTGATTCTTCCTACCCATGAGCATGGAATGTTCTTCCATTTGTTTGTCTCCTCTTTTATTTCCTTGAGCAGTGGTTTGTAGTTCTCCTTGAAGAGGTCCTTCACATCCCTTGTAAGTTGGATTCCTAGGTATTTTATTCTCTTTGAAGCAATTGTGAATGGGAGTTCACCCATGATTTGGCTCTCTGTTTGTCTGTTGTTGGTGTATAAGAATGCTTGTGATTTTTGTACATTGATTTTGTATCCTGAGACTTTGCTGAAGTTGCTTATCAGCTTAAGGAGATTTTGGGCTGAGACGATGGGGTTTTCTAGATAAACAATCATGTCGTCTGCAAACAGGGACAATTTGACTTCCTCTTTTCCTAATTGAATACCCTTTATTTCCTTCTCCTGCCTGATTGCCCTGGCCAGAACTTCCAACACTATGTTGAATAGGAGCGGTGAGAGAGGGCATCCCTGTCTTGTGCCGGTTTTCAAAGGGAATGCTTCCAGTTTTTGCCCATTCAGTATGATATTGGCTGTGGGTTTGTCATAGATAGCTCTTATTATTTTGAAATACGTCCCATCAATACCTAATTTATTGAGAGTTTTTAGCATGAAGGGTTGTTGAATTTTGTCAAAGGCTTTTTCTGCATCTATTGAGATAATCATGTGGTTTTTGTCTTTGGCTCTGTTTATATGCTGGATTACATTTATTGATTTGCGTATATTGAACCAGCCTTGCATCCCAGGGATGAAGCCCACTTGATCATGGTGGATAAGCTTTTTGATGTGCTGCTGGATTCGGTTTGCCAGTATTTTATTGAGGATTTTTGCATCAATGTTCATCAAGGATATTGGTCTAAAATTCTCTTTTTTGGTTGTGTCTCTGCCCGGCTTTGGTATCAGTATGATGCTGGCCTCATAAAATGAGTTAGGGAGGATTCCCTCTTTTTCTATTGATTGGAATAGTTTCAGAAGGAATGGTACCAGTTCCTCCTTGTACCTCTGGTAGAATTCGGCTGTGAATCCATCTGGTCCTGGACTCTTTTTGGTTGGTAAACTATTGATTATTGCCACAATTTCAGAGCCTGTTATTGGTCGATTCAGAGATTCAACTTCTTCCTGGTTTAGTCTTGGGAGAGTGTATGTGTCGAGGAATGTATCCATTTCTTCTAGATTTTCTAGTTTATTTGCATAGAGGTGTTTGTAGTATTCTCTGATGGTAGTTTGTATTTCTGTGGGATCGGTGGTGATATCCCCTTTATCATTTTTTATTGTGTCTATTTGATTCTTCTCTCTTTTTTTCTTTATTAGTCTTGCTAGCGGTCTATCAATTTTGTTGATCCTTTCAAAAAACCAGCTCCTGGATTCATTGATTTTTTGAAGGGTTTTTTGTGTCTCTATTTCCTTCAGTTCTGCTCTGATTTTAGTTATTTCTTGCCTTCTGCTAGCTTTTGAATGTGTTTGCTCTTGCTTTTCTAGTTCTTTTAATTGTGATGTTAGGGTGTCAATTTTGGATCTTTCCTGCTTTCTCTTGTAGGCATTTAGTGCTATAAATTTCCCTCTACACACTGCTTTGAGTGCGTCCCAGAGATTCTGGTATGTGGTGTCTTTGTTCTCGTTGGTTTCAAAGAACATCTTTATTTCTGCCTTCATTTCGTTATGTACCCAGTAGTCATTCAGGAGCAGGTTGTTCAGTTTCCATGTAGTTGAGCGGCTTTGAGTGAGATTCTTAATCCTGAGTTCTAGTTTGATTGCACTGTGGTCTGAGAGATAGTTTGTTATAATTTCTGTTCTTTTACATTTGCTGAGGAGAGCTTTACTTCCAACTATGTGGTCAATTTTGGAATAGGTGTGGTGTGGTGCTGAAAAAAATGTATATTCTGTTGATTTGGGGTGGAGAGTTCTGTAGATGTCTATTAGGTCTGCTTGGTGCAGAGCTGAGTTCAATTCCTGGGTATCCTTGTTGACTTTCTGTCTCGTTGATCTGTCTAATGTTGACAGTGGGGTGTTAAAGTCTCCCATTATTAATGTGTGGGAGTCTAAGTCTCTTTGTAGGTCACTGAGGACTTGCTTTATGAATCTGGGTGCTCCTGTATTGGGTGCATAAATATTTAGGATAGTTAGCTCCTCTTGTTGAATTGATCCCTTTACCATTATGTAATGGCCTTCTTTGTCTCTTTTGATCTTTGTTGGTTTAAAGTCTGTTTTATCCGAGACTAGGATTGCAACCCCTGCCTTTTTTTGTTTTCCATTGGCTTGGTAGATCTTCCTCCATCCTTTTATTTTGAGCCTATGTGTGTCTCTGCACGTGAGATGGGTTTCCTGAATACAGCACACTGATGGGTCTTGACTCTTTATCCAACTTGCCAGTCTGTGTCTTTTAATTGCAGAATTTAGTCCATTTATATTTAAAGTTAATATTGTTATGTGTGAATTTGATCCTGTCATTATGATGTTAGCTGGTGATTTTGCTCATTAGTTGATGCAGTTTCTTCCTAGTCTCGATGGTCTTTACATTTTGGCATGATTTTGCAGCGGCTGGTACCGGTTGTTCCTTTCCATGTTTAGCGCTTCCTTCAGGAGCTCTTTTAGGGCAGGCCTGGTGGTGACAAAATCTCTCAACATTTGCTTGTCTATAAAGTATTTTATTTCTCCTTCACTTATGAAGCTTAGTTTGGCTGGATATGAAATTCTGGGTTGAAAATTCTTTTCTTTAAGAATGTTGAATATTGGCCCCCACTCTCTTCTGGCTTGTAGGGTTTCTGCCGAGAGATCCGCTGTTAGTCTGATGGGCTTTCCTTTGAGGGTAACCCGACCTTTCTCTCTGGCTGCCCTTAACATTTTTTCCTTCATTTCAACTTTGGTGAATCTGACAATTATGTGTCTTGGAGTTGCTCTTCTCGAGGAGTATCTTTGTGGCGTTCTCTGTATTTCCTGAATCTGAACGTTGGCCTGCCTTGCTAGATTGGGGAAGTTCTCCTGGATAATATCCTGCAGAGTGTTTTCCAACTTGGTTCCATTCTCCACATCACTTTCAGGTACACCAATCAGACGTAGATTTGGTCTTTTCACATAGTCCCATATTTCTTGGAGGCTTTGCTCATTTCTTTTTATTCTTTTTTCTCTAAACTTCCCTTCTCGCTTCATTTCATTCATTTCATCTTCCATTGCTGATACCCTTTCTTCCAGTTGATCGCATCGGCTCCTGAGGCTTCTGCATTCTTCACGTAGTTCTCGAGCCTTGGTTTTCAGCTCCATCAGCTCCTTTAAGCACTTCTCTGTATTGGTTATTCTAGTTATACATTCTTCTAAATTTTTTTCAAAGTTTTCAACTTCTTTGCCTTTGGTTTGAATGTCCTCCCGTAGCTCAGAGTAATTTGATCGTCTGAAGCCTTCTTCTCTCAGCTCGTCAAAATCATTCTCCATCCAGCTTTGTTCTGTTGCTGGTGAGGAACTGCGTTCCTTTGGAGGAGGAGAGGCGCTCTGCGTTTTAGAGTTTCCAGTTTTTCTGTTCTGTTTTTTCCCCATCTTTGTGGTTTTATCTACTTTTGGTCTTTGATGATGGTGATGTACAGATGGGTTTTCGGTGTAGATGTCCTTTCTGGTTGTTAGTTTTCCTTCTAACAGACAGGACCCTCAGCTGCAGGTCTGTTGGAATACCCTGCCGTGTGAGGTGTCAGTGTGCCCCTGCTGGGGGGTGCCTCCCAGTTAGGCTGCTCGGGGGTCAGGAGTCAGGGACCCACTTGAGGAGGCAGTCTGCCCGTTCTCAGATCTCCAGCTGCGTGCTGGGAGAACCACTGCTCTCTTCAAAGCTGTCAGACAGGGACACTTAAGTCTGCAGAGGTTACTGCTGTCTTTTTGTTTGTCTGTGCCCTGCCCCCAGAGGTGGAGCCTACAGAGGCAGGCAGGCCTCCTTGAGCTGTGGTGGGCTCCACCCAGTTCGAGCTTCCCGGCTGCTTTGTTTACCTAAGCAAGCCTGGGCAATGGCGGGCGCCCCTCCCCCAGCCTCGTTGCCGCCTTGCAGTTTGATCTCAGACTGCTGTGCTAGCAATCAGCGAGATTCCGTGGGCGTAGGACCCTCCGAGCCAGGTGTGGGATATAGTCTCGTGGTGCGCCGTTTCTTAAGCCGGTCTGAAAAGCGCAATATTCGGGTGGGAGTGACCCGATTTTCCAGGTGCGTCCGTCACCCCTTTCTTTGACTCGGAAAGGGAACTCCCTGACCCCTTGCGCTTCCCAGGTGAGGCAATGCCTCGCCCTGCTTCGGCTCGCGCACGGTGCGCACACACACTGGCCTGCGCCCACTGTCTGGCACTCCCTAGTGAGATGAACCCGGTACCTCAGATGGAAATGCAGAAATCACCGTCTTCTGCGTCGCTCACGCTGGGAGCTGTAGACCGGAGCTGTTCCTATTCGGCCATCTTGGCTCCTCCCCTCCATTTTCTTAATCCAGTCTATCATTGTTGGACATTTGGGTTGGTTCCAAGTCTTTGCTATTGTGAAGAGTGCTGCAATAAACATACGTGTGCATGTGTCTTTATAGCAGCATGATTTTTTCAGACAGAGTCTCACTCTGTCACCCAGGCTGGAGTGCAGTGGCATGATCTCGGCTCACTGCAACCTCCACCTACCAGGTTCAAGTAATTCTACTGCCTCAGCCTCCCAAGTAGCTGGGATTATAGGCACCTGCCACCATGCCCAGCTAATTTTTTGTATTTTTAGTAGAGACAGGTTTTCACCCTGTCAGGCTGGTCTTGAACTCCTGACCTCAAGCGATCCACCCTCCTCGGCCTCCCAAATGCTGGGATTACAGGCAAGAGCCACCGCACACGGCCAAGCTTTTACATTTCTAACAGTTAAAGGAAGACTTGCATAAGCCGGTGAATCAATATTTTCCAAATGACCAAATCATTACGTAACAACAATCATGCGTGGATAAAAGATATATTCAAATGCAAGATAGATCAATGGACTTTAATGCCACCATGTATATAAAGTTCATTGCAACTAACCTTTAAGAACTGTCTCTTCTCCAGTTTTGATCTAGAATCCAAGAAAAAAATGCCTATAATTGTAGCTCCAATTAATATCTACAATGAGAATACTTTTGAAATCCTACTCTACTTTCCAACTACATATCTGTGTGAGGACACATTTACTTTCATATATTTCAACCAAAACCACTAATTGAAACAGATTGGCTATATTAATAGAAACAGGTACATAAATCCAGCTATCTTCTGTTAATTCAGGCAGTAAAGAAATCTGCAAACATATAATGTCACTTTTCTCATATTTTTCTGTTTTGGTAAATATATTCATTTTTCATGAAAAAATAAGTTAACATTGTAGATTTATTATTTTTAAATTAATTAATAAATATTTTCAAATTTACTTGTTTAATTTCTATTACAATTGATTTCAACACTCAGAAAACACATAAACAATAACATTTTGGGGATCATCAATAATTTTTTAAGTGTAGAGACTCTAGACCAAGAGGTAGAGGACAATTGGTGTAGAAATAAGACCAGAAAGAAACAGACATGAGTTTTTGGTAAATACATAATGTCCCCCATTTACATTACAGAATTCCTACTTACAAGTAGAATTCTGTCTTGTAAAAATCACAAGTACACAAAAATCACAAAATCACAAAAATACACACACATCACAAAAACACACGCGAATCATAAAAAGTCATAAAAAATGTAACAAACCTGCACATTCTGCACATGTATCTCAGAACTTAAAATATAATAAAAGAACACAAATACCAGAGAACAAACAGTAACAAGCATCTGTGATATGATAATACATCAACCAAAAGTAGCTGTCCTGAGTTGTTTAATACAGAAAAGACTTGTGGATGGGGAAAAAAGCAGCAGAACATGTGAAGCTATGGCTCTCCTCATTATTTAACCTGTAATGGGAATGGACTGCACCTGTGACCATCCATCCAACAGCTATGGCAGAACAGACAGATTTCCAGATGTTCCTAAATTTAGGTGCTGTGATTTCCACTTTATGCCTTATTTTCAGAGCCTTGATATATTTACTTTGGTCTTTTAAATTGGTTCATAATAGGATATAGTCCATGTACATAGTTACTTATTTTTAAAATATTTTTGAATTGCTATATTCTTTGTTGTCGTTATTTTTGAGACATATACATAGAAATAAGGTCACAAATTTAGTTCAATGTCTGTAATAGAACAGTTGCTTAATAATACTTGTTATTGCTTTCTAATATTAGGTAGAATAGCTAGGCAGAAATTAGTAAGAAAATAGTTGATTTGAACAACATTATAAACAATGTAAACCTAACAGACATCTAGAGAACCCTCCACCCCACAGCGAGTGCAGATTCCTCTCAAGCGCGCATGGAACAGTCTCCAGCATAGACCACACATGAATTCTTACAAGCATCAGTCAATGTAAAAGGGCTGAAGCCATACAAAGTGTATTCTCCAGCCACAGTTGAATAGAAATCAATGACAGAAGAAAGTTTGAGAAATTCATAAAAACGTGCAAATTAAATAACATGCTCTTAAATAACATGGTCTTAATAATTATTCATATTTAATAATTAAAATTAAATAACATGCTGTTAAAAAACATGCTCTTAAATAATCAATGCATCAAAAAGAAATCACAAGGAAAATTAGAAAACATTACCTAAACTTAGCTGGCAATTCTACATAGGTTGCTGGTGATCAATCTGCCACACCTGTGTCTCCATCTGACACCCGGAGTTGGCCAACCAGGCAACTGTGTGTGTGCGTCTTTCCTTTCTCATTTCTTCAGGTGCTTCTCCAAAACCTCAGTTCAATCTTAAGAAGAACTTCTCCAGTTCTTGGGTCTCTTTAGCAGTATAAGCAGAAAATAAATTCGCCTGTCTCAGATTTCACATGTCCACAGTTTACCTATAACTGTGTTGATTACATCCATTTAATATGTTATAGTCATAGCACCTAAAAGAGCAATTTTATTACCATTTAAGCTATTAAAACAATTGATATCAAGTTGTCGAACACAATTATTGGAGAAGCAATTAATGCACAGAGAAAAAACTCATATCTCAGAAATAATTGACATTTTAGGTGAAATTTGTCAAAAATACTTATGGGAAAAAGTAATCATTTCCATTAAATGAAAGTTTAGAATGAGGCAGTAGGAAACTCCATAGCAAAAACGTTAAGTGTCAAAAGATTTAGTATGTGTTTCAGAGTTGTCACTGAATCTCACTCAGATCCATTAAGAATTGTCCCCCTCCTCCTGAAACATAAAGAAATGTGGTAACATTTGTATTCACAGCAGTTACTTAATTCTTGAAAAATATATTACAATTATATGGTTAAGAGTCAAACAGTAAAATAATAGAGTAAGAAATCTGTCCCATCTATCAAATTACCATCCATCTCATCTTCAACCAAGCAACTACTATTATTACTTTCTTGCGTATCCTTCTAGACATATGTTACACACACAAGCAAAAATTACAACTCATTTTTCAGCTTTTTTTTTTTTTTTGAGATAGGATCTTGCTCTGTTGCCCAGGCTAGAGTGCAGTAGTGTGATTATATCTCCTTGCAGCCTCGAACTCCTGGGCTCAAGTGATCCTCCCACCTCAGCCTCCCAAGTAGGTAAGACTACAGGGGGAGTGCCACCACACCTAGCTAATTTTTAGTTATTTTGTAGAGACCAAGGTCTCACTATGTTGTCCAGGCTGGTCTGGAACTCCTGGCCTCAAGCAATTCTCTCACCTCAGCCTCCCAAAGTGCTGAGAATTTAAGAGTGAGCCACCACAGCCAGCCCAGCAAGCTTCTTAATACAAATGGCAGCATGTGATACACAGTATGCTGCATCTTATTAACTTAACCATGTATCCTGAAGATATTTCCATTTTACTGCATAGGGAGCTCCCTTTTTTATAGTTTCATATGAGCGTCAGAAAAAAAGTACAGAATTTATTTTACCATCCCATACAGATGAAAATTTAGGATTTTTTCCACTGTTTTGCTGTCAAAAACAATGTTGCAATGAATAATACTGTACATCCACTATTTTTTAAAAGTGTGAATATGTCCATAACATAAATTCCTAAAAGTAGAATTGATGGGCCAAAAGGCATATATATTGATAATTTTGATGAATGTTGATCGATTACACTCCCTCTCCCATAGGTGTTTAACCAATTTACTTTTCCACCAACAGTATATGTGATCCCCTATTTCCCACAGCCTTACTGATAGAGAATAGTAACAAAATTTAAACTTTTGTCAATTGATAACGAGCTTGAGGGAGCTTGATCACACTATCTGATGTTTTAAGCCACTTATCTTTATGATAATTTCAGGGATGGGGGGCAATAGATTTTTAAAAGTTGTATTGGCTTATAGGATCGATTGATATATAATGAAATCATCCCCTTACTTGTGATCTAAAGTGGAACATTTCTCCAGTAGTTTGAATTTTACTATGCTTAGATTACATTTGTTTGTTGTTTGTTTTTACCAAGCATATGTTTTGTGGTTGTGCTTACTAACTTCTCTGTAATAGAATATTTCATCTTGTTCCTTTGTGTCTTTTGAATTCTGAATTATGATTGGAAAGTCCTTTTCCACTGTAATGTCATAAATAGATTCTAATTTTCATTAATTATATTTAAATCTTTGGCTCATATAGAATTTTTTCAAGCTGTTCAGTGTGAAGTGTACATATTAATTTCTTTCCAGATGGATAGCTTCATTTTCTCAATAATATATATTATATAGTCCATATATTCCCCCACTGATTTGAGATGCCAAATTTAATTTAAGCTAAATTTTCATATGCATGTATGTGTCTTTTTGAATTATCTTACATCAGTGCCATGATATTTTAATTATTAAGTTTCTATAATAGTAAACTTGTTTTCACTTAAATTTTAATCACATGGAGACTTTTAAATTATTTTTCCAAATACTTTTTCAGAATGTGTAGGTAGTAATATGATTATCATTTCAAACATAGTTCCAAAAGTATTTGCATGGAATTGAGCGAAGTACATGCACCACTCTTCTAATTCCTCTTTTCTTGTGGTTATTACGTCCTTACTGTTCATTCTGAGCATTTTTCTTGCAATCATCAGCTAATGGTTTATCTTTTTACTGTTTTTATAACAGACCACATTTAGAATTTACTTCCTAATTCAGAATTATCTGTTCTGTGTCAGTTTCTCCTTTCATCCCTATTAATTCCTCCTTTGCTTTCCTTTAGTTTATTTCATTCTTCTTTGTCTAACCTTTTGAGTCAGATATATGATCACTTACTTTCATGCTTTGTTTTATTGATGTAAGTAAGTCTATAACTAATTTTCTTTTAATGTTCATTAAGCTATATTCTGGAGGTTTTTACTTGTATTTTCATTGTTTTCTTTCCCAGCTGTTCTTCCATTTTTTGTTGGTGTTTGTTTCCTCCTTGAACAAGGAGATAAGTAAGAATATTTAAGGTTTTAGGACAAAAAAGTTCATTTCTTATTTTAAAATTTAATTTCTAGTTATATTACATTTATGTATGGTCAATTTTTGTGAATATAGAGCACTTAAATGTATATATATATTCTTTTCAGAGCACATATTTTAATAAATATTAATCAGATGTAACTTGTTCATTATATCACATTGGCTACGCTATTTTTCAGTCTTTTAATTTGTTTTTGTACTGAGAGAAGTGAATAAAATTATCCTATTTCCAGTGTGTTTCTATTCCACATTTTATTTCCTGGAATATTCATTTTTAAAAACTTCATAATCTGCTCTTTCTTCAAAAGTATTTATGTTCTATATCTACTCATAATTGTATTAGTTAGCATGATTACATATTTTTCTTTTTCTCATTTAATAATGTTAATTGGATTTCATTTTGTCTGACATTACCATTATGAATTTTTTTTGCTTTTTCTTTTCCCACTTTATCTTTGAATATCATTTTTTATTTTATTATTATTATTATTATTATTTTGAGACAGAGTGTCGCTCTGTTGCCCAGGCTGGAGCACAATGATGTGATCTCGGCTCACTGCAACCTCTGCCACCCAGGTTCAGGCGATTCTCCTGCCTCAGCCTCCTGAGTAGCTGGGATTACAGGCACATGCCACCATGCCCAGGTAATTTTTGTACTTTTAGTAGGGACGGGGTTTCACCAGGTTGGCCAGGCAGGTCTCAAACTGACCTCCAGTGATCTGCCCACTTCGGTCTCCCAAAGTGCTGGGACTACAGGCATGAACCACCGCACTTGGCCTTCATATCATTTTAGTTTTAACCATTTGAATCACACGGTATCCTCAGCAGAGGGTTGGGTTTTGTTTTATGAGCAAATATGAAAATATTATTTGTTTTACTTTTGTGAATTAAGCCCATTTATGACAGATATGTTAAGTCTGCATTTTTTATATCTTGTAATGTTATTCTCTGTTTTTTCCTTAAGTCTTTTATTATGTGCCTTGGGTATGTTGTGTGTGCACATGTTTACACATGGCGTGTGTGTGTGCATGTGTGTGTGTATGTTGTGTGTAGTTCTGCTATTTACAAGTTTTATATTTCTTTATAATTATAAGTGATATGTTAGCTTTATTTCTAATGATTTGGACAGTATCTGTGAATTCTAACTATGAGCCATGGTGAAATTGGCTTATGCCCTCTTCTAGCCCTTCTAAACTCTCTTCTCAACCACCCAATTAAATCTTAAGTTTATCTTGCTTGGTGTATTGTTAGTTATGCTAAAATTTCCATTAGAGGATTTGTAAACTTTGTATGTTGTCCTTTGACTGCTGGCTCTTATTGGTGAGGCAACTACTGAGTTTGCTTCCCACCCTCTTCACTACTTTCTGTTTCAGTTTCCTATATCATTATATGACGTTTCCATTCTCCTGTCACCCTAAAATCCATCTTTTGTCATATTAATTTAGTTAAATGTATTCCAAGTTTACAGCCAGTGTTTTTATCACCATTTTTTAGGAATATTTTAGTTGGCTAGAAGCGTGTCTTCTAGAAATTTTGTCAAGAAAAAATATTTCCTGACTTCTTGCATGTTGAAACCCCTTGTTTTGCAACCTTTATTCTAGCAGAACATTTAGCTGAATTTAAAATACTAGACTCACAGTTTATTTTCTCACAAATATTTAATGCAGTTTTACTGTCTTTTCACTATGAATGTGTTGACTGTTGCTATAGAGAAGTGAGAGACTAATTTTTTTCCATTATAAATGACTTGATCTTTTTTGTAAGAGTGCCCAAGTAATTATTTATGCATGAGTTCCATTCTATGCTTCAATATCAACCACTTTAGGAAATGTTTCACCTGGTATAATCTTTCAGAGTGTAAGTTCAAATCATTTTTATTCATTGAATTGTGTCTTTAAGTGTTTTTTTGACGTCACTGTTTCAGTTTTGTTCCTTGGAAATTCAATTTGTGCATATTTTGGTTCTCCTTTTCCTGCGTTTTATGGTTTTTAAAAATTTTTCTCTTTGTTCTTTTTATTTGAAAATGTTTTATTTTGCTTACTCTTCTCATTTCTGTCCTCTCCATCACCTGCTAGGATTTTAGTAAGTTCTATCCTCTCCTTTACTGTTTTATTTCTATGATGACTTAATTTTTTTATTTTACTTCTCTCCTAATTTCCCCCACTTAATGTTGTATTTCCTCCTTTGCCATGTCATCTCTTTCTTGATTTTTAAAATTTTTCTTATTTTGTGGTCTCTCTTTATAAAGTCTATTGTCTACCAAGTTTCTGATTTTGTTTTTTTAATTTAAGCCAAATTTTTTGTCCTAATTTTTATCTCTTCGGGGCAATATTTCCATAGTGAATGTTCTCTATTAGTTATTTTTACTGATCTTTTCTTCATTTTTTTCACACAGTATCCTTCTTCCAATATTATACTGAATCTTTTATATGTCTTGTCATTTAATATGTAGGCTTTCCTCAAACCAAATTCCTATTGGCTGAGGAAAGCCAAAGTAGTTTCTAAAGCTTTCTAGTTTTCACAACACAAATATGCTCTTTTTCTTGCTGCCTTCTCTGCTCCTGCGAACTGAAGTCAATTTACAATGTTTCTGCTGTAAGATGTTTACACTTAAAAGTGTGTGCTTCTCACCTGGAGACAGTGCTTCTGTGTGACAGATCTCATGCCACTGAGGCCTCTGTACTTTCTTCATTCCTTCTCACTTCTTTCTTTTCTCCCCTCATTTTGTTTGTCTCATGTATGTCATTACAGACTAGGAATTATACGTATCTTCACTTTACTGAAAGTTGAGCTTTCTGGGTTCTTTTAAATTTTACTTTTAAATAAATTCCATGAGGAAAAAGAAAATGCAGGCTTTTGCAATCATGATCCCAATAAAAGTCCTGCTTAGTGATTTTAAAATCACCTTTGAAGATTGATATTTTAACCAGAACAAGAGGACACAAAAATTCTCCTCAATGAAATGTTTCTTAGAAAACATATTTCAGCTGTCAACTCGAAACTAAATTAGAAGAGATACTATAAAATGTAAATTTTACTTCAAGACAAAATATACACACAGCCAAACAGGTTTTAGACAAGGTCTAGAAGAGAAAATTTTAGCCATTCATGTAATCCCAATATCGTACCCAAGATGAAACAGAAATGTTTTTCATTATTTACTACATTTAAGCTAGGAATTGGCATCATAGCAAATCACTTGGATGATTGTATCCCACAGATAAAACGTGCTAATACTAGATTTATATTTACTTAAAATGTAACAGTGACTACCAGACTCCTGAAAGAGCTGACAAATCACCTTTCCCATTTCTTCCATCTGTTCACTTCTCAGACTTTTCAGCCTCTTTTGAGATAGTTGGTGATGGAGATGTAGATTCCATCTTCTCAGGTACTCTCGACCACGTGCAATGCTCATGCATCACTACACATACACTCTCCTTCCTCCAGAAAAATTAATATCACACAGATCTCTATCCACCTTCAGTAGAAACCCTTGCCTATTTTCAGAAATGTGTAGAAAATGACTGGATGAAATCTCACTAGAGTTAATATTGGCAAACTGCTCAGTCAGACAATTTTTGTGTTGAGTGGGAGAGGGCAGGGTTATCTTCTCTTACCTCTCTCTCCCTCTTGCTCTTGACAGATGATACATAGTTAGTTAGCTAGCTAGGTAGATATCCACACTATGCCTGTAGAATATTTTGTGATGAAAATATCCATTTGGTGAAATATCTCTGATGTCACATGGACAGTTGACCTTTGTCTTCCATTGTTACTATCTTGTTTCTTATTTTATCTCAATAAATTTTACTTTTCTACTCAAAGTTTCACACTTCAAGTCTTCTCTTCCCGTATTTCCTGCACTACTCTTACATAGTGGAATATTGTGAAAAAAGAATAGACCATATAAAAAAGTCTAACAGTTACTTACCTGTGGTGCTGGCCTGGCTCATGTCCTCTTCTCTGGGCCTAGCTTGTCATCATAGTTGCTCCTACCTGCCCATTAAGGAGTGGAACTCATGGCCTACGAGTCGACAGCATCATCCCTCCAGGCCTGCTGAGCCAGGCTAGAGATGGCTGAAACCAGAGTGGACTGTGGGTGCAAGCCAGAGAACTTTGTTTGTTCCTTCAATAATTTGGAATAGGGACTCAAAAACTACAGCTAGTCCATTAGTCATTTAAACTGAGAGGCTCCACAAATCTGAGTTTGGGGCAACAAGATTTATGAAAAGAATAAAAAGTTAAGAAAAAAGAGAGAGAGAGAACGCAGAAGTGAATAATGAAACCCAGGTGAGAGATCAGGTTTCTGAGAGAAACAGGGCAAGAAGGAACAAGTGCCTCACTATCAGATTTCATGAGTCCAAGCCCACTTTTTGATGCTGGGATCTGTAAGTTTGCCAATTAATTATTCTTTCAAGTTTCCCATTTTTGCTTAAACTAATTTCACTAAACCTGTGTTTTGTAAAGCAACAGTTCTATAATTAAATACACACATTCTTTAAATTAGGGCAACATGAAAATACTTGTCAAAAAAGCAATGATAAAAGCAACAGGAATATTTGAATTAATGAAATTACAACAGAGATTCAAGTTAAAGGTTGGGAAAAAATGTAACATATTCTATTGTTTGCATCATTAACCTATGTGAAATAACTTATTTGTGCAGGTTCATTAGACTTTGAGGAATACTCAGTGGAGCATATTAGGTAGAATAAAATTAGAACAAAATATCGCAACCTCCTACGTTTTCAACACAGCTATGAATATTGGAAGGCTATGTTTTTGTAACTGCTGACACATCGAAAATTGTAATCAGATCCTTGAGACCACACCAGACCAACTAATCCAGATTCACAGACATGTGACTAAGATAATTTCTTCTCGGCCAACTGGGGACCCTCTCTAGGATATAGAAACCAGATGATTAGGAGCTATATTTTATTTAAAATTAAAACAGGAGGCAGCATACATAATGGTAACGGCAAGAATGGCTTTAGTGAACTTAATAGTAGGTCTGTTGATCAGATCTGAGGCATGAAGTAAGGGTTAATCCTCAGTCATTTTATCTAAATAAGGAAGTATAAGGATTGGCTGAGGACCAGAGGATGATATTAAATTCCGGTCATGAAAGGAATAAACTTGGCCTTGTAATGTTTCTGCACCACAGCTCATGCCCGAATGTTTGCAATGAACGTCTATGGTTGTTGAATCAGGGAACCCAAGTTTGTATACGTGCATGCATACATAAAGGCATGCATGTGCACACTTCTTAGACGTCTGCCCTGCATTCTCCTTCAAACACTTAGTGTCACTAAACCCTTCAAGGTTTGCGTGGAGGCTTCAGTCCTTGCCTTCTTTCCCAATTGTGGCCCATATGCAAATTTAGAAAAGTTGAGGTACTACAAGAAGAAATCGGATCATTTAACTTTAAAAAAAATAGGTAATTGGCAAAGAAAAAAAAGTATATATTCAAGATGTACCATATGATAATTTATAATACGTATGCATGTTATGCAGATTAAAACAAATTAAAATATTCATCACTACCCATAGTTACCATTTGTCTGGAAGGGGGTGAAGACACTTAAAATCTGCTTTCTCATCTATTTTAAAGTAAGCAATAAAATATTATAAATTGTAGTCACCACGCTGTACACTAGGTCCACGGAATCTCTTCATCTAACAACTGAAAGTCTGTACCCTCGGACCAACGTCTTTCCTCACTTTACTCTCCATTCAAACAGTGCTGCTCATTTCTTAATCAAATCATTTGTTTCCCTGCTACTGAGCTGTTTAGCTCCTTTTATATTTTGGATATTGACCCCTCATCGGTTGTATGGCTTATAAATATTTTCTCCCAATCTGTAGAATATCTCTTCACTATGTTAATTGTTTTCTTTGCTGCATGGAAGCTATTTTAATTTGATGTAACCCCATTCATCATTTTTTGCATTTGTTGCCTGAGCTTTTGGGATCAGGTCCAAAAAAATCATTGCCCAGACCAACTTCATAGTTTTTCCTGTAATTTTTTTTTGTACTTTTATAGTTTTAGGTCTTACACTTAAGTCTTCTATCCACTTTGAGTTGATTAATGTATATAGTGTGAGATAAGGGTCCGCTTTCATTCTTCTGCATACAGATATCAAGTTTTTCCAATACACTTGATTAAAAAAACTGTCTTTTCTCCCATTGTTTATTCTTGGCACCTCTGTTGAAATCCATTGACTGTAAATGCATAGTTCATTTCTGGGCTTTCTATCTGCACCATTGGTCAATATGTTTATTTTTATGCCAGTAGCATGTGCTGTTCTAATTATGATAGCTTTGTGATATAGCTTGAAGTGAGATTGTGTGATGTCTCCAGCTTTGTTCTTTTTGTTCAAGATTTCCTTGAATATTTGAGAGGTTTGTGAATTTTAGGAATTTTTTTCTATTTCTATTAGATATGATATTGGAATTTCGATAGGGGTTACATTGAATCTGTAGATTGTTTTGGGTCATACAAACATTTAACAGTATTAATTCTTCCAATTATGAACACAAAATATCTTTCAATTAATTTTGGTCTTCCTCAGTTTCTTTCATCAATGTTTTATCGTTATCACTTACAGGATCTTTCACCTCCTTGGTTAAATGTATTCCTAAGTATTTTTATACCTATCAAAGATGAAATTATTTTCTTAATTTCTTTCTTGGATAGTTTGTTGTTAGTGCAAAGGACTGAATAGACATTTCTCCAAAGAAGACATACAAATACCAAAAGAAACATGAAAAAAATGCCCAACACCACTAATCTTCAGGGAAATACAAATTAAAATCACAATGAGATATCATCTTACACCTATCAGAATGGTTACTATCAAAGAGATGAAAGATAACAAGTGTTGATGAGGATGTGGAGAAAAGGAAACTCTTGTACATCGTTGGTGAAAATGTAAGTTAGTATAGCCAATATGGAAAACTGTATGGAGGCTCCTCAAATAACTAAAAATAAATTGCCATACGATCAGCAATCCCACATCTGAGTGTATATATGAAGGATTTAAAATCAGTTATGTCAAAGAGATATCTGTGTTTCCATGTTCATTGCAGAAGTATCAACAATAGCCATGTTATGGAATCAACCTAAGGGATGAATGCATCAAGAAAATGTGGTGTATATATACACAATGGAATTGTATTCAGCCTTAAAAAGAAGAAAATGCTGCCATTTGTGACAACATACATGAACCTGGAGGACATTATGTTAAGTGAAATAAGCCAGGCACAGAAAGACAAATACTGTATGTTCTAACTTATGCATAAAATCGAAAACAATCAAACTCATAGAAGCAGAGTAGAATAGTGGTTACCAGAGGGTGAGACGTGGGAGAAATAGCAAGATTTTGGCCACAGGATACAAAATTTCTGTTAGACAAGGGAAATAAATGATAAGTATTTGAGATGATGGATATGTTAGTTTGATGTAATCATTCCACACTGGGTACATACATCATAACATCACTTTGTACCCCATAAATAAATACAATTATAATTTGTCACTATAAAAATAATATGCAAAAAACAGCTGCAAACATCTGTCTTTAATTGTATACATAAACAAGTTCATTTGACTTGCATGACCTTCTGTGGATGTGAGGGGCTCACACTTGCATTTCAATTATTTTAGCTATATGATGTGAACTAACATGCTTACATTAACACTTTCCTCTATTATTTTGGTGCCTAGATGATTAGCATACTAAACAATGTTTGAATGTGGATTCAATATGAGTCATAAAAATATGTTGTTGTGCAGCAGGAAGCCTACTAGGCTAGAAAGAACTACATAGGTTGAAGGTTTTTCTTTGGTGGGGGGCATCACCCAACTTGTTTGGCCCTTGAAGTCCTGCACTCAGGGTGGGGCTCCCACAGCCTATTCTCGTGTCTAGAGCAATAACCATGGCAGTTCATGTCCCTTGTAATTTGGTACAAGGTGACAAGTAAAGGATTTGTTTTCAATCATTGGACCCACTCTGGAATAGGAGTAATATATATTTACCCTTAAGCTAGTGGCTTCCCAGCTGCTTTTTTAAAGCACCAGACACATTTTTCCCTAAACAAACAAACAAACAAAAAATCTGATTCAAAACCCTCATATGTGGAATAATGAAAAGCAGAGTTGCTCTGGCTGAGAAAGGAATGGCTTATAGCAGGGAGAAGTACTTGTCATTAGACCCAAGAGTTCCAAAGAACATAACTAGGGTCAGGGAACAATGAAAAAGCCTTTCATCCTGGATGGATTTGGGGGTAAAACTCGGGTTTCCCTCTTAGCCTCCATTATTGCCCCAGTCTGAATTCTTGAATTTTCCTCTTTTCAAAGCTTCTGTGTCAACAGTGATTTTGCTCTGTGTTAGTCCATACTGCTTTGAGCCTCACTTACATCAGGGATCTGTTCTTTGGCTTAAATATTCGACATAAATCCTGTTCCGTCTTATCTATAGAATTGTGAAGGAGGTTTTGATTTCTGCTGCTGTGCAACTTAAATATCTTCTACTAATTAAGTACAGTCCCAGGAAGGGTGTTATTTAACAAATGTCATGGTCAGCGATTATCCTCTGCTGCTCCCATAATAGGCATGTTTTGTCCTCATTGTGGTTGAGTCTGTTTCTGACTCAAGTTAGAAGTAAAGGTCTTTCCCCAAAGGGCAGCAGGAGGGGCCTTGTAGGCTGGTTAGTGGAAGGCCCTGAAAATCACTGCCAGCCACCATGGAGGGTCATTGCTTCTCCGTGCTCCTATCCAATGCTTGTTGCCTTCGTGGGGGCCACATGATTTTGCGTGATTTTTTGTAGACTTTAAATAGATAAAATTGGTATAATTTTGAAGGTCCTTTTGGATTTTTTCAACCTTAGCCACACATTGGAATCACCTGGGGAGAATTGTTCAAACAGCTAAAATATCACTGATGTCCGACATAAATTCAATCAGAACATCTGGAGGGGAGCCCAGTCATCCATTGTTTCCAACACGACTCAGGTCACTCCAGTAGGCAGCCGAGCCCTGGGAGCTGCTGCAGTCAAGAGAGCCGAGCACTTTCCACCTGGCAAGCCTTCCGCGGGTTTTCATGATGACTTGTGGGGCCTTTTCTACTGCTTTTTAAAAGCAGCGCTACACTACCTTTCTCTCGAAGCAGCACTATGCTAAATTAAAATTTCAGTGCCCGCTGTCGAATGTCTTTACTTACAGGATGCTGAGGGTGTGCACGGCCCTCCTTTTCTCCTGTATAGCAACAGCAGTGCTCTTCTCCTCACTCCTGGCTCCACGTTAAGCAGGAGAGGAAGCTGGGCAGGCCCAGAGGGCATGGTGTGTTAGCAGGGCTCGTGGTTCTCAACTTGGGCTGCCTGTGATTTCATCAAAGAAAGTCCAGTCGTTCGGCCAAACCTCCTCATCATCACTACCCTTTGACTAGTAATTTTGATGTTTTCATTCCTGCCTAGCTCCCAAGCCTGTTTCTCAACTGTGGTTCAGAATCTAAGAGGCACGGAATTGAGTGATTTCCCCTTCAAATATAAATCCATACAACACGGGTCCCTGGGGGGCGGAGCGCGGTGATGAGGACCCCAGCCTGACACCCTCCATGCTCAGCTCTGTCTGAGGAGCTAAGGAAGGAGCTGGCAGCGCTGCGGCGACGCATCCCCAGAGGAGCAGCAGCCTCTGACAGCAACACCAAGTGCAGGAGCGGAGGGCGGGGGAAGTCACCTGCTGCCAGGGTTCCACCGTGGGGATGATAAGAGGGAACAGCATGCACCACTAAGTGTGGGAGTCAACGATAGGTAGGTTTCCATAAATATTATCACTAAAATCATTCATATGTTTTGTTATTGTTAAGAGCTCTGACTATTGGTGATTTTCATTTTAGAGATTTTCTTACCTGAATTTTCTAAACTTTAGTCAGAAGACATAGTACTTACAAAAGAAGAAGAAAGAAGAAGAAGAGGAAGAAGTAGAGGAAGAAGAGGAAGAAGTAGAGGAGGAAGAAGAAGAAGAAGGAGGAGGAGGACGAGGAGGAGGAGGAGGAGAAGGAGAAGGAGAAGGAGAAGGGAGAAAAGAATTAAAAAGCATTGCTAAAATGATTGTTTTGTGTTTCCTTTTAATACTAGCACAACTTTAGTTTGTGTGACCCATCTCCAACTTTTTGTTTTAGCTTAATATCTTGCAATTAAACCAAATCACCATTTAGATGTTAAAAATGTTCAATATACTTGAAAACCTACTACCAGTCAGTAATATCCAAGGTAATATACTAGGTCTTTAAGTCATTTCAAATGTAGGTAAATTTCCTCTGTTTTACAAATGGACAATTAAATACTGAAAGACTTTTATACTAGTTATAATTCTCAGCTTCATTCTAATTTTTTGTAATTAATTTGTAATTATGTTTTGTACTCAAAACTATGGTCTAATTTATTCATGCTAAATTGGGATGGATTTTTTAAATGTTAAGGGTTTAGTATTACGAATATTTTAACAATAATATAAACTCCACTTAACCAAAGTGCAGTATCATATTAGTGCATCATTCTCTTCTATTGTATATTTTTATTTCAATTTCTTAACCAAAGAGTACAGGTTTTGGAATCTCAGGAACCAGACATAAACCTTAGATTTCTCTAACATAAGAGGGATAAGCAGTAGCTTTGAAACCAGAAACATGGGATTAAATCCAACATGTCGTTTCTTCAGCTGTGTTATTTGTCCTCTCAAAAGCCCGTTTTCCTTGTCTAGAAAATGGCAGCGACATTGCTTTCTTCATGAGATTATTGTGAGGACAAAATGAGGTAATGGTTATAAATCCTCTTGCACTGTGACTGGCACACTAAAAATGCTAAATTACTCTTGGTTCCTTTTCCTTCCCTTTAATCATACATACAAATAACTCAAGTTTATGTAGCTGAACCCCTACAGAATTCAGTCACCATCCATATGTCTCTGTGATCCTTGACTCATGAATAACCCACCAACTGAAATTTCTCAATCCTCCATAATGAGTCCATCTAAATCAAGGATTGTATGTCAAAAATGATAGTACAACAGAAACATGCAATAAAGTTCTTTTTTCCTGGAAAAATGCATTTGACTTTTAGTCCCTAGAGTGAACCCCGCTACAGGTGGAAGTCAGCAGAGTGAATGATTTTCTCACAAGAATTCCCTTGTGTCTTCACTTGGCAAGCACTTTACAGAACACCTGCTGCCCAGATGCTGGGGCTGCAGATGACATGCTATCATCTATTTCCAGAATTAAATCAATATCCAAAATATTCTGTCCCACTGAATGGTTGATGTAAAGGAGTCCACCCAGCTCTAGAATATTCAATGATAGAAGAATACAAAATCCTGGGACTTCTTCCCCCACTGAAGTATTTATCAACTCTGTGCTGCCTTAGGTCTAATGCTTGTGCCTTACAGTCATCCTTAGGAAGGTGTTTATACACCCATGTTTGCACACATGTACAAAGTTCCCAATGCCCACCTGAACCAGTCCCCTAAACAGCTGAATTTCAACTTTCTTTGTTTCTGGTTACGCACATTGAATGTTGGCTGTGAAAGAGCGTGTCCTTCCAGAATATCTAATTTGTAAACCCACCTATTGCAGAAGTAGCATCTACATCTTCCCTTACAGCTGGGCACTGGGCTGTCTGTGAATGGTAACGAGGCAAATGTTTAGTAGAAAAAGCATGGAATTGGCCAGATCTGGGCTCAGTTCCTGCCTTCATCACTTAATCAATGCTTTACATTGGATTCAAAAATTAACTGGTCTGAACTTCAGTTATTTACAAGGGACAGCAAAACCAGCCCCACAGAGTATTCTCACCATTTTCGCTTCCCTTTCACATATAGATCCCGTCTGTTTTTCTGTGACTTCTGCTCGCTGGTCTTTTCCATCCTGGTGACTCTCTCTCCTTACCATTATTTTTCTTCAGATAATCTCTCCTCCTTAGGCCAGCATGACCTAGCATTTCTGTATCACTACAATCTTTTCAATCGGAAGAAACAAAAAAGTAACAACTATCTTAGATCAGAAGGGAGCTTTATCGGCTGAGTGATTGAGCAGTCTGGAGGTCTGCAGGCTTCCTGCCCTGTCTGCTGGAGGCCATAAGAGCTCCAGCTGTTTCCCTGCAATTCCTCCTGCCACCCACATGTGCTGCCTTTGTCCCAAGACAGAGGCTATCAGTAGTAACAGGGCTTCAAGCTTCACATCTGGGGGAAACTATATGTCTCTTCTCATAGCTATTATAAAAACATGTTCAACTTCACTGTGCGTGGATCATCTCAAGACACGAACCCTTCTCCTGACCCATCACTAAGGCTGGGGCCCATATTACCTGATTGGTCTAGGTTAGGTGGCGTCTCTCCTAAATGGCTGGTGGGTCTTCCCACCTAAGAACACGTGACTGGCATACACAGTGACGGGAATGGCATCAATTTGATGAAGGAAAATACAACTTCCTCTATATTCCCTCACCGGTCAAGTCTCCTCTTTCAACATTTCCTGGTTCTATCACTTTTATTCTGATGCTACATCCTTCTCACTCAGTGTCATCCCAGTGGACACCTGGAGAAAGTTCCACGGCAGGTCTGCTGCTAGATGACCAGTGACTGTGCTTCCAGAGAAGGCCACCCATCTGACTGCCCTGTAATGTTTAAAGAATTTGCTTAAGTTGTGGGGGGAAAAAAACCACAAGCCTCTTTATATGCCAGATATGAGTACGAACGACTTCTGACTGGTTCCAAAGTAAACCCATCTACAAAACTAGACTTGCCACTGGTGAGATGACACTGCATTGTAAAAGAGAATACTTAAGGGGAAAAGTCCCATAACAGAGGAAACCTTAATTACACTATGTTTTATTACTCACTTCATTACTTCCTACCAAAAAGGCATTCCAAATGCATAGTATTATGGAATTTACTAATGATTTAATTTAAATGGGTATGTTTTGATATAAAAGGCTCTTTACAGTATGATTATACTTATACAAAATGAATGGCTCACATCTGTAATTCCAGCACTTTGGGAGGCCCAAGGTGGGTGGATTGCTTGAGACCAGAAGTTCAGACTAGCCTGGCTCACATGGTGAAACCCTGTCTACTAAAACTACAAAATTTAGCCAGGCATGGTGGCACACATCTCTAGTTCCAGCTACTTGGGAGGCTGAGGCACAAAAATCGCTTGAGCCTGGGAGGTGGAGGTTGCAATGAGCCAAGGTTGCGCCACCGCACTCCAGCCTGGATGATATATATATAAATAAATAAATAAAATGCCATGTGTGGGTGGTGTAGACAAAGGAACACATAAACAAATTAGAGGTGTTCATCTTTGGAATGGTGGATACATTATTATTAGTGAAGAGGAGAATAAACATGAGCTTTTAGATTATAGCATATCCTGTCAACACATTCCATAGAGAGATTGTCACCTTATAATGAATATTCAGTCTATCAATGTGACTGTTTTATATGAGTAATACCTGTTCTCTTTAGTTGTTTTCTTAAAATAAAATAAAAAATAAAACACCAATACCTAATCCCTCAAATATAGAAGATGGTACCTGTAATATTAGTCCTGACTGTGATTGGTCAATACAGTGTTAGTTATCATCTCACACACTTTTAGAATGTTTTATTTAGCCCTATCAAGCCTGCACTATGTAAATAGTCCCGCAAAAAACTAGCAAACATGCTACATGTACACACAAGATAATGAATTTTAAAACTTCACAAATAAATACAAATACATCTCTATTTGAAAAACTACCATTCTCATCAATGAATAGGGCCCTACCTAACAGAAACACCTACTACAGGATACCCGATAATTGTATTTTCTCCTCAGGAAAAACTGAAGCTAGGAGCATCTTCCTGGCTAAATTCCCAGACATCTGATATTTTAGTTTTATTACAAACCTTGCCCATTTTAATCTGATTCTCTCTTCATGATACATGAGTCTCTTCTTGCAGGGTAAGTTCATCTGAGAGCAGTTCTCTCATTTTAAATTAATCGGCTGCCTTCAATGTTATCCAGATTGAAGTGTTGATTGTGTACTATTTATCTTCTTAATAACAAAAAATTAATCTGCAAAGGAAATATCAAAGGAGATGATCTGCTCTCCACTGTGAGAGATGAAGTGGTCTGATGTTCTCACTGAGAGTCATATTTAACTCCTTATATTTATTTCTGGGTGGTCATAATTTTATTTAAATTTGATTGCTTTCTAGACTTTATGTTTTTGACTTTATTCCCAGAACACCCATCAGATTCACTCCAGGTCTCACTAAGACCAGAACAGCCCACAGTCAGGAGTACTGAAAAGCCCCTCCCAGTCTCCACTTTTAATCCAACCCCCAGCATCCTTTTTAGAGCCACAGATGTGACCTCCACACCAAAAGCAAATGTTGCAAAGAGATGCTCAGAGCTACAAAACACTCCTTCCTTCCCCACTGGTCAGTGCAACCCCTTCTTAACAGCCGCTTATTCTCTCATTTCTCACACCAACCACCTGCCCTCCTCCTTTTCTACAGTGTAATATGGGAAGGCATTCTCATTCACAGATGCCAGATAGAGCAAGGGAGCATAGAGCTACCCACATATGGCTAAGAAATTAGATCAGATGTTCAGGATTCTACTTACCAAGAGGTCATGCCTGCATTTCATTGGAGAACAGCAATCTAGGGTTTCTCCTATGTTAGGATAAGAGACATAAAAAAAAAAACTATAAAATTCTGCTCAAAGGAATAAACAAAGATGACAATGGGGTCATGGTAGAAATGTTAACAGAGCCCTAGCACGAAGCCCTGGTCTACATATCATTCCTTAAAAAAATGATTCAGCCATTCAACTAGTGCCTGCCAAGTACTGACACCATGCCAAGTCCTAGGAGCCCGGCAGTGAACCACAATGTCCCAATCCTGCCCTCAGGTGACTTAGAGAACATGATCCATGAGCCCAGCACTAATTCAGACTGTTAGAGAGGGCTTGTTAGACGCCAGACATTGCTCTGACTGATTTGTTAGTTCTTTTAATTCCCACAGAAATATTTTACGGAAGTTATTATTGCTGTCCTTATGTTACAAATGAAAAAAGATATGCGCAGAAAGTCTAAACAATTTGCTTCACAATGCACGGCCAGGAAGTTCTGGAGGCAGGATCTGTGCACAGGCATGAGTGGCCCCAGAATCCATGTTCTTGACCCTGCTATATCAGGGGTCTTTGCCATCCTCCACATTCCTGTTACAGTGCATCCTCACTAAACAAGACACGATCACGTTAGGGCTGAAAGTCAGGGAAGAAATTATCTTATCCAAAACTGTAGGTTTTGTGGAGACTGAAGCCCAGAGAGGGCTGATCACAGAATAGGCACTATGCGTCATGTCCCTATATTTCACACCACTGTCTGCATTAAAAACCAGCTACAGCAAAGGTGGTGTTTCATGCTGATTGAACCCCACAGCCTCTAGATAGTAGAATGAATATGTCTGAAGAGACTTTCTGTATTTTAGAGTTTCTCTGTTTTTCTTTTTCTTTACCTTCTATGTCTCCTAATGCCTTGTCTATGCTCTTGTAGCCTTGGGTCTTGACAAGCGGCCACGACATAGCAGAAAGTATTTTACCAACAAACAATGTCCAAATCTCCTAAATGCAGGGTAATTTCTTCCCCTGTGTCCATCATGGATAAGTAAGTAGCTGGCTTTCTGGAGAACTCAAGAAGATTAGAATGTGCCCCAAGCCTTAGTTACCTCCTGAGTGCAGCTGGGAGCCTCCAACAGTGTGGAGCAGTGGAAGAGGAAAGTGAAGGTAGCATGTGACCCCAGCTCAGACCAAGCCAGAGGTGCACACACAAGGCTCTACTGCAGCAAATGTTGGCTTTGTCATTTCCTTGGCCTGTATGTCCTCACTTTCACTTTACAACTGTGAGTAAAAGTGTGTGATCTCTAGAAGAGTGGACTATCTCCTAACAAGTGCCTGAAACTATAACTTTCATTGTTAGGAAGATTTAATCTGATGTTGGTTACTTAAGTGTTTTCAGTCGGTGAAAATGTATCACTTTTGATCTGTGCACTTTCCTGTATTCCTGATATACCTTATAATATATATGAGATCTGAAATCACACAAACCTAAGCCTAAATTTTCAAGAATTCATTTCTACCTTTGATTCTGGGCAGATGTGCTTATCTGTTCTGGACTCTATTTATAAATAAGAAAAGTAGCAACCCCCAGAGCTCTCCTAGGAAAATAAGAGATTTTCACACATGCAAAAACACCTGGAACACAGCAGCACTTTTTGATAATTCTCATAAGGAAGGAACCTGAGTCTTCTTTACCTTTTTCCCAAATGCCCACAAAGGAAGATCTTAAAAAATGTTTTATTTGAATTACCAATTACATGATGAATTTGCTTATTTTTCTCAAAGAGATAAATCATTTGGTATAAAAATGACAAGAGAAGTTCACTAAGGACAATACTGAATTTGAGAGCACAGATATTCCTCACGCAACGCAGTGGTAGACAAGAGTCACTAACTTAATAGTCTATTCTCCTATTGATGTTGAGCCACAAAGTCCTGCTGAGTTTGTTAACATAGTCCTTCAAGACCTGGCTCTAAATGGGCCTTCTCAGGCCAGCAGACATGGCATGAGACAATGAGTATTTATGTCTGTAATTACCTGATTTGAATAACTAATTGCCCCCTGTTGCTTGTGTGGCTTGGGCTGTGCCAGTTGTCTAGATATGGGGCTGAGAGCCAACAACAGACTAATGCAAACTCCCTCTCTGCAGTTCATTTGCTGAATGGCTTAAATAAATCACTTAGTGCCTCCACATCTCAATTTCCTACTCTCTATAACCGTGGCAATGGTTTATACTTGTTTACCAATTAGCTGACTTAGTTAATAAATTTAAATTGCCTTGTAGATAGGTAATATCGAGTGCAAGTAAGTATTAATTATTGTGATTTGTGAACACTTCTCAAGTAGTGAGTCTTATATGCAAATGAGGCAATAAGTAGCCTAATTTGGTAAAAAGAGAAATAAATGCTAAGTAGAAGTTGTGTCAGCAACTGCAAATGTTTACATGAAAGCAGAAAGGAAGAATTAGAAGACTCATTGGTGGGAAATTGTCTTTGGGCTGCCAAATTAATCTGTTGCTTATGGAGTCTAAAATGGATTGTGAGAGTGAACAAGTTGGTGAGAGACCTCGGGACAGCTTCCATCCCTGGGGAGAACAAGTAGAAGTCTACACAATTGGACCTGGGCGGCCCCAGGGTTTCTAAGGCCTTCCTTGACAGTAATGAAATACCGTGTTCGGTATTCCCGGATTGAATATGTGTTGTGAATCACATCCTCTGCTGGATGATTGGTGGCAGGAGTGAGACTAAGAGCAAGTGCTGATGAGTTATTTTCAGCCTTTGTGGAATTTGTAATCTAAGAGAAGAGAATCTACACACACAAGCAATTAAGTAGCTATAATAGACACATGGATAAGCAACTAGAGTTAGGAGAAAGCAGGAGGTGATGTCTGAGCTGGGTCCTGGATAATTAAGTTGACATTAGCCAGGGAGAAGTGGGGAAAGGGATGGTGGGGGCAGAGCCCATAGCGTGGCCTTTGGAGCAATGGGCTGGCAGGTCATTCTGGCCACTCTATTGAAGACAGAAAGCACAGGATGAGAGACAGGCAGCCAGGCAGGAGATGATGGCAGGAGAGGTGGGGATGTAGCCTGGGGAAGGCTCTGATACCAACCTGTTAGTGCACTATCTCCTGGAAAACCAGAACCTACACAAATGAGGGAATTGGAAGTCGCTTCTCTTAGTCACTGAAATTTCTCTTTTCAGTGGACCCTAAGAAAAGAAAAGCCATGACAAAGTAAAAAGAATATAAACATGTCAGGTGTATGCTATTAGATGTACAAGTCTAAGGAAGCCAAATACCTTGATTGCCTTACATAGCGAATATTCACTTTTGCAAGTATCTGTAGGGGGATATAATCATTCACTCATTTCTTCACCTGCCCACCTGACAAACAGACCAAAAACCTAGGATCCTTCACTAGTTATTTGTCATTAGGGGACTCCTAGGAAATGAACCCTTTTCTTGTCTGAGGAGCCTCTCATTGTTTGCCCTTGGCAGAGGCAGTTCCCCACCTTTTCCTAAGGAAGCCATCAGAGAGCAGATCATCCCTCCCACATTAAGCAGCCAGGAGATGGGAGGTAACCTGGGCCCAGTCACCATCTCACTCCAGACATAGCCAAGACTATGAACACAGGGGTAGGGGAGTGAGGCAGAGGCCCAGGGCAGGTGGAGATTCTAGGGAGTGGCTGCAGAGCATAAATGGTGTGGTCATGCCAGTGGTGCCATCCCAGCCAGGCACTACCTCAGCTGCCTGACTTCCCGGGTTCTAGTCCTGGCCATTCTCCCAGCCTGGACCACAACACCTCAAGAGGACCCTGAAAACTCCCAATACCTACTGAATACATGTATTTTCTGTTTCAATTTACAACCAAGAACACTGACTACACTACACACCTTTCCATCCTGAACCTGGAGGTGTCTGGGATAGATCTGCCCTGTCGCTCCATTGTGTTCTCTTGATTCCAGCCCTACAATTAATGTCCCGCACTGTCCTGGAGTTTACCCAGTGCCAGACTGGTGGGGTGCTATGAAGCACTCCTAAGTTTCAACAGAACAGAAGGGAAACTGAAAGTTGCCCAATAATTGTTATGATTTTTTTTTTCTATATTTATACCCCATGGCCCAAGTAAGAAAGAGAAAGAAAAATGAACAACCATTTATTTATCTCCTTCTATGTTCAGGGCCTTGTGCATATGTGTGTGTGGGTGTGTGTGTGTGTGTGTGTGTGTGTGTGTATCCCCTTTACATACATTATCTCATCTAATCATTCTCTTTGTAAGAAAAGTATTATTATTTATGTTTACAGAAAAAGAAACTGAGGCTCAGAAAATGTCAGGTGATTTGCAAACAACATAGAATCAAGAATATATGTGCCTAACTTCCAAACCCTACTCTATTTCACCAAGCCACAGTTAAACTAGAGTCAGGGAATTTTAGTAACCTGTGATAAATGCCATTTAACAGCGTATGAAAAAGGCAGGGCAGGATGACAAATGTTGAATTAAGAAGACAAGTGTTTGAATAGACATTTCTCCAAAAGATATACAAATGGCCAATAAGCACCTAAAAAGATATTCATCCTCATTAGACATTGAGATGATGCAAATCAAAGCCTCAATGAGATCGCACCTCATCCCTACTAGAATGACTAAAGTAGATAAACAGAAAAACAAGGGTTAGCAAGGATGTGGACAAACTGGTATTCAATGCTTTGCTAGAAGAAAAATAAAATACTTTTACCGAGTAATGAAAATGTTCTAAAATTAGATTATGGTGATGATTTCACAATTTTGTATCAATAGTATCATACACTTTACACAGGTGAACTTTACAGTGTATAAATTGTATCTAAATAAAGCTGTGCAAAAAAAGGAATGCTATTAATTTAATTGATAATTATACCATCTGACGTATTTCCTACTCAACTCTTTAAAGTTTGTTTTATAACTGACTTTCTTTATAGCTGACCAACCTGAGGTTACAAAGTTAAGTGACTTCCTCAAGGTAACATAGTGAATGAAAAATATTTAATTTTGAGAGGTGACAGCGTGCTGGCAGCCCTCACAGCCCTCGCTCGCTCTAGGTGCCTCCTCTGCCTGGGCTCCCACTTTGATGGCACTTGAGGAGCCCTTCAGCCTGCCGCTGCACTGTGGGAGCCCCTTCCTGGGCTGGCCGCGGCCAGAGCTGGCTCCCTCAGCTTGTGGGTAGGTGTGGAGGGAGAGGTGCTGGCGGGAACCGGGGCTGCGGGTGGGGCTTGCGGGCCAGCATGAGTTCTGGGTGGCTGTGGGCTCCACGGGCCCGCACTTGGAGCGGCCGGCCAGCTCTGCCGGCCCCAGGCAATGAGGGGCTTAGCAACCGGGCCAGTGGCTGCAGAGGGTGTGCTGGGTCCCCCAGCAGTGCTGGCCGACCAGCACTGCGCTAGATGTCTCGCTGGGCCTTAGCTGCCTTCCCGCGGGGCAGGGCTCAGGACCTGCAGCCCACCATGCCTGAGCCTCCCCCACCCTCCGTGGGCTCCTGTGCTGCCCCAGCCTCCCCAATGAGTGCCGCCCCCTGCTCCACGGTGCCCAGTCCCATCGACCACCCACCCAAGGGCTGAGGAGTGCGGGTGCACAGCGCGGGACTGGCAGGCAGCTCCACCTGCAGCCCCAGTGTGGGATCCACTGGGTGAAGCCAGCTGGGCTCCTGAGTCTGGTGGGGACTTGGAGAACCTTTATGTCTAGCTAAGGGATTGTAAATACACCAATGGGCACTATGTATCTAGCTCAAGGTTTGTGAACACACCAATCAGCACCCTGTGTCTAGCTCAGGGTTTGTGAATGCACAAATCCACACTGTATCTAGCTACTCTGGTGGGGACTTGGAGAACCTTTGTGTGGACACTCTGTATCTAGCTACTCTGGTGGGGACTTGGAGAACCTTTGTGTGGACACTCTGTATCTAGCTACTGTAGTGGGGATGTGGAGAACCTTTGTGTCCAGCTCAGGGATTGTAAACGCACCAATCAGTGCCCTGTCAAAACAGACCACTCGGCTCTCTGTAAAATGGACCAATCAGCAGGATGAGGGTGGGGCCAGATAAGAGAATAAAAGCAGGCTGCCCGAGCTAGCAGTGGCAACCCCCTCGGATCCCCTTCCGCACTGTGGAAGCTTTGTTCTTTCGCTCTTTGCAAAAAGTCTTGCCGCTGTCACTCTTTGGGTCCACACTGCCTTTATGAGCTGTAACACTCACCGTGAAGGTCTGCAGCTTCACTCCTGAGCCAGCCAGACCACAAACCCACCAGAAGGAAGAAACTCGGAACACATCCGAACATCAGAAGGAACAAACTCCGGACACGCCACCTTTAAGAACTGTAACACTCACCGCGAGGGTTGGCGGCTTCATTCTTGAAGTCAGTGAGACCAAGAACCCAGCACTTGAGACCAAGAACCCACCAATTCCGGACACAATTTGACCTAAGCTGAAGGCAGCAATCCCAGGTGCATCTGTCCCTCCAGTCACAGATAAGTAAGTTCTATCATGTTTCTCAACAAACAAATATTCAAATGAAGGAACCCGATATGTTTAGAAAATTTTATATTTAGTCCCACAATCAGTTTGTGACGAGCATATTATTATTTCCATCTTGTGGTTGAGAAAAGGCTCAGAGGAGATGTTTTTACATTTTTCTCACACAATTAATGAGCAAATTCCCCAGGTGCACTTTTCTTTGGCTTTTAAATGGGGACTCTTTCCTACTGTATACACCATGCTTCCTTCCGCAGAAATTTAAATCCCTAAAACCTATTCGCTTCTGAGATGTCAAAAAGCTATAAAAAATTCAATTGTTTCTTCATAATTTGTACAGAGAAACAGGTACCAAAAGATTGCAAAAATTGTCAGAAGTACTATGTGTATCAATGATGATGCTCATTCAGTTCTCAATCCAGTATTCATGAAAGTGTTTAAATGATACAGCACTACCTAGAACTTACATTTAATTTGGTTTTGTTTAATTCTTGTGAAAGATATTTAATCTTATCTTTTCTTCAGTAGAAATGCAATAAGACAAATGCACTGATGGTATAAAAGCAAAAAAAAAAAAAAAAAAAAAACAGCATTTAAAAATAAATTCAAAGACCTGTCCATACAAGAACAGGTGTTAAATTAGCCACAAGAAAACTCTCATGTTACTTCCCGAATGTAATACTATAGAATTACAGGGAATGCATCATTAAAAAGGGAAAAGCTTTTTAAACTCCTGTTCTCCAGTCTAAATTAATAGCTTCTATGTTTATTGGTTCCCAGAAGGAAACAAGCTGGGTTTGTTTACTCCTGCATATGAATAATCATGTCCATCATGTCCCATTGGAGGAAAACATACAAAAATGATTAATGTTCCTGGTTATAAGAAGTAAACAGAATGCACAGTCAGAGGTAAGGAGGGAGGGAGGCTTGAAATGGAACACAAGTAATGGAATTTGCTCTAGGAAATTTCGATCTGCTGGTAGGGCCCCCCAGGAGACAATAATCCAAGTGCAAAGTTCAATTCAATACAAGAAAGACATAACCCCTACTCTGTGCCAACCAGCATAGAATAAGAAATATATTCCTGCCTTACGGTGTTTAAGGTCTCACACCAATCCCAATGCAGTACAAAGATTTCTACATTTGGAGAGAAAGGATACAGGAAAGTGGAAAACGGAAGAAGTAATTGTCAAGATAAGATGACCTTTACATGGATCTTACGTAAAAACACTTAACATTCGCAAATCTTATTAAGCACGTTAAACTAGAGCAACCAGTGATTTAAATACACATAATCTTCATAAAAACCCTATGAGATATTATTGCCCATATTTTCCAGATAAGAGCACTGAGGTTGGAGCAGTTATGTGCCCGAAGCTTAGGTCTGTGTCTACCGTGAAGGGCCATTTGACACGCAAAGCCAATCCCCTAAGCCCTGTGGTTATCATCTTCTCTGAAAGGAGTAGGGGGACTCAAGGCTCAGGAAAATCACAGCAGGAATGCAGGCTGGCAGGGAAACAACATGAGCTGATGAGGCATGCTCAGGAGCCACCAGCCTGTGGGAGTCACTGCGGAAAAATCACCAGTGGGGAGAGGGGAAGCAAAGGATCAGAAGAGACAAGACCCTGGAAAGTGCTGCAAAGAATTTCTAACAGTCTAAGGTCACTGCATAGCAAACAATCTCAAATGTCACTGGCACACAAAACTCAGTAATTATGTCTTGTTTGCATATTAGTGGATAAGCCAGGATGACTCTCCTCCATGTGTCCTTCAACCTTCATGCAGGACCAGCTGCTACTGCAGAATGTCCTTCCCATGGCAGTGGCAGAAGGATGAGGGAGCTCTCCCAACTGCACAAGCACAAGGGAAGCCCCTGCTTGTGCCAAGTCAGCTGTTAACCCAACGGCCAAATCAAGTCACAAGGCACAGCCCAGTGTCAAGGGGTGAGTGAGTACACTTTGCTTTTGTGGTAGGAATACCGCAGCAAAGAGGCAGAGGGTATGATACAGTGAGGGGTGAAGAACAGGGGCCAATCATCCAACTTACCACAGCATTAAAAGAATTTAACAACAGGTAGCTTCTGGGGAACCACTGACAGCTTTTACTCAGGGGATCAAAACCGTCAGATTAGTTTTGATGGGAGGATAGATTTAGAAGAAGTAAGCTTTTGGGATGCATAGTTAGGGAATAACTTTTTTCCTTTCCTAAAAAAATTTATGAAATAGAAAGTTTCCATTCTGGCTGAGAAGAATAAATAGAATCCATATACTTGACTCAAGCAGATGACTTCTGTGATTTGGTACTGAAGATTTGTCAAACTCCGGGAAATTTGTGAGTCTATAAATGTTCCTGTAGTTTTTACACATGTGTGTTCAAAGAAAAAGAAACCAAAAAGGCACTAGGATCAGATTTCAAACTTGCTCAAAGTTAATCAATATGATTATATCTTTGTAAATGTTTTTTCACTGTAATCAAATGAACAACTGTTTAAATAACCACCTGCCTAATTTTTATTTAATATACACATTTTCATTCAATAAAAATGTGAAATCCTATTGTTGTTTTTAAACTGACACAAGTATTTTTACAGCTCTGTACCAAGCTTGTCTCACACTGTAGCATGCTTCATTACCAAACTATGTTTGAGTTTGCCTGTTGGAAAATGGGCTGTTATCATTGTATAACGGGACTTTGTAGTTATGTAGATTGGAACATGTATCTCTTCTGAGCTTCCTTTTTTTTATTTTTTATTTTTTTGCTTTTAAGAGAAAAATACTAATACCTACATAATAAGGAAGTTGTGGGTTCTAAAGAAAGAGTATAGTAGGCATCATGCCTTTCAATATGTGGGAACCATGAATATTACTATTGTGTGGCACCACCTTGTTAAAGTGGGCACACAGTTGCGACACATCGAAGGCTTCTCCACATAGGCATGAGCCACTATCAATCCTTTTGAAAACACAACAATCAGGAAGAAAATTGGATTGTTTCTTAAGAATCAGTGACTCAAGGAATAGGTTTTTAAAAAGCTACAGCGTTTTCTCCTTGTTCAGTTTGTATATAGCTCTGCACTGTGAAGACTGAAAGTTATTACTACCTCATGACCTGCAATAAAGAAGCTGGGAGCCCTGATCAGTGCTGTGGAGACATGTTTCTAGCCCAGTCAGATGAATGTTCTTAATTGCCATCCATCTTCACATACCCTGAGACAGGTTAAGAAGCCGCTGACTGTATGATGTGAGATCCCTGGCTTCTTCTTGCAGGGCATTGAGGAAGAAGGAGGGGAGAAAGAAGGGAGAGGCCACACATCTACTTTTCTGCTTCACCCCCTTCTTGTAATAGAGTAGATTAAGCATCTCCATCCAGAACATCATCAGTTTAGGTAAACATAAACTTGGCATTAGATTCGTATTATGCTTAAGAAGAGTCCATGCTAATAAATGCAGCTCACATCTGGCAAAGATTTTGTCACATACATTTTCATGCTGTGTATGCTATAACCTTTTATATTCCTTCCAAAATTAAAGCCTAAAACACCTAATCATCCATTAAGCATAAAGAAGCAGAATCAGTGTATTTGGATGTAATTTGGATGTAATTTCTTAAGCACAAGAGTCTTATATTTCTCCCAAGCTCTTGCATTAAATGTTAAGGCAAATCTTCTAGTTGTATATGCTTTAAAACTATGTGGGAAAAATATGTCAAATTTTTAAACTACATTGGAGAAAAACACAATATGTTGTTCAGATTTGTCCTAAAAAAGTATTATGGATGTGAATATTTGGGCAATATGTTTATCATTTTTTCAAGTGGACAAAAGCCAGGATGATTAGCAAATTTATTGAATGCCAGCATCTCAACCGACCTAAGAAGCAGTGACAAAGATAGCAGAATGAAAACTAACAAGGATAAAATTTCCTCCACTAGTTTGGTAGGTGCGGAGAACTAGTTGTTTTTTTTTTTTTTCTTCCTTGTACCTATTTGAAAAAACTATTTTTAAGTTTCTCACACCTAGACCTACAATAAAGGACACAAGAAAGGGATTAGATACAGGCAACCCTGGGCCAGGACCACTGGAGGCTGCCCATGTGGCACATTGCTAGAGGGCTTTAGGGTAGCAGGCCAAGGGGATCTAACGCATGCATAGTGTGTCCAAGATATGTTCAACAGGAAGTCAAGGAATGTGCCAGGAGCCTGCAGGTAGAGCAGTAAGATAGTCACAAAACTTTAGGAGGCTGAGGCAGGTGGATCACTTGAGGTCAGGAGTTCGAGACCAGCCTGACCAACATAGTGAAACCCCGTCTCTACTAAAAATACAAAAAACTAGCCAGGTGTGGTGGTGGGTGCCTGTAATCCCAGCTACTTGGGAGGCTGAGGCAGGAGAATCACTTGAACCTGGGAGGTGGGGGTTGCAGTGAGCTGAGATTGCACCATTGTACTCCAGCCTGGGCAACAAGAACGAAACTCGTCTCAAAAAACAACAACAAAAAAGATAGCCACAAAAGCCTCAATAAACTGTGGTGCCAAAGCTGGAGACAGGAGGAAACTAATGAGAGGGCATCACAGTGAAGCTGTGGCTCAGGGCAGGTGGCAGGTGCAGGTAGGCCTGTAGGAAGGCATGGCAGGCCCAAGGCCACACTTGCAAACACAGCCTCCATAGTACAGTGCCTGTGTATGTGGGCCTTGCACCAAACCAAGGACAAATTCAAAAGATGCTCTGTTCTCCTGAGTGATTACAAGCAAGCCAATTAGTTTGGGAACCATCATCTAATAGAACCATAAAGTCTTCTAGAAAGACACACATTACAAGTGTACCAACTTCAGTCATGGAGATAACATCTCTTTTGGCCTTATTCTATTGGATAAAAGTCCATGCTCAAGAGGAAAATCTAACCAAAGTATGTGAGCCCCAAGAGGCAGGGATCCTTGCGTACTATCTCAGACTTTGACAGCCACACTGGTCTTTCTTAGAAAGAAGTAGGAAAGGAAATGTTAAAACAGTCAAACAAAAACCAAAATTCTAGCTACGTTCTTCTTAACCATTAACTTGTTTCACAGCTATAACTTGTGCTTCATGATTTATGAGGCTAATTTAATCTCTTGCCTGTTTCAAACTTTATTACAAAACTCTCAGGCATAAGAGAGTTTATAATCTTTCCTTTTTCAGGGATGGTGGGTGACGTAAACAGAAACATCAAGACTTTACCCTGGGCCATCAGGGTATGAAAACAGGAGGCTGAGGCACATGCCTGCAATCTCTGGCCAATGCTACTCTGTCTATTCAGTTCATGCTAAAAAAGATCTCTCTACTATTATGACTTAGACCCAGCAATCCCATTACTGGGTATATACCCAAAGGATTATAAATCATGCTACTATAAAGACACATGCACACATATGTTTATTGTGGCACTATTCACAATAGCAAACACTTGGAACGAACCCATATGTCCCTCAATGATAGACTGGATTAAGAATATGTGGCACATATACACCATGGAATACTATGCAGCCATAAAAAGATGAGTTCATGTCCTTTGCAGGGACATGGATCCAGCTGGAAACCATCATTCTGAGCAAACTGTCACAAGGACAGAAAACCAAACACCACATGTTCTTACTCATAGGTGGGAATTGAACAATGAGATCACTTGGACACAGGGCGGGGAACATCACACACTGGTGCCTGTCAGGAGGTGGGGAGCTGGGGGAGGGATAGCATTAGAAGAAATATGTAAATGATGAGTTGATGGCTGCAGCAAACCAACATGGCACAGGTATACATATGTATCAAATCTGCATGTTGTGCAGATTTATTATAACTTAAAGTATAATAAAATAAACAAATAAATAAAAAAGAATAGCACATACAATTATGTACAGTACATAATACTTGACAATAATAAGCGATTATGTTATAGGTTTATGAAAAAAAAAAGAATAGACTGCCATGGGGGACAGAGGGTTACTCATTACTGGAAGTTTCAAGCAAAGGCAGAACAGCTAGCTGTTTAGGATACTGGAAAAGGATGAAGTGCTTATACTATGTGAATTTTTGATGTCTCATTTCTAATGTAGACAACTGGCAAGCACATTAGCACGGCTGGAACACCTAGTATTTGCTAGACACTATTAGAGATACTTTACCCAGGCGAACGGTGGTGGTGGAGGTTTTAATTAAATAATGACACAATTCAATAGTGCCTCCATTTTACAGGAAAAAGAAAGAAGATTCAGAAAGAAAAAGAAACTTTTCTGAGATTCCATATCTAAAGAATGTCCTGGGATTTAACCAGAGCCGGTCAGGATTTTTATTATATTTCATAGGAGGGTTTGTTTGTTTTGCTTCATTACACAATACTACCTTACAGCCCTCGTACATGAGAAATGATTCCACATGATCAGAATACGAATTTGATTTAGTTTGGCCTTTTTCACGAGTGACTAATCACATCACCCTATGATTCAGAAGGCACAGCAAATGAGGAAACAGTTTCTGTGGAATCATCTCATCCCAGGAGCTGGGCTGGAGGGGAATGAGAAAAAGCAAAAACTATAAAAACAGCTTTGAAGGTGGAAATAAAAAATACACTCCTAAACAGGAATGGTATTTTTTCCTGGCTCCCAAATCTTTTTCAGTCAAGAAAATGGTAACTTGACAGGGGTTGAGATGAGAAATGTGAGAAATAAAGGGAAGCAGGGGTGGGGAGTATGGAAGATTGCCAAAAATCTAGATTCCCCAGAATCAACGAAGTATCTCTACTCAACTCTTCAAATTCCCTGGCTTACCTGAAGACAGAACTTAACTTTCTTAGAAGTATGCTGTTACTATGTTGCTTGGAAAGGCTTTAAAGATTCCCTAAATCTTCCCTATGATGTTTTTGATTTCTGGAGGAATCAAGAATGAAGAGAAAAAATAAAGTAACAAAGGAAAAAAAAAGATCTAAGCTAGACAATAATCTCCTTTTAGCTACTGTCATTAAAAAAATGCCAACCATTAGGAATGAGGAGACTGCAAAGAGGGTGGTCAACAGTTGTGAAGACAGAGGGCACAGAAGGTGAGGCTGGCAGAAGTCAAACTTCAGGAGAGCAGTGGGACAGAACCTCATTTTTGATCTCCAAATTCCAGTCTAGAATTATACATAGTCTTTCAGCCACCTTTTCAGTTGATGTGTGTGACGTGATTTTATGTGTTAGACATTGTTCTAAAGGCTGGTATCAGATTTACAACACTGTTGTCTTCAAGAGACCCAGGACTGAAGAAGAGGGCAGGCTGATTAGCAGACGGACAAACCCAGTGTTCTAAGCAATGCAACAGTGGGGTACTACCTAGGGTGATACAGGAGTAAGGAGAAGGGTCTGAGCTCCTCATGTGGTGGGTCAGGGGTTAAAATAAAGAGTTTGTATTAACCAAGCAATTAATCCCATAATGTTAACCTTCTTAGCCATATTCAGTAAAAACAATTATGTTAATTGGGCCAGAATTACATTTTACATCGAACAAGGGACTAAGTCCCTTAGCTAAGGAAATTGTTTCTGCAGGCATACTGCCTGGGTGGGAATCTCAACTCCAACATTTACTGTCTATGGAACCTTGCACAAACTATTTAAATTCTCTGATCCTCAGTTTTCTCAACAGTGAAAGGGGCATATCAATAGTCTTACCTCATGAAATTTTTATGAAGACAACAAAAGGAACATGTTTATCATGGTACCTGAAATATATCATGCCTTATATGAATGTTGGCAATTATTTTCATTATAAATTAGTGTCTTAGTCTGATTGTGTTTTATAAAGGAATATCTAAGGCTGGGTAATTTATGGAGAAAAGATGTTTCTTTGGCTCACAGTTCTGCAGGCTGTACAAGAAGCATGGTGCCAGCATCTGTGTCAGTGAGGGCCTCAGGCTGCTTCCACTCATGGTAGAAGGTGAAGGGGAGCTGGCATGCTGAGAGATCACATGTCAAGAGAGGAAGCAAGAGAGAGGGAGTGGGGTGAAAGGCCCTATTTAACAACCAGCTCTCACAAGAGCTAACGGACCTGATAGTTGATAACTCATTTTGTGAAGATGGCACCAAGCCATTCATGACAAATCTGTCCCTAAGTCTCCAACACCTACCCTGGAGATCAAATTTCAACATGAGATTTGGAGGGGACAAACATCTGTGCCATAGCTATTAGACACTAAGACTTGAATTTCTTCTCTCCATTGAAGGTTTGTAAGCCTCATAATGTTCTGGATAGAAATCTCCTTCATAGAGTGAATGGATCAAGATGATGGAGGCAGGAGCTCTAGGTTCAGAATATGTTGTCTTTGGAGACGACAGCAGTGCTGGACTTCTTCTGGCTCAATTGCAGAAGATTGATTTTTTTTAAGGACTCATTCCTGGTATAGGTACAAACATTATTTTGGAACTTCTTGGCCTGCTGGGCTACAGATTGAAGAAACTGTACATATTTCTCAGACGAGCCAATAACAGCATTAATATATGTGTGAAAAAACCCAAGTCTTTCATACTATAGTGTCTCTAGAAAAGAAAATAGGCTGAGCAAAAAATGTGTGAATTTTAAGACGTTCAACACCATGAACACTGGATCTGCAGTATCCTTGCATTGCTCATGGTCTAGCAATATTCTTGCATTGCTCATGGTCTAGCAAAACCACTGACACCCATAGCAAGCAATTGCCCATTCTTCCAGCTTCTCACTCTGTTATTTACAATCTTGTTTATAATCTGACCTCACCACCTCAGTCATTATGCTCTATGACACTTTCCTGGTCACTTTCATTGCTTCTGTCCTTAACAGAAGCTTTAGGTGACCCTTCTGTCTACATGTCAGAGTGAACAACCCATCCCATGTCTAGAGGCCTTGGCAAGTGACCTGTCAAGAACAAACCCCTTCTAGACGTGTTCTATTACAGCAAGCAATTCTAAGATTTTCCAAGTGTGTTCATCAGCAAGAATAGCTGCACAATCTATGAGGCCTAGTGCAAAATGAAATTGAAGGTTCTTTTTTCAATACTGCAATAGCTGAGCAGTAAAGCAAGCACGAGCCCTTCCTAGGCCAGGTCCCTGAGCAATTGCCTAGGTTACACACCCATGAACCCAGCCCTGTCAGTTAGGGCCCAACCAGGAAACCAGAAGCCACCTTAAGTACTCGAAATGAAGAGAACTGAATTCAGGGAGTTGGTTACTCAGGTTATGAAAATGCTAAGAAGACTAAGAAACACAGTGAAGCATGCCAGAAATGGGCAATATCAGGAAGCCATCGTTTTCAACCCTTAGACCAGAAGGACACAAGCAGTAGGCTTTTCTGAAGCCCAGCAGCTAGAGTCATCCCACAAAAACCGGAATTCCAATGTGTCTGTCTGCCGGAAGCTGCAAACATAGACAAGATATTGCTATTGCCTATGATACTGCTCTCTCTTCCTTCCTCCTGTCCTCTAGTATCCCCCAATGCCTCCTAACTGACTGACTCAGACAGGAGGCAGTTGACACAGAATCCTTCACACTCAGCCTGTAGGAATCAGCCCTTCTGCAAGACCAAGCAGAGGAGGAGAAAGATGAAGAGTGGTCTGAACGAGGCAAGCTCAGCACAGCCCATATACTTTGCTACCCACTTCTTGCTCTCGCCAATTTGCCTGTACTTAAAATTGTTCTTCTCTGTGTCACAAGCGAACAGTTGCATAAATGAAGACACGTTCACACCTTCCCCAAACAAGACAAGCCCCCTTGCTCATCGTATCCACTTCACACCCAGTGTCCCACGGATCTACAATTCCCCGCTTGAGGTGTGGATATGACTCTATGTGGTCTGATAATCTTTGAACTAAATAGCAGCAACACTCCTCATATGCAGGAGTGCAAAGGAAATGTTTGGCTATTGCATATACAACAGAAATATGTAATTGTCTCAGTCCCCTTTTCTGTAACTAGTAAAGAGGGAGCGATTAATATTTATTACTTCTGTCACCCACACCCATTCCAGGTTACTCTTGCCCTCAATTAGCACTTCCCTGATTTGTGTTCTTCACCTGGTAGGGTCCCTTAATGGTCCTCACTTTACTGAGTCATGAAGTCTTCCATTGATTTTTACCATTGAACCTGGAATTACTGAGAGGCACTCTAGAGAATTCCCTAGTTTCCAGATCTAATCACTACTGTCATTGTGAATAGCAATCCAATTTACCCTATTTAATATAATAACCGGGATTGATCATTCCAAATAGCACAGTAATTTCCTCATGTGCCAAATGATTTACAATCAAGAGGAGACGAAATTAGCCAGGCAGCAGTATCAACTTTCGGCCGAAAGGGGCCAGTGTTGTATCCACAGGGGGAAGCATTCCTCTCTTGGAAACTAGGATCTCTAGACCAGCAGATTTCAGGATTTTAGGCACATAAAGCAAAACCCCTGCAAAAGTTATTTATATCCAGGCCCTAGCTCATTATACGCTCCATCTGATAGAATAGCAATCCATTCTTAAAGGTGGTTCTCTTCCAGTCATAAGCAAGTTATCTGTTGACATAACATGGCTTGATCAGACTACTTGCTCCTAGATGATGGGTACATGTCGAGACCAGCATTCGGGGCATATACATGAAATTTGTACCCATTTATAGTCACTTGGCGCTTCATGGCAAGTGGCAGTCTCTGCCAGGACTCAATGGCAAGCAAGAAGCTGTCTATTAAAAGGGGTATCATCATCAACAAGAAAGCATGGCTTTGTTCTAAACCCCCCAGGGTCTGCCTCATGATTTTTATTTCAGGGACGGCCAGGGCCATCCTTATTTACTAGAGACCTCTCCTTGAGCATCATTAAGTCTACTGGATCTTAGGGCTCAAGTGGAAGGAAGGTTCATATCACAGCCTGGAACTGCTAGAGCTTATTTCAGTCTGGGCCCCACACAAAACTAGCAGGCTTGTGGATTTTTCTATGGCTTGGTTGGAGAAGTACATTTCCAAAGAGCCCAGGACTGGGATCTGATTAGAGTATATATGCCTCCTGAACAATCTCTTTAGAGTTTTAAAGGTTTCCAATTTCTTTTGTCTTAGCCCCCACTCACTACAGATACACTTGCATTAAGGCTTACCAAAAAAAAAAAAAATTTGCTGGACATGGTGGCACATGCCTGTAGTTCCAAATATTCAGGAGGCTGAGGCAAGAGAATTGCTTGAACCTGGGAGGCGGAGGTTGCAGTGAGCCAAGATCGCGCCACAGTACTGAAAAAAAAAAAAAAAAAAAAAAAGAATTTACGCTATTGTCTCTAACCTTAATCCATTACCACTTGAATCACTCTAGCCTCCTCCTCCCCTTGTTGATCTGTAATTCCAGCTCCAACAATGAAAAACCTGGATCCAACCATCTATCACCCATTTACTTAGGTATCTGACTCCAGCATACATGCATAACAATACAGATGCTCCTCAACTTACCATGGTATTACATCCTGATAAACCCATCATAAATTGGAAATATCACGTTAAAAATGCATTTAATACACCTAACTTACCAAACATCATAGCTTACTTTTGCCTACCTTAAACATGCTCAGAACATTTACATTAGCCTATAGTTAAGCAAAATCATCTAACACAAAGCCTATTCTATAATAGTAAAAATAAACATAAGAGACCAAAATTCAAAGCATGCTTTGTACTCAATGTGTACTGCTTTCACACACTATAAAGTCCAAAAATCATTAGCCAAACCATCATAAGTCAGGGTCCATCTGTATGAGAATGATTAACTCATATCCCAGTAGCAAACACCTTAACAACTAGAGTGCAATGCTTATATAAAATTACTTTTGCCTTTAGTCTTACAGACTGCATTCATTTTTGGCTTAGCATCTTATTCATCTATCATCTTCAGTGGGATGTTTTCATGCATTTGTAATCAAGTTAGATGATTTTTTCACATTCTGCATTCCATCCTGGAATCCTCTGATCTCTTCAGTGATTTTCTTTTTTTTTTTTTTTTTTGTAATTTTCATTCATTAAGGTTAACTCATTGTGCCGTAAATTTCTACAGGTTTTCACAAAGTCAATGTCATGTATCCACCATTACAGTAGAATATAGAATAGTTTCACAACCTCAAAAGTCTCCTGGGCTTCACTTACTCAACATCCCCCTCCATCCCTGCTTTCCCCAAACCTCTGAAAATGACTGATCTGTTTACTCTGTATATAATTTTGCACTCCATAATGTCATATAATTGAGATCATTTAGTATGAAGTTTTTCTTTTACTTAGCAATGTGAATTTACAATTCATTTATGTCTTTTTATAACTTAAGAGCTCATTTTTTCTCTCCTTTTATGCCAAATAATATTCTATTGCATGGATGTAAAGAAGTATTTTATCCCTTCACCTATTGAAGGACACCTAGATTGCTTCCAGTTTGGGGTGATTATAAAGTTGTTATAAGCATTCTCAAGCAAGTTTTTATATGAACATGTGTTCAGAATAATTGGGAAGCTACCTAGGTGTGTAACTGCTGAATTGTTATGGTTTAAATGTCCCCTCCAAAATTCATGTTGAAACTTAATTTTCAATGTGGCAACATTGAAAGTTTGGGACTTTAAGAGGTGATTGTATTATGAGGGCTCTGCCCTCACGAATGGATTAATCCATGAATGTGTTAATGAATGAATGATTTATAATGGGATGAAACTGGTGGCTTTATAAGAAGAGGAAGAGAGACCTGACTTACATGTTAATTCACTCAGCCTGTCACCATGGGATTCCCTCCACTACCTTAGTACTCTGCAGAGTCCCCACCAGCAAGAAGGCGCTCACCAGATGCAGCCCCTCAACCTTGGACTTCTCAGCCTCTGTAACTGTAAGAAATAAATTTCTCTTCTTTATAAATTACCCAGTTTCAGGCATTCTCTTATAAGCAACAGAATATAGACTAATATAGTATGTATGGCAAGGCTATGTTTAGCTTTGTAAGAAACTGCCAAACTGTCTTCCAAAGTAACTGTATTCTCTGCATTTTCACCAGAAATGAATGAGTGTTTCTATTGCCCTATATCTTAAATAACATTTGGTATTGCCAGGTTTTTTTTTTAATTGTAGCTATTCAAATAGGTGTGCAACGGTATCAGATTTTTATTTTAAGTTGATTTTTCTAATGACAAATGATGTTGAACATCTTTTCTTATGCCTATCTGCCATTGTATTTTTCTTTGGTGAGGTGTTTGATCAGATCTTTTGCTTATTATTTAATCATGATGCTTGATTTGCTGCTTTGTTTTTCTTGATTTTCATACAGGTTGGATATAAGACATTTGGAAATATTTTCTCCCGAACTGTGGCTTGTATTTTTATTCTATTAATGGTCTTCCACAAAGCTGAATTTTGTAATTGTAATAATATTTAAATAAACAATATTTTCTTAAAGGATTGTACTTTTCACAATATATTTTTAAAATCACAAAAACTCAAGCTCATTTAGATTTTTGTTTTCTATTTTCTTGAAGATAGTTTACGGTTCTGCATTTTGCATTTATGTCTATGACGCATTTTAAGTTAATTTTTTGAAAGATGTGAGGTCTATGCCTAGATTCATTTGTATTTGCATGTGGCTGTTTAGTTGTTCCAACATTATTTGTTTGAAAGACTATCTTTTCTCCATGGTATTGTCTTTGCTCCTTTTTCAAAGATCAGTTGACTATATTTATTTGGGTCTGTTTCTGGGCTCTCTATTCCTATTGTCTATTTGTCTATTCTCTCATCAATATCACACTGTCTTAATTATTGTAGCTTTATGGTAAGTCTTTAAGTCAATGAGTATCAGTCCTCTTTGTTTTTACTCAATATTGTGTTGGCTGTTAGAGACCACTTACATCTACAAACATTAGAATCAGTTTGCGAATGTCTACACAACTGCTTGCTGGGATTTTAATTGGGATTGCATTGCATCTATAGATCAATTTAGGGATGACTGGCATGTTAACATCCAGTTCATAAGCCTGGAATATCTATCCACTTATTTAGATTTTGTTTGATTTCTTTCATCAGGATTTAGATTTTGTTTGATTTCTTTCATCAGGGTTTTGTAATATTCTCCATAAAGATCCTGTACATATTTTGCCAGACGTAGGCCTAAATATTTTATTTTTTGATACTATTGTATTTTCTATTTCAAATTATAATTCTTCATTGCTGATATATAGAAAATTACTTGATTTTTATGTATTAGCACTGAATCCTTAAATCTTGCTATAATCATTTATATTCCAGGAATTTTCTCGTCGATTCTACATAGAAAATCATATAATCTAAGAATAAAGACAGTTCTTTCTTCCTTTCCAATTTCTGTATATTTTCTTTCCTATTCTTGTCTTATTGCACTAGGTAGGACTAGTATGATGTTGAATATGAGCGATGATACTCTTTTAGATTTTTCATACTCTGTATTTCATCACCCTCATTCTGGGAGGCCAAAGTAAAAAAAATGACATCCACAAGGTAATCTAAGAAGCACACTTTTAAAGCTCACCTTTTCAGATCCTGCATTGGCCAATCATCTTTGTATCTTTCCTATGAAATCCTAGATTGAATATAGCTAATGTGATCAACCTGAACTCATCGTACATTATCATGACCAAATGGACTTTGTTTTCTAATTCTCACTTAAGAAAATAAAAGATTTCAATGGTGGTGATTGATATCAAGAAAGACGGGAACAACTTCAGACACTGGGCATGTAAGGGATAGCCAGGGTAACTGGAATTAAAGAGAGCTGATTTGAACAGGATGGATTTAGGGACTAGGAAGTGAGGCACAATATAGAAGGAAAATGAAATAACAGCAAATGCATGATGCATATACTTTAAATTTTGTTTGGGTTGAAGGGCTGTGTAACCCACGTTTGCATCTTTCTTTTCCCCTCCTGAGGAAGGTGTTCTCTAATCTGAGGCAGCAATAAATCTTCTCCCTGCCATCACCCTAACTCTGTGACCTTGAACTTATACTAAGGCTGTCTTTTGAGAATTACTACAGACAAAAATATAAGAAATGAGGATAGCAAGATATACATTCATATAATGAGACTGAACGTGAAGAAAACAATTGACTGAGATGTTATTGAATTCAGAGGGGGAAAGTTTCCTGCAAGAAGTTTGGTCAGCAATGAAAGCATTAGAAATGAAGAACCAGGGAAGCAGACTTTGTAGGACTCATGTATCCTCCCCATAGAAGGAGGTGTCCGGCCATGGAGTTGAGCGCACTCTGCTAATGGAAAAAGATAAACCCCTTCTGTGAACGTGGAGGCATGAAGATAGCCTAGCCAATAAAATCATCTCAGTTCTGAGCTCAAGAAGTAACCTTCTGACTTACAAGGCTTCCCATGCCACTTATTGATCTCAGGGAGTAGAGGCTCCAGCAATGTATGCCACAGGGAAATCCGGTCCTTGGGCATTATTTTATTCCAAATTCCAGATGAATAACTGGTATCTATTGTATAAAATTCTTTCTCTCTGGAGTTTGGTTAACATGATTCTGCATTCCTCAAGCTTGCTTAGTTTTAGGATTCTGACAACGTTGAGTGCCCAGGGGCTAAGGGGCAAGCCCTGGACTCAGTGAGCACTCCAAGTCATATATCATTTCGTTTACAATATGACTGTTTTCAGCTAGCCTTCCTTGTTGAGAACCAACCACAACACTTTCCTTAAAATATCACTAATCCCAATAACAATAATTCTGTTCCAAAAACCTTAATATGACAAAGTAAGAGATAAGAAAAGTTACCCTGGACCAGTTTCTAGTGAAGAATGAGCCTTCTCCTAAAGCAACTACCAGGTTTTCCAGGTACCATCCTTCTCCATCTTTTTGTTTTGTTTTGGTTTTTGTTTTTGTTTTTAAGACAGAGTCTTGCTCTGTCACCCAGGCTGGAGTGCAGTGGTGCGATCTGGGCTCACTGCAACCTCCACCTCCCAGTTCAAGCAATTCTCATGCCTCAGCCTCCCAAGTAGCTGGGATTGTAGATATGTGCCACCAAGCCTGGCTAATTTTTGTATTTTTAGTAGAAATGGGGTTTTGCCATGTTGTGTAGGCAGGTCTTGAACTCCTGGCCTCAAGCAATTCAGTCACCTCGGCCTCCCAAAGTGCTGGGATTACAAGTGTAAGCCACTGCACCCAGACTTCTCCATCTTTTTCATCTTATGCTAAGTAGACCACTCAACACCTCCTGGCCTGAGTCTCAGGGAAGGTCTCATGGTTAGCTACTCATTGCAATAGAAGTGAGTGCTGAGCAGGCTGTTGGATAGTTCAGTCAAAAGAAATCCTCCAGTCTCTTCCTAAAGAAGACAATGCCTACAGAGGCATAAACAGAAAACAGACTGAGTGAGTGACCGGTATGGTAAAAACATTACCTCAACTCAGTGCTAGAGAAGAAAGTGTAGTTTAATTCACACCCATTGCAGGGGCAGCAAACATCAGGACATCTGGTGTTCTCCTGACTTCAGCTAAATGACACCTCCATCTTGCATTTGTTTCTGAATGTGATGTCCATAATCAGATATATGAAGGGCAACTTTAAATAATGGATGCAGGCATGACATCACTTCTTGCGAAAAAATATCACATAAGGATGATTAATGGCTTAAGAGCGTAGGTGAGTGAATTGCAGTCAATCTGGGAAAATAAAAGGAAAGTCAAGAAATAAAATAAAATAAAATACATATTCAGCAATGTTGCCATTCTCCTTCTCAAGAGAGAATTGTGATAAACTTGTGTGTGGTTTGGGTGCTTAAAAAGTCTACTATTGTTGGAAAAGGTATCTTTTCTGATACATAAAAGATGGTGTGGAAGGAGCAGCTACCAAAAGAGAGTCTACAAGGCTCAGCAGTTATTATAACTCAGCATAGACCTTACTTGAGCATGGGGGATTTCAGGGAGGCTGAATGCTGAGGTAATATTGAGCTTCTCTGAACATTTTCTATTTTCCTGTGTATTTTCTTCTAATGACATTGACAAAGCTCAAAATGTTTCTGAATTCCATTTTATTTCTTGACTCATAATGATAATGCAATGTGTTATAGAATTTTGAGTACATATGCAAAATTCAAATCAAATTGTGGATTGGTGGGAGGAGCTCATTCTTAGAGAGTAAAGAAAACCTTGAGAACTGATGGATGCAAGAGAAAACTAAGGCCACATCAATGACCTTTCTTCCCAGGGCATATGGAAATGGGTGGTAAGGACACAATATTCCAAAACCAAATCTGAAGGAGAGCGACAATTCCATCAGATACTAATCAATGAGTCAATATACATTGATTATTATTATGGATTTATATCCATAAATCCCTATTATTTGGTTGTCCTGACACCACATGGTGTCATAAATTTTTCTTCATAAATTATCCAGCCTCAGGTATTCCTTTATAGACACCATATGATGTCAGGACAACCAAATAATAGGGACTTGTGAATATAAAAAACACAGAAAGCTTTATGCAAAATGAAAGAAGAGCTTCCATGTGTTTGATATTTTAGATACCTCATGTAAGTAGGATCACGCAGTATTTGTGACAGACTTATTTCACTGAGGATGTGTCTTCCAGGTCTATCCATGTTGTCACAAATGGAAGGATTTCCTTCTTTTTTAAGGCTGAAAAATATTTCATTAAGGAATACACCACATTTTATTTACCATTTATCTGTTGATGGACAGTTGAGTTGAAGGGTATTCCACTATTGTGAATAATGCTGTTATAAATTAAAGAGTGCAGATATTTCTTTAAGAAAAACAGAATGATAATTGCCAGGAGATGGGGGTTTGGGGAAAATGGGAAGTTGCACAATGGGTATAAAGTCCCAGATAAACAAATGAATAAGGTCTAGTGTCTGCCATACAACTTGGTGCCTATAGTTAACAATGCAGTGTTGCACACTCAAAATTTTAAGAGGGTTTCAACAGTTTGGATGTTTGTCCCTGCACACCTCATGCTAAAATTTGATCCTAATGTTAGAGGTGGGGCCTAATGGAAGTTGTTTGGGTCATGAGAACAGATCCCTCATGAACTGACAAATGCCCTTTTTTCATGGGAGGGGATAAGTGAGTTCTCACTCTTATTAGTTTCCTTGTGAATTGGTTGTTAAAGAGTCTGGCATCTTCTTCCCCTCTCTCTTTTGCTTCTTCTCTTGTCATGTGATCTCTGCACATGGCAGCTCCCCTTCCCTTTCCACCATGAGTGGAAACAACCTGAGGCCCTCACCAGATGCAGATGCTGGCACCGTGCTTCTTGTACAGCTTGCTGTACCATGAGCCAAATAAACCTCTTTTCTTCATAAATTACCCAGCCTCAGGTATTCCTTTATAGCAAGACAAACAGAATAAAACAAGGCTAGATCTCACATTAAGTGTACTTACCACACACAAAAAAAGCAAAGGAACATAAGGAAACTTCTGAAGGTCATGGACGTATTTATTACTTTGGTTGTGGTGATAGTATCACAGGTGTATGCACGTGTGCAAACTCATTAAATTGTATACATTAAATATGTGCAGATTTTTATACATCAATTATACCTTAATAAAGCTGTGAAAAAACGAAATGAGAGACACTAGAAACAATACAAAATACCTTCCATAAATCAGATGAGAAAGATTCCTAGTCATTAAAGACTAAGCTGGATTCACATAGCCTAAAAATCCTAACTCCACAGACCGAGAAAGATGGTCCTATTAGCAAGAAAATGTCCAGAGAGGATCTCTAAAGGAAGGCCACAACCCAAAAGCTCATTTGTGTAAGACCTGACATCAGTCAGCATAGCGAGTTCTTAAATTCATGGCATTAACATTCAGAGGTTTGATTTATCACCAGGAAATCCATAAAATATCATAATAGATCATAATACTCAGAGTGCTTAGGAGAATTAAAAGGAAAAATGTATAGAAAGTACCTGGAGCATATTTGAATTATGTAGGTGAGTGAGTCAAGCAGAAACACAATATTTCCTTTTTAGTGTGTTACCTTACTGTTTTGTTTTGTTTTTGTTTTTAAATTAAATAGTGAATACCCATGTACATTCCTTGTGAATAGGAAAATCAATTTTTCCCCCACTGCCAATGAGTCCATAGTGCCTAATGTACTTCCAGGATTCTTTTTCATTGCTCTAGTGCCTGGGTACAGGTTATCCTGTAGCAAAACCCTCACTGAGGATAACAGAGGGCAGCCAAGAAAAATGGGGTTGTCTCAAGGTAGACAGACTAGGCTCCAAAAAGAGTGAGTAAACATTTGAAGAGAAATGAAGAGGTTGATACAACTCAGCAGGACACAGAGAAGTCCATGCAGTGGCTGCATCCAGGTAACCCAGGAAAGGTAAGTGGGTCTGCACCAGCTTCCATAACAGCAGAAGCCTGGACAAGAATTCCAGGCACAGCATCAACCACAAAGAGCCTGAATGTGAGTCCTCAGATGATAGCAATGGCTACAAGCAGAGCGCAATTGGTGAACAGGCTCTCAGAGGCTCTTGGAAGTGGCTGACTGAGCAGGAGTGGACTCTAAGATCGCAAAAGTTACAGTGAGTGTCTGCATGGAGAAGAACCTGTCTTAAATAAGCAAGCATTTAGGGAGGAGCAACATTGGCTGAGGGCTTCTCAGATATGGCAATAGGAATTGCTGGATGAGATTAGTGGCAAGGTGATATTGTAGAATTAGGATCAGAAAATTTTTTGTGTAAAAATCAAGATAGTAAATATTTTAGGCTTTGTGGGCCACACAGTCTCCATTGCAGCTACTCAACTCTACAACTGTGGTCCAAAGGCAGCCACAGACAATACAGAAACAAATTGGAGTGGCTGTGTTCCAATCAAATTTTATTTAGAAATTCAAGTGGCCAGCTGGATTTGCCTATAATTAGCTGATGTCCATCTCAGAAGAGATCCTTTACATTTTGTAATGAAATTTTATTCTTTTGTCTTGATAATAAAAACAGTAGGTGATCATTGTTGAAAATATAGAAAAAAATAGAAAAGTATAAAAAATATTTTAAATCACCTACATATCACCCCTCAGAGACCCATTGAAACATTTTATGTATATTCCATTCAGCATTCTTGCCAATCTTTTATACAAAATTGAAATTCTAATGTACAAATGATCCTGGCTACTACTTTTTCAATGAAAATGATGTCATGCATATAATCTCTTTAAAATCCCTCCTAAATATTTGGATCACTACATAATATTCTAACATATGGATATATCAACTTTTATTTAATCCATATAAACTGACAAAGAGGTTGTTTACAATATTCTGCTACTATAAATAGTTTGGTGTTAAACATTTAATACACTAATCTTGATGTGTCTTTTCATATCCTCATAATCAATTACGTGATGTTGAGTCTGAGTACAGAACCCAGGCTGTGGCCTTGGAGTGTACAAGGAGAAACGAGAGGAAGTGCTGCTTCTAACATTAATCTATAGGCTGACTTTCCTTAGGATAGAGCAGAGAATAAAACAATTTTCTGCAGTTGAAAATAACTATTATTGCAATAAGTGATAATTCTATTATCATGAACATTTCAATCAAGAAATTGAGATGCAGTCATTGATCAGAAAGTATAACAAGGTTAAACCATTCAATTCTGATAGTTGAATTTTAAATTTGGATATCAAGAAAAATAATTGCAGATAGAATTCAGGAACCAAAAGATATTTTGATGGAAATATTTATAATAATAATTTATATTCATATAATGACTGGTTTTTAAATAACGTTCACATACATTATACCATTTGCCTCAGAAATTAACTATTTCTCCTGATAGGTTTTTTTAAGACAATAGACACATGACCCCAATTAAGCAAATTGGCTCCTGAACTAGGTACAAACGATTCAAAGCAGATCCATTCAATATACTGTACCATCACAAACTGAATTCTAACATTGTCTTTTTAAGAGAGAAGCTGGTGGCTAGGCATCATCCAGTACTTTTTGTTTTCTGCACCTGCTATGCTTACACAAGGCCTGATTGCTTATATTTTCTTTTTGATGACAGGCATTTGGTTCTTCTAAAGCAATTAACAACAGGCTTGAAAAAAAGGCCAAATTAGTGTCTGAATTAAATAAAATCTAGCATTTCTGTAACACTTTACAACTTACAAAGATCCAAACAAATGTTAGAACATGAGATGTTTGTCACTGGATTATATGAACTATTTGTCAATAGATTATAATTCCTATGGTAATGTTTTCATTCATAAAAGTAATTATTTCCTTTAGTTATTCTGTACTGTAGGAATTATAATCCATTATATGCTCACGTTTAAAAAATTATTTTGAAATGTGATTATACTAAATTGTGTAAAGAGATCTTCCTCATTCAAATTCACAGAAGAAAGAAAGATAATTTATATAACTAAACTCAATTGCAATCAATCCAACAATAACTCCCAGGGTTTTTTATTTGTTGATCATTATCACCAATTTTGATAGCCACTGGATAAACAAAAACAAGGGGTTAAAGAAAAATGGTGTCTTCCAAACTGATGCAGCTGGTTTTAATACACAAGTAGTTTAGAACAGAATATAACATTTGCAATAGATTATTAGATTGAGGCAAAAAAATTTTTAAAAACAGCAAAAACTACAATCCATATTGGGAAATGATTTTTTATTAAAGTTCAATGGGTTCCCTACACCTTAAAATAGTTTAAAATAAAATAAAACATTTTATACTACATAGTTTACAGCCTATAGCAATCAAAGCTCTCCATAACATTTTTGAAAATTTCTCAAAGGCCTGACATTGTTAAGGTTATCTCTGGCTCTGAACTCCTGTTTTCACTGACATAATTAATTAATAGTTGATGTCTGGAAATCCTACAAATGTCCTCTCCATCTGTCTTACATGCATAGAGTCTCAGCTTATACATATGAACAGAATGCCACACACAAAAAAACTAGAATAGCTACTAAACCAACTTGACTGAAGACTTCTTAGGAAAGGCAGAGAGGCTCACATCTTAGCAACATGAAGAATTTCTATTTAAACAGTATTGTCCTTAAAATATTTCTGCAAGAAACAGGTGGTGAAAGCTAGGGTGGGAGCAAGGTTGGGAGTCTAAAAGGTGACCTATGTTTACAGGTGGGACATGAACATCACGCCAGCAGGTTAAATGTTGATTCACCAAAAAACAAAGCAACCCTGAAACACAGAATAAGATAACAGGAAACATGTCTGTTTTAAGCTGAAGGCTGCATGGAGAACCTTTTTTAAATGTCCCATCAAACCTAACCAGAGTACATAGACAGAATTCGTGCTACCTGAGTGCCTGAAAACCCTTAGATGAAGAATTTAGCTGGACGTAGTCTTGGGTTGGTGGTGTTAGAGGTAATTGACAGAAGTAAATGTCCTTAAGGTGTATGTATTTCAACCCACAGATAAATTTCCGAACTGTTCTAAAAAAATTCAATCACTCAAAGAAAAAAATTACAAAACATGCCAGAAAACAATGTATTGTGCATAAAAGCAAAGACTTATAATGCAGTTATTAAAAGGAATGGAGATAGAAACTAAATACTTATAACTTGTGTCCCAAAACAAAAGTGGTGTTTTGAAATATAACTAAGGGGCAAGGGAACTGGTAGATTTGGAAAAAATTCATACATTTCATTCTCAAAGTTTAAATTTTTTTTAAATTATTGAAATTGGACATAAATATAGTAAATTAGTAAAAAAAAGAATATAGATCATCAAAAATTATTCAGAACACAGCACAAGAAGAAGAATATTGTATTAGTCTGTTTTCACATTGCTGATAAAGACATACCCGAGACTGGGCAATTTAAAAAAGAAAGAGGTTTAATTGGACTCACAGTTCCACATGGCTGGGAAGGCCTCACAATCATGGCAGAAGGCAAAGAGGAGAAGTTATATCTTACATGGATGGCAGCAGGCAAAAAGAGAGCTTGTGCAGGGCAACTCCCATTTTTAAAACCATCAGATCTCATGAGACCTATTCACTATCATGAGAACAGCACAGAAAAGACCTGCCCCCATAATTCAATCATCTCCCACTGAGTCCCTCCCACAACCTGTGAGAATTATCAGAGCTACAAGATGAGATTTGGGGAGGGACACAAAGCCAAAGCATATCAAATATAAAGTATTAAAACAATATAAAAAAAGAGGTTAATCTATTTGGAGAGTTATTAATAACAGTTCTAGAAAGGTCATAGAAGAATTAGGTGAGGCAATATATGTTATAATAATAATAGAGGATGTTTTAGAGTGGTTGAAAAAAATGGTTCTCAGAATCAGGATCACAGTGAATCCTAAAATCAAAAACAGAAATAAAAATATTTTACTGAAAAAAAGAGAGATTTTTCCACCAACAAATAAGTAACTTCTGAAGATTATATTTTCATTAGGGATTAATGATCCAAACTGAAAAGTCAGAAAAGCAAGAAAATACGATTAAAAATTATGTTAGAAATGAATTAGTAACCTAATTTATTACATAAAGCAATAATATTTCTATCCAGTTTGTGGGGTTTAAAAAAAAAGATAAAACCAAAATATTCAGCAAAAATAGCATAAAAAGTTGAAAAGGAAATAACCCAAGTTAAAGAATTCACAGGTCATATTTTGTTCATGAAGATCATAAGATACTGATTAGTATCAAATAATTTAAAAGTGAAATCCAACAAGACTAATAAAATAATAAATTGTGAAGTCACCTAATAATATAACCTCAAATTATATAAATCAAATGTTAATCTAACAAATCAATAACAGGAAACAATGAACTTCACCAAAATTTCAAAATTCTATTGATAAGGGGATATAATTTTTAAAAAGAATGAGCAGAAAATATTAGCTAAGAGAAAATATTAGCAAACAATATATTTCACAAAGGACTAGTATACAGCCTATATAAATAAATCTTACAGCTCACTAATAAAAGGAAGACTTCCAAGAAAAGACAGGCAAAAGGTTTGAGCAGACATTTCATAAAGGAAGATACATGCATGGCCCATAAACACATGAAACTTTGCTCACCATCATTAGTCATCAAAGACATAATAATTAAAACTAAAATTACTCATCACTGCATACCCACTACAATGGCTGAAATTTAAAAGACTGAAAATACCTAATGCTGGCAATGACATGGAACCCTAGAATTCTCACCTATTGCTGATGCATCTACTCTGGGAAAAGAACTGGCTATTTTTAAAACACCAAACATTCATCCAACAATTCTACCCCCAGATGTGTCTACAAAAGAAAAAGATTATACTAGAATGAAGCAGATTTATTCACATTAGCCCAAAGCTAGAAACATCCATTAATGGAGAAATGAACAAAACAATAGTGGTACATCCACATATACAATGAAATCCTATTCAACAATTAAAATGAAGAAACACACAAAATCTCAAAATAATTATACTGTGTGAAAGAAGCCTTTGAAAAAAGAGTACGTACAGTGTAATTCCATTTATATGAAGTTCGGAAATAGGAAAAACTAACCTATAGTAGAAAAAAAAATCAGAAAAGTTGTTGCCTGGGGTTAGCAGGGATTTACTAGGAAGAGGCATTACAGCCATGGTCATGTTCTGTATATTGACAGAGATTTTTGTTGCCACAGGTTCATACCATTGTTGGAACTTACCAGGCCCAACATTTCCTGATCCCCAGCCCAGCAACTGAAGGTGGCCCAAGTAAGCTCATTCCTCCCAGAGACTGAGTAATAATTCATTTACAGTATCACCAAGGCTAGCAAAACCAGCAAGAAGAATCAGTGGGAAGACCTGTCAACAGTAACTGGCCAGGAGAAGAGCTCTCCTAACCAGGAAATTAAGTAAACACTTTCATTTACAATGGCATTCAAAATTAAAAAAAAAAAAAAACTAGGAATAAATTTAACCAAAGATATAAAATCTTATACAATGAAAACTACAAATCATCGTTGAAAACAATGAGGAAGACCTAAATAAATGGAAAGACATCCTGTGCTCATGAACTGGAAGACTTAACATTGTGAAGAGGATAATACTACCAAAGCAATCTACAAATTCATTGCAATTCCTATCAAGATTTAATTGGCCTTTTTTATTTTTTGGCAGAAATGGAAAAGCTGATTCTTACATTCATATGGAATTGCAAGGGACTCAGAATCGGCAAAACAATCTTAAAAAGATTTTTTTAAAAAGCTGAAAGTCTCACAGTCTCTATGATGGTTAATATTAAGTGTCAACTTAATTGGATTGAAGAATGCAAAGTATTGTTCCTGGGTGTGTCTGTGAGGCTGTTGCCAAAGGAGATTAACATTTGAGTCAGTGGACTGGGAGAGGCAGACCCACCCTCAACCCGGGTGGGCGCTGTCTAATCAACTGCCGGCGCAGCTAGAATAAAGCAGGCAGAAGAAGGTGGAAGGACTTGACTTGCTGAGTCTTCCCCCATTCATCTCTCTCTCGTGTGGGATGCTTCCTACCCTCGAACACTAGACTCCAAGTTTTTCAGCTTTTGGACTCTTGGACTTACACCAATGGTTAGCCAGGGGCTCTATGGCCTTTGGCCATGGACTGAAGGCTACACTGTCGGCTTCCCTACTTATGAGGTTTTGGGACTTGGACTGGCTTCCTTGCTTCTCAGCTTGCAGATGGATTATTGTGGGACTACACCTTGTGATCATGTAAATCAATATTCTTTAATAAACTCCCCTTTCATAGATAGATAGATAGATAGATAGATAGATAGATAGATAGATAGATAGAACCTATTAGCTCTGTCCCACTAGAGAACCCTGACTAATGCACTTTCCAACATTACAGAGCTTAGTAATCAAAACAATATGGTATTAGCATAATGATAGACATAAAGACCAAGAGAATGGAATTGAGTCCAGAAATAAACCCATACATCTATAGCCAAATGATGTTCAATGAAAGTGCCAAGTCCATTCAATGGAGAGAAAGAACAGTCTCTTCAGCAAATGGTGCTAGGACAATCAGACATCTATATGCAAAAGAAGTAAAGTTCAATTCTTACCTCACATAATATTCAAATTTTAACTTAAAATGGATCAATGACATAAATAAAAGAGTTAAAACCATAAAAATCTTTGAAGAAAACATAAGGCTAAATGTTCACGATATGGCCTTAGATAATTAGACAGGATGCCAAGAGCACAAACAACACAGAAAACATTAGATAAACCAGAATTCACCAAAATTAAATTTTTTGTGCATCAAAAGGTATCATTAAGAAAGTGAAAATACAACCTATAGGATAGAAGAAAATATTTGCAAAGCATATATCTAATAAGGGCTTAATGTCCAGAATACATAACAACTCAACAACAAAAATACAAACAGCCCCATCTTAAAATATGCAAAGAATTTGAATAGACACTTCTCCAAAGGAGATACACAAGTGGACGACAAGCATATGAAAGAAAAATCCTTTGTCATTAGGCAAACACAAATTAAAGCAATATTGCAATACTACTTAATACCGCCTGGGAAGCCTATAATTGTTTTAAAAAATGAAAAATAAATGATGATAAGGATTTAAGGAAATTAGACTCGCTACATTGCTGATGGGAATGTAAAATGGTTCAGTCGCTGAACTAAGCAATTTGTTCCTAACAAAGTTAAGCAGTAATTACCATGTGATCCTGCAATTCTGCTCTTATATATCCAAAATAATTAAAAACTGGTATTCAAACAAATACATGTGCACATATTCTCGTAGCAGCACTCCTCACAATAGCCAGAAGGCAGAAACAGTCCAAATATCCATCAATGGAAAAATGACTAAACAGATTGTGGTATATAGATACTATGGAATATTATACTACCATAAAAAGAACAAAGTATTGATACATACTATAATGTGGATGACCCTCAAAAACCTTATGCTAGGCCCGGCGTGGTGGCTCACGCCTGTAATCCCAACACTTTGGGAGGCCGAGGCAGGCAGATCACAGAGTCAGGAGTTCAAGACCAGCCTGGCCAACATGGTGAAACCCCATCTCTACTAAAAATACAAAATGAGCTGACTATGGTGGCACACACCTGTAGTCCCAGCTACTCGGGAGGCTGAGGCAGGAGAATCGCTTATACTCGGGAGGTGGAGGTTGCAGTGAGCCAAGATCGTGCCACTGTACTCCAGCCTGGGTGATGGAGCGAGACTCTGTCTCAAAAAAACAAACAAACAAACCAAAAAAAACCACAAACAAACAACAACAAAACTTTATGCTAAGTGAGGAAAAGCCAGACATAAAAGTTCACAATCATGTGATTCCATTTATATAATATAGAGTAGGTGAACCCTAGAGACAGATGGCAGGTTAGGGGTTCAGAGAAACTGGGGAGAGGAGAGAATGGGGAGCAACTGCTTATGGGGTACAGGCTTTCCTTTGAGGGTGATGAGAAGGTTTTGGAACTACATAGAGATGGTGGTTGTACAACAGTGAATACACTAAATGCCACAGAATTATACACTTTCAAATGGCTAAATTTATGTTATTTGAATTTCAACTCAATAAAAAATACCAAATACACCTACACACGCATGCGCACACACAAAGGGAAAAAAGACTAGTAGCTGCCAAGGGTTGAGATTAGTTGAGGGGTATGACAATAAAGGGGCAGCAGGAGTGCTATCTGTGTGCTCATGGAATTGTTCTGTATCTTGATTGTGGTAGTGGTTACACGCATGGGCTTACACAATAAAATGCCAGAGAACTGTGCGCGTGCATTACACCAAAGTCATCTTCCTGGTTTTGATATTTTACTACAGTTGAGTAAAATGTAACCACTGGGGCCAGGTGTGGTGGCTCACCTCTGTAATCCCAGCACTTTAGGAGGCTGAGGTGCAAGGATTGCTTGAACCCAGGAATTTGAGACCAGCCTAGGCAAAATAGTGAAATTCTGGCTCTACAAAAAAAAAGAAAATTAAAAAACAAATTAGCCAGACATGGTGGCATGCACCTGTAGTCTCAGCTACTTGGTAAGCTGAGATGGGAGGATCACATGAGCCCGATTCTATAATTATTTCAAATTTTTAAAAAGTAAAATGATGGAGACATTGACTACATTAAAATTAATAGCTTCTTTATTGACTACATTAAAATTAAGAGCTTCTGTTCATCAGAATAAAGTTCATGAAGAGTGAAAAGGCAAACTAAAACTTTGGTAAAGATATGAAATAGATATTATCCTCAATAACAATAAGAAAAACAATCTAAAAAAATGGGCAAGCAAATTAAACAAATAATGAAGATGAATCATGAATGACAAATAAATAGATAAACATTTCTCAGCTTCATTAGCAATTAAGTATTAACTAAGCCATGTTAAATTATTTACAACCCCTAGTGTTGAGGGCAGACATGAAGCAAAGGGAACTTCTACCTGCTGCTCAATTCAGGCTAAGTAGAAGCAAGCAGCAAATCACTTAAGTAGTAAACGAGTTCAGCCTGACAACCAGACTTCCTAGCTATGTGCTTGCTGTGTGCAGTGGTTGCAGTGGAGTGATGTCAAGGAGAACATCATATGCTGTAATGAATATGTACAAATCTGGCTGTTCTCAAGCCATGCCCTAAGCACTCCCCATCCCCCCACCCACTCCCACTCCATCTCCATCCACGTGAGACCACAGATTTGACACCATACTAAGTCAAACCATTCACCATATCACCTAACACAATTACCTTCTTCTTGTGGTCCCACCCCCATTCAGTATGTACATCATCCCAGAGCAAGGACTGTGTGGTATTTTTGTCTTTATTCCTAGCATCAATCATAGTGCCTAGAATAAATGCGACATACTAATAAACTTTGGTATTACACTGTTAAAAATGAGAATAACCTTTTATTCCCCACAAGCACTTAAGGTATTTAAGGATGATCTGTGCTTGATGTCTTTCTTTTACCTTTTCTTTGACAGGGAAACAATTAAGAGAGAACCGACATTTTATAGTGCGGCTAAAGTGGCAATTGTGTAGACATTTCTCATCTTAGCTGCAGAAGGAAAACAATTTACAGTTCCTGTTAGTCCATCTAGAAAAATGGTGCTTGTCAGATAACTTTGGTGGACGTAAGATACTCTTACAGGGAAAAAAATTATGGTATCGATTAAGTAACTTAAGTTTTGAAATTGTAAACCCTTTTTTTTTTTTTTCGATACAGAGTATCGCTCTGTCGCCCAGGCTGGAGTGCGGTGGCGTGATCTCTGCTCACTGCCAGCTCCACCTCCCGGGTTCACGCCATTCTCTTGCTTCAGCATCCCGAGTAGCTGGGATTACAGGTACCCACCATTACACCTGGCTAATTTTTTTTTTTTTTTGTATTTTTAGTAGAGACGGGGTTTCACCGTGTTAGCCAGGATGGTCTCGATCTCCTGACCTTGTGATCCGCCCGCCTCGGCCTCCCAAAGTGCTGGGATGACAGGTGTGAGCCACCGCGCCCAGCCTGCATTCACATTGTTCTTAAAGGTTCATGTAATTGAAGTCTCTAAGCTATCTAAATTAATATGCAAAATTTTACTATTATATAATTCATGCTTATGTAACATATTTTGAAATTACAGAAAAATATAAATTTTTAAAAATCAAGCATACTGAGAATACCTGCAAATACAGAAGGTATACAATGTTTTTGAAAACAATTATATATTTTTCATAAATTTATCTACTGCTTTTATTCTGAAAAGTTATTCTCATCATATCATTCACTTACTTTTTCTAATTTATAATTATTTTATTTTAAATATATAACTTTAATTAATATGATTTTATTTCTAAGATTTTATTCTCTCCTGCTTTGCTGATAATAAATTAAGTTTCAGTTCAGAAAATCCAAAAGCCAAATAATAGGATTTCCAAAAAGAGATAACTAAGAGAAAGTCAAGAAAATCATCAGTGAAATAATTCAAGAAACCTTCCAAGAACTGAAAAATATGAAGGATTAATTGAATGATCTTTTTTCTGACTTTCAATTAAGATGTAAGAAGTTGAAAAATGTTATTCCAAATCTTATAACAATAAGAAAAAAAGGATAATCTACAAAATCAAACTTTTTCTTCAATCCATTAGAGAGCTGAGATAGCAGGGCAACCAAAGAGCTGAAACCAAAGGTTAGCGTATGACCACTTGCTAAATGCTGAGCGTAGGCTAGCACGAGAACATAGAATCCCGGAACCTGCAGAAAAAGAGAAACTTTTTACCCACTCACAGGCTCTTCTCTGGAAATTTCACTAGAAACTCACAGAAAATGAGGGGTAGAGCAAGAAACAGAAGAAAGCCTGCCTCATGCTGCAGGCCTGCGGGGAAGAGCAGTAGCTGCTGCACGAAAGACACAGAGTTCCACCTAAAGCCTTGTCCCCACCTTCTCTGCAGAACAAAAGTCTTAAGCTGCTGGGGGAAGGGCAGCAAACTCTGTCATCCTCAGAACATAGATGAAGACCCACTGCAGCTATGAAAAGGGAACAAGAAGAAAAAACCTAGAGTAGAGGCTGAAAAAATCTTGGGCCCAGACTAGTAGAAACCCCCCTAACACAGTGGAAGAAAAATCACAGAGAAACCAGGGACTAAGCATTGCCTAATATGAAGGCTAGGCCAGGATAGAAGAAAGCACCTCTGTCCATGTCCCACCAGGCTAGCAAGCAACAAGTCACAAATAAGAGGATTCCAAAGCCAGGAGAGTGAAGTACAAAACACATAACAAAAACTGGTCCTCTCTAAGATGTAGGCATACATTGAAAGATGAAAGCTGGTGGTAGATCAGGATTATGAAGAAAAATCCCCTGGCAACCTAGCCCCCACCCTAAACTCAAAGTAATATAGAGAAATCAAACAGTCCGGGGTGAACTGAGGGTAATCATAGTAACAATAAACCCCAAACCCAGCTCAATTCCTGACTACATAGACTAAATGCCTCATACTAAAAGCCTAGCAAAACAGAAGGCATGCTCAGTTTGTGCCACAAATACTATTTACTTCCATCTCTTCTGTCCCACATAGGATGCCTAGCTTTCAACCAAAAATTAAGAGACACATAGAGAAGCAAAAAAATAAGATAAATTCCTAAAAAGAGAAAATAAAGGGAAACATATATGACCCAGAAGTAGAAATGATCAAAGAAATAAAGTAACTACTATAATAGGTCAAAAGATTGCATGGAAAGGGTAGACACATGCGTGGACGGATGGGGAATTTTAGAAGACACATGGAAACTACCAAAAAGAATTAACCAGAAATGCCAGAAATAAACCTTAACATTGAAGCAAAAATGAAAAATACATGGATTCAACAGGCACATCTGTAAAATTGACAGGGTAAAGACTCAGTAAAACTGAAGATACTTCAAAAGAAATTATCCAAACTGAAATACAAAGAGAATAAAACAGGGGGAAAAAATAATACAGACTAGAGTATTCAAGAGGTAAGGAACAATATCAAGCTATCATGTATGTGTATATGATTGGAGTCATAAAAGAGAGAGAAAGAGAATGGGGCAAAAGACATATTTAAAGGGATAATAATTGAGAATTGTCAAAAAGCATAAGAGACACAAAATCACATATGACAGAAGCTCAGAAAATATTAAACAAGATAAACACAAATAAGTAAACAAACAAAACACTCCTAAATAAGTGATATACAAACTGGCATAAACTAAAGATAACGAGAATATCTTGACGGCAGACTTATCATCAGAACGTTTAAAGTGAGAGAACATGAAATGATATTATTAAAGTGCTAATTGCAAAAACAATGAACCTAGAATTCTACACCTAGTGAAAATCTTTCTAAAAAAATATGAAAGAGTTTTTCAGACAACCAAAAGCTTAGGAAATCCATTAACAGCTGACTTGCACTCCAAGAAATGGTAAAATAAATTATTCAGAACAAAAGAATAGAATATCATATAGAAACTTGGATCTAAACAAAGAAATAAAGAGTGCAAGAAGTGATATAAATGGTGGTAAATACTCAATCTTTTTTTAAATTTTTAATTGTTCTAAAATGTAATTACTTGTGTAAAACCGCTAGAGTAAAAATGCATTGTGTGTTATAGTATATGTAAATATAGAGTATACAGAAAGATATCAGAAAAACTGGGAGAAAGAAATGGGGAATTCAGTTGGGAGCTCTTTACACTATAGGAAATTATATAATATTTGATGATTGGATATAGTTAATTCAAAATGTATATCCTAAACCCTGGAGAAATAACTAAAAATCATTTTTTAAAAGCACTAAATGATAACCCAGTAGTAGAAGCAAAAGAGCATCATTGAAAATATACTGAATTAAGGCAAAGAGTAAAAGTACAAAATGATAAAGTGAAGAGATGTAACAAATTTTAAAATAATTAGCAAAATAAATCATAATTCAACTATATCAAAACTATATAGAATATAAGTGGTCTAAATATTCCATTTAAAAGACAGAGACCATAAAAGCAGATGAAATAATAAAACCTAAATATATTATATATAAAAAACACTCACTTTTAAATCTAAATATATAAATGAATTAAAAGTTTAAAGATATAAAAAGATTACTATATAAATCAAAAGAAAGCTAAAGCACCTATACAAATTATCAGAGAAAATAGACATTGAAACAAGTAGCATTGCCAGAGATCAGGAGGGTCATTGCATAATTTTCCTCCTAACAGTGGTGCTTCAATGTACATGAACTGAAAAAATAGATAAAGAAATCCACAGTTGCAGTTACAGACTTTAATACTCCTTTCTTAGTAACTAGTAAAACAAATAGACAGAAAATACATGAATATATAGATGACTTGAACAACAGTATCAACCAATTTTATCTACTTGATGAATTAGAAGCACAGAACACTTCCAACAACAGCAAATACATATTTTTTAAGTGCACATGAAATGATCACCAGAATAGAATTTATTCTTGGCCAAAAAACAACCTTTAACAAATACAAAATATTAAAATTATACTAACAATGTTCTTGGACCATAGTAAGAAAAAAGTAGAAATGAACAGAAAAATATATACATAGGAATATCCAAATATTTGAAAAATACTTTTACATAACCCATAGCACAAAGAAGCAGTTACACAAGATAATAGGAAATACCTTAAGTTTAATGAAAACAAAATCACAACGCATTGAAATTTGTGGGATACAAAACCAGTGCTTAAAGAAAAATTGATAGCATCAAATGTTTATATCACAAAAGAAGAAAAGTAAATCAGTTCTCTAACTTTTCACTTTGAAAAACTGGAAAATGAATAACAAATCAAATCCAAAGCAGACAGGAGGAAGAAAAATAAAGATAAGCACAGAAATCAATTACACTGAAATAGAAAAGCAATGGAGAAAAATCAATAAAACAAAAAACTGATTCTTTAATAAACTAAAATTGTAAAACCTCTAATCAGAGTGCCCACCTAAAAAGTAGGGAAGAAAAAAATTATAAACATCAGGAACAGGTAGTGACATCACTACAGACTACACACATTAGACTAATAATAAAACTATAAATGCCACACTCATGAATTCAACTGTTTAAATGAAATTAAATATTTTTAAAGGAACCGACTGCCATACTCTGTCAAGAACAAATAGATAACCTGAATTTCTTTATATCTATTTAAATTAATTAATTAATAATTAACAGACTTCCAGCAAAGGAACTCCAGAAACAAATGCCTTTACTGTCCCATTCTAACACATATTTAAGAACAAAATACAGTCATGTGTTGCTTAATGATGGGGGACACTGTTCTGAAAAATGTGTCAGTAGACAATTTCATCATTTCGTGAACATCATAGAATGCACATATAAATCTAGAAGGTATAGCTTACTACACAGTTAGGCTATAGGATATGGCCTATTGCTTCTAGGTTATAAACCTGTACAGCATTTTACTGTATGGAATACTATAGGCAAGTGTAACACAATGGTAAGTATTTATGTTTCCAAACATACCTAAACATAGAGAAGGAACAGTAAAGATAATGTTTAAAATATAAAATATATAAATATTTAAATATTTAAATATAAAATATAAAAAATATATTAAAAATATATAAAATTTATATATATCATATATATAAATATATACAAAATTTTATATATATTTATATATTATATATGTATATATAATATATATAAAATAACTTATATATATTATATATAAATGTATAGAATTTTATATATATTTTATAAAAATATATATATAATTTATAAAAATTTATATCAAATATAAAAATATATAAATATAAAATATAAAAAATGGTACACCTATATAGGGCACTTACTATGAATGGATTTTACAGGACTGAAGGTTGCTCTGGGTGAGCCAGTGACTGAGTGGTGAATGAATGTGAAGGCCTGGGACATTACAGTTTATTGCTGTAGACCTCACAGACAATGTACACCTAGGCTATTCTGAATGTATAACATATTTTTCTTTCTTCAATAATAAATTAATTTTAGCTTACCTTAACTTTTTTACTTTATAAACTTTTTAACTTTAAACTTTGTGCCTCTTTTATAATAACAGCTCAAAACACATTGCACAGCTATATAAAAATATCTTCTTCTTTCTTTATATCCTTATTCTGCAAGCTTTTTCTATTTTTTAATTTTTTCTAACTTTTTTGTTAACTAAGACACTGTGTTAGGCCATTCTTGCATTGTTATAAAGAAATATCTGAGGCTGGGTAATTTATAAGAAAAGAGGTTTAATTGGCTTATGGTTCTGCAGGCTGTACAGGAAGCATAGTGGCATCTACCTCCAAGGAGGCCTCAGGAAGCTTTTACTCATGGCTGAAGCAGGCACATTACATAAGGAGAATGGGAGCAAGTGTAAGGTGGGAGTAGGCACCATGCACTTGTAAACAGCCAGATCTCAGAAGTCACTCACTATTACCAGGACAGCACCAAGAGGATGGCACTAAACCATTCATAAGAAACCCGCCTCCATGATCCAAGCACCTCCCACCAGGCCCCACCTCCAGCACTGAAGATGACAATTCAACATGACATTTACATGAGATTTAGGCGGGGGCAAATATACAAACTCTATCAGAAACAAACACACTCATTAGTCTAGGCCTACACAGAGTCAGGAGCATCAGTATCACATCTTCCACCTCCACATCTTGTCTCACTGGAAGCCCTTCAGGGGCAATGACAGGCAGGGAGCTGTCATCTATGAAAACAATGCCTACTTCTGGATGCCTCCTGAAGGACCTGATTAGGCTGTTTTTTTATAAGTAGAAGGAGTAAACTGTAAAATAATGATTAAAAGTGTTGTATAGTAAATGCATAAACCAGTTAACATAGTCATTTATTATGATTATCAAGTATTAGGTAATTTACTTAATGGTATTTGGTATACTTTTATACAACTGGCAGTGCAGTAGGTTTGCTTACATCAGTATCACTACAAACACATGAGTAATGCTACATTATGAGGGCTATGATGCCACTAGACGATAGGAATTTGTCAGCTCCATTATAATCTTATGGGGACACCATAGTGTATACGACAGTCCATCATTGACCAGTATGTCCTTATGTGGTGGATGACTATCATACCGAATCTATGCAAACTCATTCAAAGTATGAAAGACAATGGATACTATAAGAAAACCACAGAACAATAGCATTTGTGCACATAGATGCATAAATCCTCAAAAATTCTTACAAATAAAATCCAGCAATATGTAAAAATGCTAATATGTCATGATCAAGTATGTTTGGCTGGCTCGAAATCTGAAAGTCAGTCAATGTAATTCATCTTATTAATAGACTAAAGAAGAGAAAATGGATCATCTCATGGATACAGATAGAACACCCGATTAAATTAAACATATATTCATGATAAAAATGCAAAGCAAATTAAAAATTGAAGAGAACTTCTCCAGTCTGAAAAGGGACTCTAGGCCAGGCGCGGTGGCTCACGCCTGTAATCCCAGCACTTTGGGAGGCTGAGGCAGGCGGATCACGAGGTCAGAAGATCGAGACTATCCTAGCTAACATGGTGAAACCCCGTCTCTACTAAAAATAGAAAAAATTAGCCGGGCATGGTGGCGGACACCTGCAGTCCCAGCTACTTGGGAGGCTGAGGCAGGAGAATGGCATGCACCTGGGAGGTGGAGCTTGCAGTGAGCTGAGATGGTGCCACTGCACTCCAGCCTGGGTGACAGAGCAAGACCCTGTCTCAAAAAAAAAAAAAAAGAAAGAAAGAAAGAAAGAAAGAAAGAAAGAAAGAAAGAAAGAAAGAAAGAAAGAAAGAAAAGAAAAGGGACTCTAAAAAACAAACCGCTACAACAGAATACTTATGGAGGAAAGGCTGCCCAGTTTTGCCCTTAGTTCAGTCAAAAGGCAAGATGTTCATTCTAACAACTTTTGCATTCCAGGTCTTAAAGTAACTTGAAATTAGAGAGGTTCCCCAAATGCCCTCTTCTTCACCACCTCCCTCTTTCATCTACCATCCTCCATCAAGGGCATATAAGCAAAGAAGGACACCAGAAGGACCTGTGGCCTCCAGCGGGTGACAGGAGGATTATGGGACAGAGGAGCAGGTGAATCACCCCATCAGGCTGCAATTTTGCATCTTGGGCCCACTGAGAGGGTTGTGGCTTTGATTCTGTCAACTGGAGTATTACTGTAATGGGTAAAACATGTTGATTACTATAGTGCACTGGATGGAATGTGATTCTTTAAGAGTGTTGAGTCTGGAAATTCGGGAAGGCCTATTACTAGTGTTGTTGGAAGAGAAAGTGGGAAAAGCCACTGCAAGGTGAAAGGCTTTCACGGACAACTCAGTAACGAATAGCTGTCTGATCATGATGCCTGTGGGACCGGGGATAAGTCACCGCAATCTCCTGTGTTAATGTCCTCATCTGTGCAATCGGCATTTAAACCAAGGGAGGCACTGTTGCTTTAATATGCCACATCAATAGGCTGAATAAGAATAATTACAGGAATTTAAAAGTATGAGAAGAAACAGGTGAGCATTTAGCTCCTAATTTAAAATTTAAAAGGGCATCACAAATAGCATGGCATTTTATAATATATAACAGGATATGCTAAGATGTTTCTGCATGCACACATTCTTTTCCAGGAAAATCAATGACCAGGAGCACAGACCTCCCAAAATTGTGTCTTAACGAGGCTTCCAAAGCTTCTACTTATATTTTGGTAAGAACTAAGAAAGCCCAGCATACGGTTTTTAATTAAAACCAAGTGTTTATATGTGGCTGCAAAATAGTGGTTTTCCCCCCTGGTTACACAAATTATAGAGGATAAAAATGGTACAAACATCTCTTGATTTCTGACCTGAATAGCAAAGGTTGTTCCACTCTGCACAAAGCCCCCATAGGAGGAAGTGTTATAGGTGGCAGTAAGAGATGGCAATAAAATGGTCAAGAATTCGCAAAACGGCATTCAGGTAAGCAACAGTCTAGTAGTTCTTGGGTATTTTCTGCTTGGAAAATGTAACTCTACTTTATGTCTCATGCCAACTTTGTTCTATATTGATAAACGTGTCCAGCTCATAAATTGTAGACTTCTATGAGTTTTCAAAGATCAGGGTTTTCCTTGCTTGTGCTATTAAATATAGTATAGATAGCTATTGGTATTGTTTCTGTATATATGGGTGCAGCATTAGGCAGACATCAGACCCCCTCTGTAGAGCTTTACTCCAATTTGGAAAAGCCGGCTGGGCGCAGTGCTTCACATCTGTAATCCTAGCACTTTGGGAGGCTGGGGCAAGTGGATCACTTGAAGTTAGGAGTTCGAGATCATCCTGGACAACATGGTGAAACCCCATCTCTACTAAAAATACAAAAATTAGCTGTGTGTGATGGCACATGCCTGTAATCCCAGCTACTAGGAAGGCTGAGGCAGGAGAATCGCTTGAACCCGAGAGGCAGAGGTCACAGTGGGCTGGGATTGTGCCACTGCACTCCAGTCTGAGCAACAGAGCAAGACTCCATCTCAAAAAGAAAAAAAAATTTAGAAAAGCCTTGCAGGGTTGAAGCTGTCATGGAGAAGGTACAGCTTTGAAAACTCATGGCCCCTGCTCTAGGAGGGAATCCCTACTGGTCACCCGGGACTGCAAAGCAGCAGCTCCTTACACCTTGAAAAAATATGAATGTCCCCAAATTATACTATTTCTATTTTCTTATTCATATTAGCAGTGGCATTTCATTTTATTCCTTTCCTTTTTTTTCCGTAACCTCAAGTAATATAGCCATTGTAAGAGAACAGGAAACAGATAAACAAACGTGAAGAAAGTCACATAAAATTCCATTTACCAGAAAGAACCACTATTCATATATTAGTTTGTAGCCTTCCAGGCTTATACACATATGCATATGTAACAATTCTATACCTTTAATATTCTACTTTTTCTTTTAGAATGCAAGGCCTTCTGTGTAATAAATAAAATAGCATTATTATTTTTAATAGCTGCTGCTTTGAGTATGCCGTAACTTATTTGAACATTTTTAGCTAGAGGCTAGAGAAAGACCTTTATCAATAAAAACAGACTTTTAGGGATATAAGATGGCAAAAGATCCTGGGAGACTGGGAGGGCAAGTACATTATATTTTAATAAATGAATCAATTTACTTAAAACCATTTACAGTGTATCTTCTGCATGTATGACAATTTTCTAAGCTCTGCGAAAAAATAAAGATGGATCAGATGAAGATTCTGATCTCACAGGTTTACTATGCAATGGGGAAAGAGACCAACTCCTCAAATACACAGTTATTTAACAGCTATATAAAATGTGAGAAAGAATTTTATGCATGGAAGAAGATGGTGTAGGAAAAGTGTCATATTTATATTGAGATGGTGCTTTCTCCAACTGGGTGATTTGGAAAAGGTTTTGTGGAAAAGATGGCATTTAACTGAGGGCTTCTAATGGATGACTCTCAGGTCACAATCCGTAGAAAGGGCCAAGAAAAGGAAAGAACAGTCCATGCAGAATACAGCCCAGGACAGACCATGGTAGAGTCTGAGAATTCCCAGGACAAGTGCCAGCTCCAGCCTCATAGAGGCAGGAACGGTTTGGACCCTGAGTCAAAGGACTGAGTCTTGCTTCTCAAAACTCAAGGTGGAAGAAAACATTGCAACTAGATCAGAGCTGGTAGTAAATTAATCAGATGTTCCACACACCAAAATCCCAACTGCTTACAAAAGATTAACTGGAGAAAATAGAGGAAGAGTAGGAATATAAATCCTCTGCAGATTCCTTCCTTGCATGAAAAAATATATGCATTAAATCACATAATCTTCACACCTATCTGTTTGAAGTGGACATGACTGACTCCATTTTGTAAATGCTGAAAACTAAAGCACCAAATTTGTCCCCTAATAACACAGGTAATAAATGATGGAATCGGGTGGAAATTCAGGCAAATTTGTTTTCAAAGACTATCCCCTTCAATCATGTCATTGCCACTCTGAAAGTGATTAAATGCAGGCAGGAACTGTAAATGAACTTTTTAGTGAAATGAAGGCCCTGAATTTGTGCAAGAAAATAAAAGCAAAGGTGAGGGAAAGAGAGGTAAAATAGGAGGGTGGAGATGAGAGCTTGACAGGCATGGAACATTAAATGATGCTGCTTCTCAACTCTACTGTCTGGAAAAGAGGCCTCTTAGGAGACACAGGGTATTAGTACAATATCTTATCTTAGAATGCTTGCCACCCTTCCTACACAATAGAGCTCCCACCCCTGATTGGGAAAGACCTGGGATATCCAGGGGTGAAAGGTGGAGCACTTCCCACTTCACAGCTCATGCCAGGGCTGATCTAAGGGAAGCCAGGCCTGGGGAAAATTATGAGTTCCAAGACCCAACAAATGAATGAGGAAGGGGAGCCAGCCTCTGCAGCAGAACCCCAATTGCTCCAGCAGGGAGATTCCAGGCCACACGTGTGGCTCCTGAATACCGTTGGCCTAACTTCCTCTGGAGCTCTGTGGGGTCTTTTGGTTCTGGGAAAGAAAAGGTACAACTAAAGACCCTGCATCATTGTAGCCCAAAGAGTTCTGCTATGAACTGCTTCCCTCAAGAAGCTGGACATGTAGAGGGAAGAGCCATTTCTGAAGGCTGGAAAAGAGCCACAACAGGAGAGAAGAAGGAGGATGGCTCAATCTCAGAGCCTTGTTAGGTGGATAAATTTTACCCAGTGAATTTGAAATCAACTGTAGTAATGACTTTGCCAGTTCCCATGGCAGTTGGATCTGTGAGACGTGCAAGCATCCCTGAAAATTTTGAAATTATTTTGGTAGAAAATGTTTGGAACATAAGAAGGGACTTCCTGCTAATCAAGACTTTAAAATATAAACTCTATTTTTGCCTATGGAAGTAACTCTGTCTTTAAGAGCATAGGTCTCCTTAATTTTTGTCCTGTGGTTCTCTAACCTATGTAATCTGTAGATTGATTTCTTTTCTTTTGATGGGTTTTTCCAAAGCAAAGAAATATGTCCAGTCACCTGTCACCTAACAATATTGATTAGTAAAACAGAAAATCTTCATGCATCAGTCAAAGATAAGGCTACAGATACTAACTGCACGTATCACCAGATTGTCTCTAACAGTCCCTATTTGTCACTGTGGCAAATTGTTGTAGAAGAGAATTAACCTTCCAATAAATCAATAAATCAAAGGCTGTTTCTGAACTACTACGATGGCCTATCCTTAGCTCTAAGGATTCGAGTGTCTTCCTTGCTAGGTCAGTTTTATATATTCTTCAGTGATGGATGGCTGACACTCAAGATGGCCTTAACAGCTCTTCCAAGTGACAGCAAATGACTGTGGACACTAAAGCCAGTTATTGGCTTGGCTCAAAGCTGCAAAAACGCAAGCAATTAACTGCTGTTACTGTAACAGATGGGCATTCTGTAGGGGGATACTAGGGAGATTATATCCTGGAGGTTTGCAATTGCATATATCATTCCAAGAAACAAGGATTCTAGTGTAACAATTACTAAGACAGAGCAGAGTGACATCTTAGGCTTTGCATCTTTAGGCAAATGTGAGTGTAAACATATGTACGGAGTCAGTATTTAAAAGTTGCTTTGCAGGATATTACAAATAGCTGTTTCTTTAAATATGACTATATGTGGTCATAGGCTGGCTGCTTGAGTCTGAGACATAGTGATTCTACAAATATTTTACATACACGTGCACACACACACACACACAGATGCCCTTCTTATATCAAAATGTAGAATGAAAGGAATACATTAAAATGTGAAGGAGTTTCTCTTAGGTAGTCAGATTATTATTGATTATTTTCTTATACATTTTTATAATTACTCAAATGTCCTTAAATGAGCATATTTTATTTTTATTAAATGTCCTTCATGTAAATTTTAATATCAGTAAGAATAGTGCATTTCTTTTCTCAATGAGATTACAGTTCAATAAGAGAAATTTTAGTTCCATAAATCATTACATTTGCTTATGGCCTTTCCCTAGAACCCAGGAACATAAAGTGATTCCACTAATTCCACTATAAAACAAAACTCTACCAGCAAAGCTCTGGTCACATGTAAGAGCAGAAAGTTAAAATACACATTTTTTACCTTTTGATTCAGGAAAAAAAGGAAAACCCATCATTTTAATGTCTTGTTATAGAAATCCTTAGCATAAAACAGTCAGCATTATGCAATGGAAATAGGGTTATCAGATTTTTCAAGGAAAAGTACAGGATGTCCTGTTAAATTTGAATTTCCAATAAACAACAAACAATATTTTTAGTATAATTATGCCTCATGCAGTATTTTACATATTTTATCTGGCAATCTCAAATGGAGAGAGTCCAAGATAAGAAACCTGGCCACTTACTTATTGTCTCAGACTCCAGCCCTGGCCCTAAGGATCTAGCTGCACTAACCAGGAGGGCTGGCTACTGTCTGTCCTGATATTCTATTTAAAGTCTTGGAGGGTGAGGAAGTATTCCTATGAACTTCATCTCCTAGAGGGTCATGATTAGCTATTTTTTCCAAAACTGGGACCTGAGGACCCTGAGAATTTGGGGGTACAGATTTTGATGTCTTATTTGTTTCATTGATTATAAGTGTCTTAATTTCATTTTTCTAATAATTTTAAAATCATATAATCAAGTTCCACTTCCAGTTAGTATTTTGAAGGATGTAAAAAAAAAAATCACTCTCATCTTAACCAAAAAGCACAGGAAATGTTTTTAAAAATTTTTTGTAAAGTCATCGTGGAGCTTTGGAAGCAAAGAAACCAGCAAGAGCTAAAACTTCTGAAGGCAAGCATGGACCAGGTGAGCAAGGGGCACAGTGCACTTTCTCATCATGACTGAGGGTGGCTGCAGGCATGGGAGAGGCATGGGCTGGCCAGGGAAAGACAGCTGCTAGGGTGAGGCAAAACCATCCAAATTACTGACACCCCTGTGGACAGGCAGGTCAGCTCCGACTCTGGAGAAAACACAGAGGCAAGGATAATCCCTTCCACCCAGTAATTCTGTAACCCAAGGATTTAACAGAGGGTGGAGGAGGGCTGGAGAACAGAAAGAAATCATGAGTTCTCACTGTCCGAGTCTCACAGTCCTGCAGCTTCCAGATCTCAGCCTTAAGGTTTCCCAGTTTCCATAGCTGGACATCTCTGAGTCATCAGATTTGCAACCCAGTGGTCTCTGGGTCTCCCACCTTTGAGGTGTAGCAATCTCCTTCTGTTTGACTCTGGAGTCCTTCATGAGGAAGAGCCTGAGCTCACCCTCAAAGCATTTGAAGTGCCAGGTGAGCTGAGTTTAAGCAAAGATGCAACCAAACCCCAACCCAATTAAACTTCTGTGAAAACTGAAGATAAACAAAGAAAGCAATTTTTGGTGCTTGAATTTCAAGGCCCTGCTATATATATTAAAGCCATAAAACTTTATTTAAGCAGCTCAACTCCAGATCAGCTCAAACTGGTCAGTCCTAACTTATAGATGCCAAACAGAGGAAAGGGTATTTCCTGAAATAAGGAGGATATATATATATTACATCCAGTCAATCAATAGAAACAAGCCAACAGATGGCTCAGATTTTAGAATCAGCAGATAAGTTATTTAAAATAGCAATGAGATTGATTTTTTAAAAAACTATAAAGAAAGGTGGATAAACAGACAAATAATTTAGGAGACATGGAAACTATACAGAATAGCATATTAAAACTAAAACATACAATATCTGAAATAAAATTTTACTGTATGGGATTAGTAGCAGATTGGACGCAGAGAAATGAGGATTAAGTAAATCTGAAGATAAGTCAATAGAAATCATTGAAATTGAACTACTGGCTGAAAAAAAATTTGTTTTTTTAAAAATGAATAAAGCCTCAGTGACATGGGGACAGTGTCGAGCATTCTGAAATACGTGTAGTTGGAGCCCAAGTAGAAGGAAAGATTGCAAAACAAAATGTTGGCCAAAACTTTTAAAAATTGGATCAAAAACAGCAATCTAGACACACTGTAAGCTCAGCAAACTTTAAAAAAGATAAATAAAAATGGGCCAGGCTCAGTGGCTCACACCTGTAATCCCAGCACTTCGGGAGGCCGAGGCCAGTGGATCCCGTCAGGAGTTTCAGACCAGCCTGCCCAACATGGCGAAACCCCATCTCTACTAAAAATATAAAAATTAGCTGGGCATGGTGGTGGATGGCTGTAATCCCAGCTACTTGGGAGGCTGAGGCAGGAGAATCGCTTGAACCCAGGAGGCAGAGGTTGCAGTGAACTGAGATGGTGCCACTGCACTCCAGCCTGGGTGACAAGAGCAAACTCCATGGCAAAAATAAAATAATAAAATAAAATAAAATAAAATAAAAACGAATAGGCCAGGTACAGTTGCTCACGCCTGTAATCCCAGCACTTTGGGAGGCCGACACAGTGGATCACTTGAGGCCAGGAGTTCCAGACCAGCCTGGCCAACATGGCAAAACCCCGTTTCTACTAAAAATACAAAAAATAGCTGGGCATAGTGGTGGGTGCCTGTAATCCCAGCTATTCGGGAGGCAAGATGGTGCCGCTGTACTCCAGCCTAAACTACAGAGTGAGACTCTGTCTCAAAATAAATAAATACATAAGAAATGACTCTTAGGAGCAGCATAGTTAAGTGGTTAACTTAACAATAATGATATAAAGAAAATCTTAAAACAGGCCAAAGACGGAGGCAGAGTAGACACAGGGAACCAATATTTAGGAAACTGCTGAACTTCTCGTTCAAAGCAATGAAAGATAAAAACACTGAAACAACATCTTCAGAGTTCTAAGGAAAATAAAAACCTGTCAACCTAGAATTTAATTTCCAGTGATAGATATTTTCAGCAATGAAAGTAAAATGTTCAGATAAATAAAAGCTGAGAGATTTTGTTTCTAGAGGACTTATAGTATAAGACATGCTAAAGGAAGTTTTTCAAGTTGAAAATGGACTAAAATGGGATTCTAGATGGAGACTTGGTTCTACAGAAAAAAAATGAAGAATACTGGAAAGAGAAAATATGTGAGTAAATAGACATGTTATTTTTCTTTTTTTCCCATTCAAGAAAAATTTAATTGACTGTTCAAAGAAAAAATAATATTAACTATGTGTTGTGGTGCTTATAACATGTCGATGTAAGATATCGCACAGTGCAGTAATAGCCTGAACAATGGGATAGGGTATGTATTAAGTTACATTATTGTGAAGTCCCTACATTATTCACAAAGTGCAATAACATTAATCAAGGTGTAGTGTGATAAGGATAATACTGTAATTCATATGGCAACCATAAAAAAAGTAGAACAAGCACATATAGCTAAAAAGCCAATAGAAGAGATACAGTAAAACACTCTTAAAAAATTAACTCACAAGAACACAAAAAGGGAAGAACAAAGGAACAAATAATATGAGGACAAAGAGAAAACAAGTAGCAAGGTATAGACATAAAACCAATTATACTGATAATTACAGTGGACTAAACACTTTAAATAAAGGCCAGAGATTTTTATTTAAACACAAGGAAGAAGAGGCACAGATGTTTAGGCCACAGGATGGCCTAGTTGGCCTTTCTCACTTTATGCTGTTTACCAGATGAATTTTAAATACAAAGGTATATAAAATACAAAGATATACAGAAAGATTGAAGGAATGGAAAAAGATATGTAATACAAAGAGGAAGCACAAGAAAAATGGTGTGAGTGTGTTAGTAACAAACAAAATAGGGTTTTATAAAAGGAGTATAAGCAGATATAAAAAGAACCGTTTTATAACAACTAGAACTCAAATAATTGAAAGTATTAACAATCCTACATGTGTACAAGTAGTTTCAAAATGCATGAAGCAAAATGGACAGAACTAAAGGTATTAAAAGCAACCCCACAGTCATAGTTTGAGATTTCAATGGCTAGCTTGTATAAGTGATAAAAAATATAAACAAAAAATCAGTAGGAATATAAAAGATGGGAATAATATCATCAACCAACCAGCTCTGATTGCCACTTGCAGAACACCACACCTAACATGTACAGAGTGCACAATCCTTCCCAGGGCTCAGGGAATACAGACCAAGATGAAACATGTGATGGACCCTGAAACCAGTCTTAACACATTTGGAAGGACGAAAATAGTAAATATTATATTCTCTAGCCACATTTAAATTAAATTAAAAATAAATGTCAGTAATTATAAAATTATCTAGAAATTATGTAGAAACTCTCCAAATATTTGGAGATTATGCAGCAGACATTAAATGAGAAATAGGTTGAAGAAAAAACTCCTCCAGAATAATTTAAAAATATTTTCAACTGAGTGTTGGGAAGACAAATATTGACATTTATGGGATGCAGATATGGTGGTCCTTAAATAAAACCAATAGCTTTAAATGGTTACATTTCAATAGAAGAAGAGAGTACAAAACCAGTTACCTAAGCTTCCAATACAAAAATCTACAAAAAAGACAGCAAGATTTACCCCCAAAATATCAATGAAATAAAAAACAAACTACAGAACACATCAACAGAGCCCAACTAAGAGTTTTTAAAAATAATAATGAAATTTTAAGAAAAGTGAGAGAAAATAATTAAAAACAAGGGGATGAAATTAGAAAGATAGCTACAGATTTTTCAGATATTGAAAGGATAACAAAGGTTTATTTTGAATATTATGCCAAAACAACTTGACAACTTAGATAAACTGACTGAATTTCTTTAAAAAGCAATTTACCAAAATATTAGAAATTCTGAATAGTTATATGTCATTTCAAAAATGGAATTTATAATTAAACATCTACTTATAAGGAGACCTCTAGGCTCAGATGCCTTGACTGGTGAATTCTATCAAACATTTAAAGAATAAATAGTATCAGTCATATACAAACTCTTTCAGAAAAGACAGGATAAGAAAATGCTTCCCAATTTCCATTGTGAAGCCAGAATTACCTTAAAAGCAAAAGCTAACTGAAATCTTACAAGAAATTATAGACCAATATTTCTTATGAACATAAACATGAAAATCATTAAATATTAGCAAACTGAATGCAGCATTATGACCAAGTGGGGTTTATCTCAGGAATGCAACATGTGTTCAACATTCAAAAATCAATATAATTTATACATTAAGAAAAAAATTCCTATGATAAGTTTATTAGATACAAAAAAATGCACTGGACAAAATTCAACACTTAGTTATTATAAAAACAATCGCAAAGGAAAAAAGAAAGAAATTTCCTCAACCTAAAAAGGACATCCACAAATAAAACCTACAGCCATTATTATATTTAATCATCCATTTTGAATATTTTCCATGTATGAATGTGAGGCTCCGAGTCCTTTTATTCCACATTGTGTTACAGGTCCCTAAAGAATGAAATGAAGTATTTAAAAATAAAAAGAAATAAAGATTGAAAGAAAGAATTAAACTTGTCTTTATCTGATGCCAATACAGTTTCTTTCTTAAAAAAATACAAAGCATATGCAAAGCAATTACTAGAATTAATAAATGAATTAACCCAGGTGATAGGACATAAGGTCAATATGCTAAAACCAATTTCATTACTATACACTAGCAAGAAACAATTGGAAAATAAAACTTTAAGGTATGTATAATAACATCTAAAAACAGAAAATACTTTGTAATAAATTTTTAAAATTGTGTGTTAGAACTTTGTGTTAAAAAATTCACAGAGAAAATCAAGTTAACATGTAGAGACATGTACTATGTTCATAGATTAGAGATTCAATGTTATTAAGATGTCAGGTCTCTCCCAATGGATCTGTGGACTCAATAACCCCCTGCAAGTATGTCTCTAGAGGCTGACACATTGCTTCAGCTACTCATAAGGAAATTCAAAGCAATATACTTAATAAATTCAAAGCTAATACTTTTTTTTAATCAAAAGGACTGACACTACCTGATTCCGAGGCTTATTATAAAGGTATTTAATTAAGGAACTAATGGCATTGGCATACAAATCTATCTTTAAAGCTGTGGAACAGAACAGGTATCTGACAAATTCACTTGATAGTTAATGGAATTTTGAAAAATATTGAAAAGAAAGTTATCTTTTCTAGGATATTTTTGTCTACTCTGAGGATGAGGACAGTCCTCAACAAATGATAATGGAAAGGGTAGGTATCTGTATGGAAGAAAGAAACCTTGACTTCTAACTCTGGATACATCACAAAATTACCTTGAACTAGATCATAGACCTAAATACAAAATCTAAAACAATACAGCATCCAGAAGAAAACATGGAGAGAATTGTTCTCGACCTCAGAGCAGGCAAAAATATCCTAGAAAAGACAAAAAGAAACGAGGAATAATGAAGAAAACAAAATTTTTAAGTTGGAATTTGTTAAATAAATTATTGCTTTTTAAGAGGCTTTAAAAATGCAGGTGTTTTTAAACTTTGTTTTCACTTCATTGTTAAAAAATGAAAGAACAAGATTTTAAAACTTTTTAAAAACAATGAAGTTCCGGGCACGGTGGCCCAGCACTTGGGGAGGCCGAGGTGGGTGGATCACGAGGTCAGGAGTTTGAGACCAGCCTTGCCAACATGGTGAAACCCCATCTCTACTAAAAATACAAAAATTAGCTAGGCGTGGTGGTGCAGACGTGTAATCCCAGCTACTCGGGAGGCTGAGGCAGGAGAATCACTTGAGCCTGGGAAATGGAGTTGCAATGAGCCGAGATTGTACCACTGTACTTCAGACTGTATGACAGAGCGAGACTCTGTCTCAAACTAAATAAATAAATAATTAAAGAAATAAGCAAAATAAAAATTAAAAACAATGAAAATGGGGGAAAATATTTATAATTTTTATATCTAAGGATGTCTCTCCAAAAAATGCATAAACTCCAGAAACTCAAGAAAAAAGACAAATAATCAATTTGTTTTTATTCAAAAACAGGCAATTATAAATAGACTCCTTACAACATAATATATACAAAAGGCCAAAAGCACATGAAAAAGTGTCTGACATTGGCTAGTTAGAAGGCAAAGGCAAATTAAAAGTAAGCTGAGATGCTACTTCACATGTACTAGGTTGGCTAAAATTCAAAAAGATTAATAACATCAATATTGGCAAGGAAGTAGAACAATGGGAATTCTCAAATACTGCTGGTAGAAGTACAGCACATGGCCAGACATTTTGGAAAGTAATTCAGTAATTTCTTATAGGGTTATATATATATACCATACATACAGCAATTACACTTCTCAGAGAGCATAAACCCACAGGAAGACATATCAGTTTATTCCCAATAACCAAAGCCCAAAAACAACCCAAATGTCATTAACAGGTGAATGGAGAAACAAACTTTTGAAGAGCCATACAATGTGACACTACTTAGCAAGAAAAATGAACAGTTTCCTAATGTACATAATCACATGAATAGATCTCAAAAACATAGTATTGAGTGAAAGACGACACAAAAGAGACTATATGATGCTATGTGATTCCATGTATAGGAAGTCCTTGAGCAAAATGGAAGTGATTTTCTGATATTGGGTGTGTGAAGGGTTGGTTTGGCAGTATCAACCTAAAAAACAAGCAGAGTCAGGCTCTCTAAAAGAAAAGATATTTATCCAGGAATAGGGCATTGCAGTGGGAGTAGACATGTCATACTAAACTATGTGTGTATTCAGGGAGGTAAGGGAAAACTAAGGATTTTAAAGGGAAAATGAGAAGAATTTCATAATTGCTTTTAAATAATTATCTTTGACTACAAAGATCAATAGCAAGGGTGACACCAGCCAGAGGCTGGACAGGCAGTTGCTGGACAGATGTCCTGGAAGATTTTTTGTGTAGGGTTGTGATAGCCTTTGTGCAAAGTTTTGGTTTTTGTAGCCTTTTTTGTTATCAGGCATACAAGCATGAGAAGTCTCTATTCATAGCCTTTCCCAGCTCTATTTGTCAGTGGTTTCTTAACATTAGTGACTCCATTTTGATTCTGACAACTTTCATGGCAGTCAGATAGGATATTGACTGAAATCGACAACAGGAAAGTTACTGAGGGGTAACAATGTATATTTTGATTGGTGTGTTTGTTACAAATGTATATATTTGTCAAAATTCATCCAAGCATATAAAGTCTGTACATTTTATTGTATGTAAACTATTCCTCAATAAAGTTGGTTTAAAATTACATAAGCATCTTTTAGATCTTTAGATGATCACCTTGCTGAGGGCCATCATGTGATTTTGTTTCTCACAGTTCAAATGTTTATTATTATGCTGATACTGCTTTTGGTACAATTTTAATAGTCACAGATTCAATAAGACACAGCAGAGAGTCTTCATAAATAACAGCTACAGTTATGTTAAGTAGAGGCCAGTGACTTTATGGGAAGCCATGCTAATGAAGCATTGAAATAATCTAAATACAGAAAAATGTTGGAGAATCCTGGCCCCGCTAGGCAGGAATCCTCTGACAATGCTGAGCTCAGAACTCAAGAGTAATTAGAAACATTGGCCTCCCAAGCTGAGCAGGCATGGAGCTTCGGGAATACTCTCTGCTCTGTCCTGGTAAGCTAATGTAGCTCGTTTCCATTTCATTGGTTTTGTAGTTTATATTATATCTGTTCTGTAAGTTTATTTTTATAGTTGTCTAAAAGCTATAAGCCTAACAGTTTGTAGTGTTTTATGTTTGCATATATATTTAAGTAAAATTACAATAAAAAGAATTGAAGTCAACATTGGGGGTCTGTGAGAATATTTTCTACTTTAAAGAGATCAATACATTATTCAAGGCTGGAAAATGCTGAGTATTTCCAAATGGTGTTATAATTGGAAAAGATCCAGAAATCTTGATTGGACGCTGGGGCTGCCAGAAAAAAAATGGAGCAGAGCTGGCAATAGTGGCTCTTTGCACAATTCAGAACCAGTTCTGCATCTGAGCGCATAGAGGCAGATTTGCTGGGATGGCATGAAAGGAATTCTTGTGCAGAAAAAGCGGTGGCTTAATTTCTAAGACAGCACTTTTGAGAATACTGAAAATAGGACTAAACACCATTTATAGTCTAATTATTATGGTAGAATTTTGATATCTGCAGATATGTTGTCAGGCCACCATTTGAATTGTGATATAGCCGATTCAATTAATGAACCATTTTATTTGTCAGGGCTTCTGAAATTCCAAGTGACAGAAGACTTCAATTCAAATAAGCTTGGGGGAAAAAAAAAGATGTGAATTGGCTCTGGTGATTACAAAGAGAACCAGTTAGAAACTTCTTTGAGCCTGCAAGGACCTCACACCTCACATCACATTATCGGGAGTTGATTTGTCTTCTTTTCTTGCTTCAGTTTTCTTCTGTGGTGTCTCCCTTTCAGGTAGAACATACCTACAACTTACAGTGACCCTAGCAGGCAAAGCCTTAATTTTTACAAGATTCAAGTCTAGTAGGAAAAATAAAAGGCATATTTTATTTTCATATGGTTCAAGATGGACCCAGCCTTTGCAGTCTCAACGGGATTGATCACAGGAGCATCCTTGAACATCCAGCATGACCAAAGGATGACAATGCTGGCCAGGTGGGGTCCCCTGCTGCAGCCGGCAGCTCCAACTGAGAATCAGGTGTGTTGAGACTGGGGCAGGAGTTGGTTCTCTAGAGGAAAACAGGTCAGTGTGTGTTATCAGAAGAAAGAGAATGGATATCGGGTGGCAAACATTTATATATCTGTTGTCAAATAGATATCAATATCTGTCTTTCAGTGCACAATCTCCAACAAAATAGGTATTAGCATAAAAAAAATCTATGCTGAATTAACAGCAACAATATCTTTGAGGCACATGGCAGAAATATGATTTAAATACAAGTATAGAAGGTGGCTTTGAAACTATTTGAAAAATTTTACTCAAAGGATACTGGTGAACTTCTGGTTTCTGGTCCAGCACATAAGGAGCGAAGAAGTCTTTGCAACACTCTTACAAGTCAAAAGCTGAGTGAACTGAAAAAGCAACAAACAGCTCTTCTTAGATCTGTCAGGGAAGTGAGATCACAGGCCAAACCACTGCCTCTAAATTAGACAGACAAGTGAATAACAATTTACCAGAGCAGTAATCCATGGAGGAGCAATCCCCATGGAACCAGTGCCAGGGTAGAAACATCTGAACTGTAACTGACGAAGTGCCGGGGGTTCATTGTGGACAAGTCTGGAGGTAAAAACTCTGGCTAGACCCAGTCACCAGGCACGGGGGGAAAAGGGCACACTTTTGTGAGTTTTGCCTCCTAGAGATCAAACAGGATCCTGCTTCCAGCAAGGGGAGGGGAAAAGGAACTATTTTGAATACACCAGAGCATTCTCTTCTTAACAGGAAGAAGAAGGCCTGCCTTCAGAAGAAACTAGTTAACCAGAGCCTAGCCTGCCAGGGTTTTCTTGGAGTCTAACTACCTTGAGTGAGGGGAATATCCAACTCTAGCCCACTCCAGCCATCCTGTGCCACCTAAAGGGGGATAAAAAATTGAGAAGTACTTGATGAAGTTTACAGTCCAGAAGCACAGGCTTGCCACATACTGAGACCTACTCACAGGACTATACCTTGTTTCCCCTCCCCACACCTTACCACCACAGCACTAAAGCCCAATTGACACAGTTCCTTTCATGCATTAAATCATGCCCTGCTATCAAGAAAAAATTACAAGGCACACTGAAAGGCAAACAAAACAAAACAAAACAAAACAAAAACAGTTTGAAGAGACAGAACAGACATCAGAACCAGATATGGAAGGGATGTTGGAATTTCAATACCAGAAATTTAAAACAACTATAATTAATATGCAAAGGGGACTAATGGGTAAAGTAAATACCATGCAAGAACAATTGAACAATGTAAGCAGAGAAATAGAAATTCTAAGAAATTTTGGTTAACCAAAAAGAAACACTAGTGAAGAAAACCACTGTTAGAGAAATGCAGAATGCCTTTGATGAGCTTATTATTATTAAATAGTAGACTGGACATAGCTGAAAAAAGAATCCCTGAGTTTGAGGATATCAGAAGAAACTTCCAAAATTAAAAAGCGAAGAGAAAAATGACTGAAAACAATAGAATGGAATTGAGACAATTATCTGAGACAACTACAAAAGAAACAATATATGTGCAATGGAATTCCCGACGGAGAACAAAGAGAAAAAGGAATGGAAGAAATATGTGAAACAATAATGACTGAGAATTTCCTCAAGTTAATGTCAGATATCAAACCACAGATCCAGGAAACTCAGAGAACCCCAAGCAGGGACTGGTTATTTAATTTGCTGGAAGACAGAATATCAATTATTAGAATAATAGACCAAATTGAATAATGTGATGTAAAGAATGAAGTTAAAGGCCAATGACTAAGTACATAATACCAACTCCAGAGGAATAAAATAGAGAAGATCTCTCCATTCTCAAATTCCATGGATTCCTGAGCATCTCTTCACTGGCCAGTGGTGGAAACCAGGTGCTGAATTCCTCAATAGCCCTCCAAAGGATTGTTTTCTTGAATATCACTAGGGAGTATGGAATAATTAGGATGCATAAGGTATGAGAAAAGTGATATAACAAGAATTCTTGGCCCAGAACCACAGAGAAATTTCAGGCTTATTTATGCCTGGTGCTGAAAGGAAGGAGTTTCTTTCAATAGCTGGAGATAAAACTTAGCTAGCATGTTCCTGAGTGAGGGCGTGAAGTGGTGCCTGGAAAAGCCTGGAAAATGGCAGAGAAGTACGGAGGCCTGTGCTCCCTCAGTGTCCTAGGGCTCAGTGTATTTGCAGAACTGTTTTGCATGATTAAGTACAGTCCTAGTGGGTTGGTGTTGAGGAGGTGGGGAGCTTAGGGAGAGGGGTGAGGGAGTGGAGGGGGTTGGTAACCGGAGATGTAGGAAAAAGCACTTTGTGTCATGTCGTTTTGTGATTCTTTGTTAATTCATCCGGTAAACATTTATTGTGCCCCTGCTGCATGCTATAGATGCTACATGCTCTAGATGCTAGAAATACAGAAGTGAGATAGAGTAGGGGTGGTCACTGTCATTGTCCTTGTCCCGTAAGTCCTAGATATCTATATGTTCTCATGTTTAGATCCCATGAAGAAGTCGTTTGGAACAAGGACTTACCTCCTTGTGACAATGAGACCAGGATTCTTCTGAAGCACACACCCACTGTCTCAGCCCAAGTATGAGGCCCAGTGTCAGAGCTTCAAGCAGCGTCAGGGAGAAGTCAGGTTCCTGACCATCTGTTTACAGAGGGAATCCCTTGTACCTCCCATCCTCAGGTTCTGCCATTATCCCATATAGCTAGTGATACTTGGGAAAGAATTGAGGTGCCCCAGAGAATTTCAAAGTCCCCTTGGCACACCAGGGAATATTCTAGAGCTCAACAAGCTTGGGACCAAGGAGATAAGCCATCCTGGGAGACCCACTTTCCTGACTCTCCACCAAAGATGCATGTGCCCCTGTGATATTATGAAATACATATTTGGTCTTCAACTCTGCTTCCTAGCATATATCTGCTAAAATCTTTAGAGTCCCCAGAGTAATGTCTTTTTGTATTTTAATGAGTCTGTCATGATTTAACCTACATGCCTGCCTAACGAAGCCTCCATAAAAACCCAAAAGGATAGCATTTGAAGAGCTTCAGGATAGCTGAATGTGCAGTGGTTCCTATGAGGGTGGGGACCTGGAGAGGGCATGGAAGTTCCATGCCTTTTCCCCCACACCTTGCCCTATGCATCTCTTCATCTGTATCCTTTGTGATATCCTTTATAATAAACTGGTAAACAAAGTCTTTCCCTGAGTTCTGTGAGCCACTCTAGTAAATTAATCAAACCAAAGAAGGGGGCTTATGGGATCCCCAATTTATAGCCAGTCATTCAGAAGCACAGGTAAAACAACCTGGGCCTTGAGATTGGCATCAGAAGTGGGAGCAGTCTTGGGGACTGATTTCCCAACCTGTGGGATCTGAGGCTATCTCCAGATAGACGGAGTCAGAATTGAACTGAAGGACACCCAGCTGGTGTCTACTGCAAAACTGATTGCTTGCTTTATGGTTGGGGGTAATCCCCAAACATTTGGCCACAGAAGTTTTCTGTGTTGATTGTCATGGTGTGAAAGCAAATTAAAAATAGAGTTTGTTTTTTTTTCTCTTAGCCACTGACTCATTATGAGCCCACCTGGAAACACCCTCCCCTTCCTGCACTGCTTTCTGCTGTGCTCAGCCAAGCAAAGCATCCCCTACATAGACCACAGGGTATAAATAATACTCCATCTCTTGTGGTATCACAGCCAGGTCCAGTGTCTGGCTCCTGGGAAGACCATGGGCCAGAGAAGTCAGGAGAAAACACATCCCAACTCAGAAGGGCTCCAGAGTGGATTTCAGGTTCCCTTTATTGACTCCAAAGAAAAATCCTGTCCAAATAGGGCCACATGGCATGCAGCACTAGCCACAGATTTCCTCCTTTGGAACTCTCCAAAGGTAAGAGGAGGAAACAGCTTTAAAAATGCAACCCGAAGCTTCTTACCTCTGCCTTATGGATCTAGATCCTTTCCCACTATTGCACAGTGCTATGCCATCTGCAATTCCAACCATTCTAAACCAACTGCTTATTGTACTTCTTAGAGTAGTAAACTTTGATAGGCCTTTGTTTCACAACAATTGTTTCTGAAACTTCTTTTTAGTCCACATCTATGGGGTCTGTGATACCAGTACAGTGGATGACTTTATAGTCTACGAAAAATGGATCCCTGGAAACCTCTTTTCAAGGAGTAAGATTTTGCCACTGATTTCAGAAGAATATCTGTGAGTCATCCATTTGATTATCTGAACAGATGCTGCTGACTTTTGGCATCGTAGCAGAAGGCATGAGTCCCCAAGGTGTGCTGTAATCAGGCAGCATGTGCGGCAGGTCAGCCCAGGGAACAGTAATTCTCAACCACAGACATGTATCAAAAGGGGAAGCAGTAATGGAGCTGTTGCCCTGCCGACTGGTAGCTCGTTCCAGGGCAGAACTTTAATTAGTGGCTCCCTTAACAGCCAGGCCTGCTCTGTGTATATCCATAAAAAGCCATCTGAGCACCAAAGTGGCCTCTCCCACTCATTAATGGTCACCTTTCTGCCTGAACCACAACGATCCTGCTGACCCTTGATTTCAGGTGGAAGTGGCTTTTATTCCCTCTAACCCTCAAAGATGGTTTCAAAGCATTTCCTTCACTGGCCCAAGCCCAGAATTCAAGTTAAATGGCTTTGCCAAAGGTGTGAACTAAATGAAGGAAAGTTCTTCTCCTTGGGCTCAGGCAATCTGCAGTCAGCGGGAGGAGTGAGTGCATGAGCAGGAGTGGGGAGCCCTTTGTGTTTTCTGCAGACACTGCTGCAGCTGCTGTGCCTGGAACACACAGTCCCCAGGAGGCCCTCCTTCCCCAGGGCAGCCACACTGTCTCCTCACCTGTAAAGGTGAGGTGTGGCAGCAGTCTGCCAGTTCTCTCCACTGCCACCTGTAAAGCTGGCTCACCTTGGCATCCCAAGCAGTTCTCCCCATAGAGCAAATATGCAAGGTTCCCTTGCTGGATCTGCGTTCCATTAAGGCCTTCTTGGTTTCCTGGTCAGGTCTGCAGTCATCCTAACTTCGTTTATGTTTTATTCCACACAGTCTCTTTTCCACTTTCAAACCATAAGCAGCTGGCACCCTCAGTTGCAGCAGATGACCTTGTCTCATCCTTCTGTGAGCACACCTGAGCTCCTTACCTCTCTTCTATTTCATTTGCAAATGGGTGCCCTGAGGTGCCTCTCCTCCCGGGGCATGGTCCCTTGTGTTTTCCTCCCAGGCAAACCTGCTCCTTGACTCTTCTTCCTCAGGGTCTGGTATAATATCCATCAAGGGATCCTTTCTCAGCCATGCATGTGTTAATGTGTTCTCTCATTCGTGGGCAAACATGAGTCCCTGTTAGAGGGGGTCCTGGCCTGAGGACATGAAGATGGAGTGACATCTCAGGACTGCCCCCGAGGCCCCTACAACCCACTCTGGTCCTTGCATGACCTGTTGCTTCTCTGCTGTGATGAATATAAGGCCTAGTGCATGAGGTCGTGCAGTTCTGGCTGGATAGAGAAGCTGGGGAGAGCCAGTTAATCCAGAATAGTAAGTCATAGAGCCACAGCCCACTTGGAGGAGACAGCAGTGGAGCTGTACTGGGACAGGACACTGGGAGTGCAGTCACAGGTGTCACTGTCAACCAGGCACTTGCCTTATTAGCTGGGTAACCTTAGTCAAGTCTCAACCTCTTTCAGGCATGGTTTCCCATGGGCAAAATGAAAAACAGTAATGGTTGCTAAGACTAGTAGTATTGTAAGAAACTGAATGAGATGGTTGTGAACTTGCCCAATATTGTATAAATAATAAGTGAATTTCTCCTAATTCTGGCTTTCCTTCCTTCCCTCCCTCCCTCTTCCATCCTTCTTCTTTCCCTCCTTCCTTCCTTCTTCCCTTTCTTCAATCCTTCTTCTTCTCATCTTTCTTTTCTTCCTTTTCCCTATCTTCTTTGTTCCTTCCCTCTTTCCCTTCCTCCCTTCCTTTCCTTCTTCCCTCTCTTCTTACTTTCTCTCTTCCTTCCTCTTTTCCTCAATTCTTCTCTTCCTCCTGCCCTCTCTTCATTCCTTCCTTCTTTCCCTTTCCTTTCTTCTCTTCCCTCATTCTTTCTTTCCTTCCTTCCTACATTTTTTCCCTCTCTTTCATCCTTCTTCTTTCCCTCCCCCATTCCCTCTCTACCTCTTTCCATCCCTCACTACCTTCTTCTCTTTCTTTACTTCCTTTCTTCCTCCCTCCCTTCCCTCTTTCCTTCCTTCCTCTCTCCCTTCTTCCCTCCCTTGCTCTTCTTCTCTCCCTCCCTCGCATTTCTTCTCTCCCTCCCTCTGAATTGCCTTCCCTTTCTTTCTCCCCTCCCTCCCTCCCTCCTTCTTTCCTTCCCTCCTTCTATTGCTGCTTCCTTCCCTCCTTTTCCCTTTCCCTCCTCAATTGGTCCTATTGGCTCTAAGAATAGAAGGATGAATAAAGCATAGCCATTGCCCTTAAATAAGCAACCATTTCAGAGGTGAGTACAGATAATGCAGAGCTATGAAAAAGTTGACTGTTATAAGGGACATTAAAAAAACAGTTGACATAAAAAAAGTTGACATTAAAAAAAAGTTTAAGGGACATAAAAAAAGTTGACATAAAAAGTTAACTGTTACAAGAGACATAAACCACTCTCTGGGGAGAAAATAAAGGTAAGATTAATTCTGCCAAAAGGGACAGGAAAGGTGACTGGCCTAGAATCCTGCCTGGAACCCACTTGCTCTGCATTGCTCAGGGTTGGCCCTGTGGCCAAGCTCAGACTCTCACACCGGCTACTAAATATGACTGTACCTCAGCAGATGGATTTAACTCTTGCACACAGGAAGAAAATGGAAGCAACAAACTCAGTTAAAACGGGGCATGAAAGCAGAAATGTGCTATATTCCTAGAGTGCTTTGGGCTTCCTATTCATTCAGAGATCCTCTCTCTTCCCTTTTAAAGGTGAGAAAACAAAGAGCCTGTAACACTGAGTGACTTGTTCAAAGTTGCAAAACTGGCCCCTGGTGGAACTTGGATTACACTCATGTCACTTCAGTCCCTGACCAGAGATCTTTCTGCTCCTGCCTTGCACTCTAGCCTGGAAAAAAGGAAAGGATGGAAAAGTAAAGAGGAAGGGAAAAGCAAAAGGGAAGGGGAAGAACAAGGGGAAGTGGAGAGAAAGAGAAGGGAAAGGGAAGGGAAGGAGAGAGGAAGGGAGGGGAGGGGAGGGGAAGGGAGGGGAGGGGAGGGGAAGGGAGGGGAGGGGGAGGGGAGGGAAGTGAAGGGAAGGGAAGGGAAAAAGGGGGGATGGGAAGAGAAGGGAAAGGAAAGCAAGGAAAAGGAAAATAAGTGGAAAGGAAGAAAGGAAAGAGGGAGGGAGGGAATAAAGGAAAGAAGGAAAGAAATGAGGGAGAGAAAGAGGAAAAGGAGAGAGACGGAGGAGGGAGGGAGAAAGGGGAGAAGGAGGGCAAAGGGAAGGAAGGAAGGAAAGAAAGGAACAAAGAAGGAAGGAAAGAAGAAAAGTTAATCGCAACAATTCATTGCACTGGCAATAAATAAATTGTATATTCCTTCAACGCCTGCAAAGTCCCCTATATTTTCTCGAATTACTCAGCTCATCAAGCTGCATGGGTATTGCTCTTCTTCACAAAGGACAGCAATCCCTTGGAAACTGCTTTCCTCCCTCATTCTATCAGGCCTGTAACACTATCTCTGAGAATATCTAACAGAACAAAGCCATTTGGACACTTGGTCACTTAATTCATCCTCAGTTTTGTCAGGCCTCTTCTTGAAAACTTGGCTATCTCATATTCATGGCTCTCTACTGGAAGCAGCTGGCTGGGACAAGAAGTTTCTGATTCAGAGAGACCGGTGATTGAGGTGGGATTAATAAAGGGACATCATTATTTCCTCAGCTGAGCCCCCAATCAATTTTTCAGTTAGAATCCTGGACACATAATGTTACTGTTTCGTTCTTATTAGTCACATGTGTTTGGGGCTACCCCATCGTAACCACATGAGAGTACTGTTGGCAAAACAAAACAAACAGGATGTTTAATGACAAGAACAGAATTAGCTAATAAGTCAAATAACAAAATTTGTAGCCTAACCAATGCTATAAAAGCACTTGATTTTATAGAACCGAGGGCCCATTTTGCACATTACATATGATCACACCTCGAGCCGTGTTTTTATTTTGGTGGTGTTGTGAAAGGTGTGATATTTGGATTAGAGCATCATAAAGACACAGAAGCCATAACTGATTAGAGCATGTGATGAGAGGCAGGTGGGTGGGTAGGCAGCTGCAGCCACAGCAAATGTGGCCTGTCTCTTTTCTGAGGGTAACAAGAAACGAAAGGGCCGAGTGTGGTGGCTCACACCTGTAATCCCAGCACTTTGAGAGGCCGGGTGGATCATTTGAGGCCAGGAGTTCAAGACAAGCCTGGGCAACAAAGCAAGATCCCATCTCTACCAAAAAAAAAAAACAAAAAAAAAACAAAAGAAAAAACCTAAACGAAACAAAACAAAACAAACAAACAAAAAATTAGCCCTGTGTGGTGACCTGTACACCCAGCTCCTCCGGAGTCTGAGGCAGGAGTTTGAGGCTGCAGTGGGCCGTGATCATGCCACTGCACTGAAGCCTGGGTGACAAAGTGAGATCGTGTCTCTAAAACATTAAAAAAAAAAAAAAAAGGAAAAATGAGAGTGAGAACTGAAACAGCAGAAGGGCTCAAATCATCCTGTACATAGAAATCCTCCATCCAGGCCAGGCGCGGTGGCTCACCAGCATTTTGGGAGACCGAGGCAGGAGGATCACGAGGTCCGGAGATCGAGACCATCATGTCCAACATGGTGAAACCCCGTCTCACTAAAAATACAAAAACAAAATTAGCTGGGGGTGATGGCGGACGACTGTAGTCCCAGCTACTCAGGAGGCTGAGGCGGCAGAAAGGCATGAACCCGGGAATCGAGCTTGCAGTAAGTGGAGATCGCGCCACTGCGCTCCAGGCTAGGCCACAGAGCGAGACTCCGTCTGAAAAAAAAAAAAAAGAGAGAGAGAGAGAGAAAGAAATCCTCCATCCAGCCCTGTTGGTTGTGTATGTGTTGGAGGGGGTGGAGGGGCAGCCTTCTCAGGCTTTCAAGGAGGGCTCCCTAGCACCTCAGCTAAGATTTGTTTGTCTATACTATTAAAAGATAGACATAACTGTGTCCCAAACCAGCCTCCCCAGTTCCCACCAGCCAGAGCGCCTGACCTTGCAGGGAAGCTTATCTGTTTACCGTCCGAGCACTTTCAGGGATTCTAAAATGCCGTGAGTGGGAACCACTGCCATGGGCCATTTCCATGAAAATTCAATTTCGGGGATTAATTTGAACAGGTACTATTGACGTTTTCTCGTTTACACAAGATCAAAGAGTAAAAACAACCGGGCCTCTGCTTAACAGTTGAGGATTCTAGCAAAGTTAGGAAACAGGTTTCTATTTGTAGTAGAAGAGAGAGCAGGCAGAAAGAGGAAGATGGGAGCGGGGAGAGATTGGCAGAGATTCAGAAAGTTCGCGCTTGAGATTTTTACGTTTCTTACTCGTAAACGTCTATTTCTCTGGGTTTCTGAATGCAAAGACGAGAAAGTCTCAACAGTCTGCTAAACTAACACGGCCTTCGAATCCCAATCTGAACACAGTAGCTGAAACAAGCTGTCCACAAAGAGGAAAGCCAGAGGGGGCCAATTAGGAAGGAAGAAATTAAAGAAAAGAGAAAAGCCAAGATGAAAGGTCCAGCGCAAAGTGAATGACTCGACTGGAGAATGGCAGCCCTGGCAGGGTCTGCGGCCGGCTGCGGAGGTGGGGACGCGGCCGCGCGGACGAGTGACAGGTTGGTCCGGCGCAGCAAAGGGAGCGGGTGCGGCGGTAGGGCCTCTCCGGGGGCAGCGCGAGGGCCTCCCCCGGGGCAGCGCGGGCCAAGGCGGGGCCTCCAGAGCGGGGGCAGCAGAGGAGGGAGCGGAACGGGAGCCGGGCGGAGGCGGCTGCGGCAGGGGGAGGCGGGAGGCGGGCGCGCTAGCTCCCATGCTGGCCTCGGTGCCACTCGCGCGCCGGCCGCGCTCCGGGCTTCTCTTTTCCCTCCGACGCGCCACGGCTGCCCAGACATTCCGGCTGCCGGGTCTGGAGAGCTCCCCGAACCCCTCCGCGGAGAGGAGCGAGGCGGCGCCAGGGTGGCCCCCGGGGCGCGCTTGGTCTCGGAGAAGCGGGGACGAGGCCGGAGGATGAGCGACTGAGGGCGACGCGGGCACTGACGCGAGTTGGGGCCGCGACTACCGGCAGCTGACAGCGCGATGAGCGACTCCCCAGAGACGCCCTAGCCCGGTGTGCGCGCCAGGCGGAGCGCGCAGGTGGGGCTGGGCTGTTAGTGGTCCGCCCCACGCGGGTCGCCGGCCGGCCCAGGATGGGCGCTGGCAACCCGGGCCCGCGCCCGCCGCTGCTACCCCTGCGCCCGCTGCGAGCCCGGCGTCCGGCCCGCGCCCTGCGCTCATGTATGTAGGTTTGGCGCCGGTCTTCAGGGCTGAGGGTGCATGCTGGGTGTCCCCGCGCGGCCGGACGCGCTCCAGCTGGGTTCAGCCGCTCAGCTGCTCCGGAGGAACCCCCTCCCCCGCCCAAGTTTGTGAATATGGGCGCTTCGCCCAGTGTTGAGGTCGGCAGGGACCGGGCAGGGGGTCAGCAGGGCCGGGCACGTCCGGAGCCCTCAGGGAGGAGGGCTGAGGGGGAGGGGACAGACGCACCGGAGTGCGCAGAGTGGGGGCGTTCGGGGAGTGAGGCGGAGAGAGGCTGGATTGCCGGTGTCCTGCGGCGTCTCGGGCTCTCCCAGCCCCTTTGGGCGGCAGAAACTTTGGAATCCAGAAAGGCTGGCCGGGATCCAGCGAGTAGGAGGGTCTCGCGCCCACTCTGCGCCCTGGGGCCCCAGCCTCCCGCACTGCACACCTTGGTGCTGCCCGGGCGCTTCTGCTCCGCAGCCAGGACACTACAAGACTGAGCGCTGCGGCCGGCGACCTGGCTCCCAAGGCTCGGAGGGGCGGGCCGGCAGAGGAGCTGAAGCCCCGGGAATCCCCGACCCGGCCCTCTGGCAAGGGGCCGAGGGCATCCTTTCATGCAGCGGGGCTTAGAGAGCGGGGAGGGGGCGTCTGCTCCCGAGACGGGAGTCTTTTAAGAAGTTGTTAGAAATGAATCGTGGAGTCCTAGGAGAAGCTTTGTTTAACCTCCCCGCATTTTCCCAGCACAACCCCCTAAAGCAAATGAGGAAGAGTTTCCCTCTTATCTTCCTGTACATTCGTCCGTCTCTAACTCCACTGCTGAATTCTCCATTTAATAACCTTCGGGAAATGTGGCCAGGACCTAGGGAGGGACACCCTGGGTGCCTGAATTACGTGGTTCAAGGCAGAGCTTTGCAGGGGGGCGCGGGCCTGGCTCGCTGCGTTCCCTGGGCTCCGCAAGCCGCCCTTGGCCATCTCCAACACTAATCACGACTACATCAGAAACACGCCGGCCGGTGTCGTTCTTGGATTTCGCTTCCAATGTATCGCTCCACAGTTTGTGATGTCTAAGAACCCCGGCCGTGCACCGACGCTGGGCATGCTGCCCCCGCCCCCGTCGCCCAGCTCGTTAATCTAGAGCTATGCCGGAGCCCGGGTGGGGGCCGCGGCGGGCCGGGGCGCGCGCGGGCCGCGGGGCTCAGTTGTGCTGCTGTTCTCTCCGCAGGGACGGCGGCTCCCGGCTGGCGGCGGCGCGCCCCCGGGCTGTGAATGCGACTCGCCCCTCGGCCGCGCTCCCCGCCCGCCCGCCCGCCGGGACGTGGTAGGGGATGCCCAGCTCCACTGCGATGGCAGTTGGCGCGCTCTCCAGTTCCCTCCTGGTCACCTGCTGCCTGATGGTGGCTCTGTGCAGTCCGAGCATCCCGCTGGAGAAGCTGGCCCAGGCACCAGAGCAGCCGGGCCAGGAGAAGCGTGAGCACGCCTCTCGGGACGGCCCGGGGCGGGTGAACGAGCTCGGGCGCCCGGCGAGGGACGAGGGCGGCAGCGGCCGGGACTGGAAGAGCAAGAGCGGCCGTGGGCTCGCCGGCCGTGAGCCGTGGAGCAAGCTGAAGCAGGCCTGGGTCTCCCAGGGCGGGGGCGCCAAGGCCGGGGATCTGCAGGTCCGGCCCCGCGGGGACACCCCGCAGGCGGAAGCCCTGGCCGCAGCCGCCCAGGACGCGATTGGCCCGGAACTCGCGCCCACGCCCGAGCCACCCGAGGAGTACGTGTACCCGGACTACCGTGGCAAGGGCTGCGTGGACGAGAGCGGCTTCGTGTACGCGATCGGGGAGAAGTTCGCGCCGGGCCCCTCGGCCTGCCCGTGCCTGTGCACCGAGGAGGGGCCGCTGTGCGCGCAGCCCGAGTGCCCGAGGCTGCACCCGCGCTGCATCCACGTCGACACGAGCCAGTGCTGCCCGCAGTGCAAGGAGAGGAAGAACTACTGCGAGTTCCGGGGCAAGACCTATCAGACTTTGGAGGAGTTCGTGGTAAGATGCGAACGCCCGCCGGGCGACTTTGCACCTTCCAGGAAGGGGTGGAACAGCTTTGGTTCTGTGGTCCCCCACTTTGAAGAAGAGGTGCTCTCTGGTTCTGAGAGGTGGAGAGCACTGTGCTCACGTCCCTTTGACATGACCTCTCTTTTTCAGGGCAGAGGTAATCCTTCCCAGAGCACTGTGGCCAATCCATAGGGATTCCTTCGGTGTTCACTTTAAAAGGGCTTCATGAGGATGAAGCCTATGGCACTGAAGGGAAGGATCCCAACAGGTATCGGAGGGACTTTCAACATTAATGTACTGCTCCTAATTTGGGAATGTTGTCGGTGAAATTCTTAACCTGCTTTCAAACACAGGGTAATTTACGGTACCATTTGGGATATATTCTTCAACTAATAGCTAATTAAGGGAGACTATTCATATAAAAAGCCATTTCCCTAGATTATGTGTTTAGGGTATCATGCAAATGTTCTAAAAATTAAAAGAAAAAGAAAATATTTGCTCACTGGGTGCCAAATCATAGTGGATGGTGAAACCAACAAGTGCAGTTAATGGTTAAAAATTGTTTTGTTTCAGATGAGTAGTAGTAATGTTAATAATACCGGCCATCTCTCTAATGCCTACTGTGCGTCAGGATCCCGCTGGTTTTCATGTACGTTAGTTAAATCTCATCCCATGCTAGGAGGTGGATTATTATCCATTGTCTCCATGTTATGGAGAAGAGGAAACAGACACAGAATATTTAAATAATGTGTTGAAGGCAGAACAGCTATTAAGAAACAGATTCATATGTCAAACTAAGCAGTTCTACTCCATAGCTTAGGTTTTTAACCCTTATACTCTACTTGAACCAAAAGCCCAGCTCCACTGGGGCTTTAGTTTGGGTGAAGGTGCTGCACAGCATGCATGCACAGGCTCTAGGTAAAATCTCTGCCAGTGGGCTAGGGGCCTGAGAGAGACCTGCACAGGTGTTCAGTTATTCCAAACACCTCAAGGTAGGTTCAACCTATGGCCTGCCTGGACTTAGCCCATTGACTTACCAGGCCATAGCTGTCCTTTTCCCACCTGCAGAGGGCGTTATGGAACGTGCAGCTACTAAAGCAAAGGTTTAGGGAGGAATTCTGCTGGAATACCCCTCCTGGAATTAGCCTGTGAGATCTGCTAATTCCCAGGATGTGAAGCCCATGTAATTACTGACTTGTGGCAATGAATTATCAAGTGTTATATAAGTACAAAGCCAGGAAGGACAGATCTATATATAGTGTACAAAGTATGGAAAGAGTGCTGGAATTTAGAGTCAGGAAACATGGTTATTCATTCTGGCTTTACCACTAACCAGCTGCAGGACTGGAACAAAAGACATATGCCCTCTGGGTTTCTTTTCTCTTATCTGTAAGATAAGGGGCCAGCTTTCCCTAGGCTCATGTAGCAAAATATAACTCCAGGCATACATTGCTTAAGTACTCACATTTGACTGCAGCCCTTTGGAGAAAGACAACTGGGATGAGCAACTCATATGAACCACGCCCAGGCCATGCAAAATTAACTAAATCAGAAACCCTGCCCTCAAAATGCTTCCTGCCTACGGGAGGGTCTGGTAGATATCTCTCCAGGTGTTTTGGGTGCAGAACAAAAGTTCACAGGCAAATGTGTCCAGGTAAAGGAACCTGTGGGTGCTAGAAGAGCTCAGAGGAGGGGCCTTCCATTTTGGCCTGGAGCAGGGTCATAGAACACTAGAACAATTCTCTTAAGTTTTGAATTGGTAACATCATCGGCTCTTCTAAAGTCAAAGATAAGCAGTTGGTTTTTAATTAATTCCTTTTGTTGTTTGCACTATTTATAGTTTCATAGTAATTTTCTGGAATTGTCCTTAGAAGTAAACTGAGGAATTAGTAGCACTTTGATCTAGTAAGCCCAAATACTTCAGTGTCCACTTACCTACCTGAGATCACAGGTAAAGGAAATAATTCAAACTTCTGTCTTAACAATTCATGCTAAATGCTAGCAGCCATGAAGCTGCTTTTGTCTATGGAGGAGAGGGATCTCTCATTTAATTTCCTCTTTGCTACCTGTTTGGTAGTCCATAGGTAGAATGTGTTTTCAAACTCTGAGGATGGGAGATGATATTGACAAAAGGGAAATTGGAAAGATTACAATCTTAGGAAGAATTAAAATACCAGTAAAGCTATTTTTGGAATATTAAGTGCATCTTCCATCTTCAAATGACGTTTCATTCTAAACTTTCATCATTTATTACCAGATGCTGGGATGCACACATGCTTGAACGTTGCAAAGTTGTTACATATTTTTAATTATATGCTTGTTCTTACAATATGTCAACTACATAAAGATTTTATAGTGTTAGAGCATGTTTGCTCATTTTTGTTAGTATCGGGAACATTTCTAGGCATTCTGCTAATTTATCGTGGCCTTGTGCAAGCCATTTATTGTCTCCATTTTTGTTTCCTTCAATGTACAAAAGAGAAAGCAATGCTTTTTTTGAAGAATGTTGAAAATATGAATGTAGAATGGTATAGGGTTAGTTGTGAGTCCACGGGCTTTGTGGGTTGCAGTAATGGAGATTTGTCATGATGCTGAGTACCAGGGCACAGAAATTGTTAACATGCCTGCTCTGGGTATTCTGGGTTTCAGAGAGAGATTGTAGTCTGTAATGTGCATAGCACAAAGTACATGGAAAATGAAAAAGGAAAGCATTCTGTCTGAAGTGCTTTGCACTTCTCTGAAGAAAATGTGATTCAAATGGAGATTGTGGTACAGTCGGGTCATGCCTGGAACACTGTTTACTTTAGCAAGGAAGGAAGTGAAAGTGAGATTATTTGGGCCTCAGTCCCTGCAAGATGCATAGATCCTTTAACAGTCTGTTCTCTGCTTCCAGAGAGGGAGAGAGAGAGAGAGAGAGAGACAGAGACAGAGAGAGAGGGGAAATTACTAGTTATTGATGGAGGCTTGACCCTCTTTGAGCAGTAGATTAACTCCAGAGCCTGGCTGTGCTTGTGATGTGCAGGGTATTTGGCTCCGGCAGGAGTGCGGTTTCTCCCTGTCTTCATAGGCTTCTCTTTCTTTGGGCATGTTTTGTTGCTGCTTTCTCTACTCAGTTTTCTGCATATTCTAAACTTGTTTTTTCCCTTCTTTCTGTACTCTTTTACCCCATTAAAACTTCCTCTCTTTACAGCCTGTTTGATCTCAGTTAGATACTTGTGAAAGATCTCACTGACTCCACAAAATACCATTAAGCTGCTAATAATAATGAGAGTAATGTGTTCATTCCTCCAGGGATGGTTGTAATTTAATTTGTACATCCAAATAAAAACATAGTTAATAGTAGAATTTTCTCCACTGCCTCTCAAATGATACCAAGTGTCTTTTTTTCTTTAACTTATACCAGCAGGCATCCAACTTTGAATAAGGAAACTTGTCTATTGGCTTATTTTTTTTTTTCAGTAAAGGAATGATATTTTTAACTGTTTTCTGCTTCCTACAGTACATTAGTCTGCTAGGGCTGCCAGAGCAAAGTAACACAGACTGGGTAATTTAAACAGAAATTTGTTGTCTTGGAATAAATCTGGAAATCCAAGATTTTCAGACTTCCACATTTCCAAGTAATCTGGAAGTCCAAGATCAAGGTGTCAGCAGGGCTGGTTTCTTCCGAGGCCTCTCTCCTTGGCTTGCAGATGTCCATCTTCTTCCTGTGTTTTCTCATGGTGTTCCCTCTGCATCTGTCTGTGTCCACATCTCCTCTTCTTATAAGGACACACTCATATTGGATTGGGGCCTGACTTCATTTTAACTTAATTACCTCGTTAAAGACCTGTCTCCAGACAGTCATATTCTTAGCTACTGGCGTGAGGACTTCAAAATTTGAATTGTAGAAGCACACAGGTTAGCCCAAAACATAGTGTCAATGACCAAAATTGACTTCCTAAAACAGACCTAACGAGGTAGTAACAGTGGGGTGTGTGAGGATGCATCAGCACACATGATGGGAAAACAGTGCTTATGACGAAGGCACGGAGTGAGTGGTGATGAAGTGTATGCCAATGAACATTAACTGAGGGGCTCAACTTGACCATTCTGATTCTGTGTCTATTGCATTCTGAGAGCTACTTTAGGAGTTCCTGTATTACTTATGTGAATGGATCCTTGTGTCACAGAAAACTAAAAGGTGACTAAGGGTAGGGAGAGGGGCTGTATTGAGCAGTTGTAAATTTTGCCTCAGTGGCCACATGATTTGTTCAGAAGCAAATCACATTTGAAATGTGTTAATTGAAAAAAAATCATTCTATTTTGCTCAACAAAACAAGTTGTTTTCATCATGGGAATCTTGGTCTCCTGGAGGACTGTGATGGTGGAAAGGGGAGTTTGCAAGCTTATTTCATGTTTTATAAAACCTAATGGAATTTTTGTGACTCTGAAATAGGGCCATACAGGATAACTAAATCTTCACATTTCTTTGCTTTTGGTAGGATTGATATCAGCAAAGTGTGTCAACACTGGTTATCGTAGCCGATCAGGAGCTCTGATTGGCAATTGTATAAGTCTTTGAAGAAAAAGGGAAGATGAATTATTAATAAGTGAAGCTTACTAGACTGTCTTTCAAAGCATAAGAACTGTTGAGAGAGAGATAACAGGAAGGGGTACTTGGAGGTGAAATGATTTGGGACCACTGAGTTAAACCAAATTCTCTCTGACTGCCTCCGTATCTGACTTGCCATTAACCCCACTGCAAAATCTTATTTCTAGGTTTTTATCAATTAAAAAAATTTGAACATGAAATTTGGAATCAAAACCTTCATCTAAATAGATCTCTATATCAATTATGAGAAAGTGCCAGCAAAGAGAAAGCTACGGTTATTCACACTTTTCAGTCTAATGGTATTTATATTCTTTTGGCTGATGTTACTTAACTGAAAACAATGCTATTATTATCCACCTTCACTAAGTAAAATGAGTCAATCTGTGTTCTTTTCTGCAAGTCAGGCTAATGCATGTACTGTTGCTGTCTCTGAGTTTGTTTTGGTTCTGAGTAAGATTTTGTAAATTCTCTACTTCTCATTTTCTACCCTTGTGTCTAAAGCCATTTAAACAGTGACTTTTTTTTTTAAAGAGGGAGTCATATGCCATATCTAGACTCTTTAGATGTGTTCCTAACTCAGGTGGGGGAAACACAGCTTTAAAAACTGCTTATTTGCATGTTCCATACAATATCTGATGTGAAGTATGATAGAATTAACACCATAATCTTTTACAGTGGGCAGAAGGGAATCAATATTTATCTAGTGCCAATATTTTTTATATATTGGCTTTTCTGGAGTAATTTACACAACAGACTGAGTTGGTGGTATTTTCTTTATTTTTAAAGGAGAGAAAACTAAGGTCCGAAAAAGTTAAATAGCTTGATCAAGGTCATAGAGCTAGTAAATGGTGAAGACAGGATTTGAATCCTAGCGTGTTGGACTCTGAAGATCGTGCATAGTGTCTTCGTGACCATATGGTGATGAAGTGGCATTTTGCGTGTGGTGGAGAACATTTCAGGTACCCGGAAAAAGGAAAAGTTATACAAGCCCAGAGTGCCTTGCTTATATGTATGTCCAATAAATGCTTGATCCACTTGGCTAAGCATTTATTTACATGGATTTGTCATATTTGACTTGGCCATCTGATGAACAAAATAATGTCTGTGTCCTTCAAAGGATGAAGTCTTGAGTCGTAATGGGACTAAAAGCACTTAGTCCCAGGATTTCCCTGAGAGCAAGGGGGAATGAGTCCAGGGGGCAGTGAAAAGAAGACTAGATCCCAAGAGGCAGGTAGGACTCCAGGGATTATCAGACCCATGTGGGGCAACAGGTGGCCCAAGAGGAAGATCTGGTTCTAGGAGGTATTCTATTTGGCTCATGGCATATAAAACATTTGTTTACTAGTGCCTGTATTTGACAAGCGGGAGGTTCATATAAATTCCCAGATTGCCTAATTCTTACAAAAATGAAATGATTCCCAGATGGCAGCCATCTGTCAGAGCTGGGCAGGGCTGCCCCTTTGGGAGGGCATTTGTTTTCCAGCTGACCACACCCCCCTTGCAGATGTGTGATTCACCCATGCTCCTGTAAATAAATACATGACTTTGAAAAGCCTCTTGTTCATAGGCAGTGAAAATTCACCTTAGAAAATTAGTGCCCCCTCCAAAATCATACAGGCAGTTGATATCATGAGGAGGTTTAGGAAAGCAGGTCCCATGCTCTCCAGTCCTTTCCTCTTCAGTTTTGGTGGAGAATCAGCTTCTGGGACTTTGAGGACAGGGTACTTATCATCTGAACGGTGGGGTGAATGGGGTTCTGTTTTATCCAGTGCTTCCCTGGACAACTTTCAGAGCCTTGTTTTCTAGTGGTTAAAAAAAAAAAAGATAATGGGGCCTGGTGTGGTGACTCATCCCTGTAATCCCAGCACTTTGGGAGACTGAGGTGGGAAGATGACTTGAGTCCAGGAGTTCAAGCCCAGTCTAGACAACATAGTGAGGCCACATCTCTACAACAAATTGAAAAAAAAAAAAAAGGCCAGGCATGTTGGTGTGCTCACCTGTAGACCCAGCTACTTGAGAGGCAGAGGCAGGAGAATGGCTTGAGCCCAAGAATTTGAGGTTGCAGTGAGTCATGATTGGGCCACTGCATTCCAGCCTGGACAACAGCATAAGACCCCATCTTAAAAAACAGAAAAGAAAAGAAAAAAAAGTGGATAGTATTCTGCATTCCTCTCCCATTATAAGAAGTAAATAAGATGTATGTGAAAGCAATTTGAACCTGTAAAGCTCTGAACAAAGTTCATGTGGATATTTAGACAAGTTCTGCAGAGTGTGCAGCTCAGGGGGAGGTAGCCACGCCCTGGTCCAGATTTTGGTCTCTAGAAGGACTCTTGTAGAACCTCTAATCATTAGGGACTGGCTCCATGGAGCTGCTTTTCCATAAAACATTACCTCCTCAGATGATATCTCTAAATCTGATAAGTCCCAACGGAAACATTATTCTTACATTTATTTGAAAATATTTAGGACACCATGTGTGTGAGGCCCTGGGCTGCATCCTAGAGATGTGACGGGAAGTAAATGGCCCCCTCCAGGAGACAGGCAGCAGTAGTGTGGTGTGTGAGGCACTGTGAGAGCTTGGGTCAGGGGGTCAAGGGGGCACACAGTAGAAGCCACTCTATTATTATTAATAGACTCCACTGTTGTTGATGGCTTGTTTTTAAATGACAGAGGAATCCTGGGCCAGATGTTCTAGGGAAAAGAAAAGAGTGTATCAAATGTAACAACTGTGAGTTTGCATGAAGGATATGGCTTCCCACCCAGGCCTACCTACCCTGTGACCATCCTTCATGGTACTTTTCTGACCACGTAGCTGGAAATCCTTCTTACTGCTTGTCTGTTCCAAGGCTGAGATCCTGCCAGCTGGATCATACTTCTCATTCTATTTCTGTCGGGCACTGGGGTGCGGCCAGGACATAGACTGCCTTTCAAATCTGTGGAAAAGGATGATGTCAGGCCTCTGCCGAGGGCCCTGTGAGTTCTCTCAGAAGCCTTAGGCCTGTGGAAAAGCATAGAGCTTGAAAATTAAAACTCCATGGCCAGGCACAGTGGCTCATGCCTATAATCCCGGCAGTTCGGGAGGCCGAGCTGGGAGGATCACTTGAGCCCAGGAGTTTAAGACCAGCCTGTGCAACATAGTGAGACCCTGTCTCTAAAAAAAATAATAATAATAAAATAAAATAAAGAAAAAAAAGAAAAGAAATTAAAATGCCAGGTGGCTCTGCACATTTCCAAGTATCCAAGAATAGCAAAAGTGATGATGCTTTAAACATGAGACCTCTCCTTCCTTTCCTGGGAATATGGAGGATAGCCTGACAACTCACCTTCAACAAAATGCCTGAAATCCTGAATATCATATAAAACACATATTTTTAAAAGAAAAATGTTATTTGTATAAATTGATGGGGTACTGTGTAATTTTATTACATGGATACACTGCGTAGTGGTGAAGGAAGAGCTTCTAGTGTAGTCATCACCAGAATAATGTACACTGCATCCAAATAATGTACACTGCATCCATTACATAATCTCTCATTATTTACTCCCTCCCCATCCCTGACACCTTTCTGAGTCTCCATTGTCTGTCATTTCACATTCTATATTCATTTTTAAAAGCACAGCTGAAGTGGCAAGAAAATAAGAGAAATTAATTTCTAGAGGTGGAGTTGGAATCCATAGAGCAAAGTCTGCCTTGAAGTTGTGGCTGTCTGGGAGCATCTCTTGATCTTGGGGCCTGGGCCCTTGGCACTCATGGCCAATCATTACCGGGTTGTGGCACGTGAAGAGTTCAGGTCCCCAAGTAGAAAGAATCAGATCAGGATCTATCTTATAAAGCCAGGGCACCCAAGAGCCTGTACTGCAATGGGACAGTGTAGGCAAACATCTTTCAATGGGCCTTGGCTCTGTCCAGAGGAGAAAGAAATGTTTGTGTTTTCCCCAAGTCATTGCCATCTGTAGCAGGCTTACCCTCTTATGGATGTGGAGCCCAATTCATGCTTCCCTGTGTGGTCTGCAAAGTCCAAATGGAATATGTGTTTTTAAATGGATCAACAGGTATCTGATCTAAACAAACACACACGGGGTGAATGCACCCTTCACCCAGGCTGCAAAAAATTCCCACAAGTAGTGTTCCAAGTAATGTGACCTCAAAAGAAAAAGTACTCACAAGAAGAAAGGGCAATGTGAGCAAGAATCAGCTGAGGCAAAAGCAGTTGAATCAGACCCAGATATTGGGATGTAAAATGAGTATATTTGATATATACTTATTTACATATATACATATAAAGAAAATGCTGGAATAAAGTGCATGGGTAAAGAACAGAAATATATCCCCAATCCTAGTCAGCTTTGAATAAGAATCAGATAAAGCTTGTTTAAGTGAATGATACATTTAATGAATGATATCAATCCCATGGAATTAATATTCAATGGGAGGGATTAACAGTTGTAGACTAGATGCAGTTTAAGATATAATTAGCAAACCAGCACACAGATCTGAAGAAGTTAACTAGTATGAAACATAGACATATAGATGGAACACAGGAAAGAGATGTTTCGATACATGGAGGATAGAGTGAAAAGATCTACCACACATCTGCTTAGAATTCTGAGATTGTAGAGAATGGGAGAAATTTAGATAGTTCCAAGAGACGGCAGTTCCAAGACTTTCTAGTTGAAAGTCTGCTTAGAATTCTGCTTAGAATTCTGAGATTGTAGAGTATGGGAGAAATTAAGATAGTTCCAAGAGATGGCAGTTCCAAGACTTTCTAGTTGAAAGACATCTATTTTCTCATTCAGGAAACCCAATGAATCTAAAGAAAGATAAATAAAAATATATTCACATCCAGCCATATTATAGAGACTGCAGAACAACAAAGGCAAAATAAAGATGTTCAGAGCAACCAGAGAAGACATTACATCCAGAATAACAGTGAGTAGGCTTACAGCAGACATCTGATCAACAGAAAACACAGCACAGTAGGAGAATATTTTTAAATAAGAGAGAAACAAGTGTTAATCCGATTGATGTATCCAACAAAATTGTCCTTCAGGAATGAGCCTAAAGAAAGATACTTTATACAATAGAGAGCTGACCACCAAAAAATATTTACTAAAAGAACTTTAAAATAAGAGTCTAAAGGATGAAATTTAGGAAGAAGGAAAATGATCCCAGAAGCAAAGTCACAGAATCAAGAAGGAGTGGATAAAACTTAACTGTTTACTAAGCTGTACACCAGTGGAGCTCAGCTGGGGGCAACATTGTTTGCCTTCCCCCAGAAGACTTTTGCAAGGTATTTGTTACCTGGGTATATAGTGTGATGCTGAGGTTTGGGATAAGAATGATCACATCACTCAGGTACTGAACATAGTATGCAACAGTTAGTTTTTCAACCCTTGCCCACCTCCCTCGCCCCTCTCATAGTCTCCAGTGTCTATTGTTCCCATCTTTGTGTACATAAGTGCCCAATGTTTAGCTTCCACTTATAAATGAAAACATGTGGTATTTGGTTTTCTGTTCCTGCATTAATTCACTTAGGGTAGTGGTACCCAACTGCATCCATGTTGCTGCAAAGGACATCATTCCATTCTTTTTTATGACTATGTAGTATTCCATGGTGTATATGTACCACATTTTATTTATCCAATCCACCGTTGATGGGCACCTAGGTTGATTCCATGTCTTTGCTATTGTGAGTAGTGCTGCAATGAACATAGGAGTGCATGTGTCATTTTGGTAGAAGGATTTATTTTCCTTTGGGTATATACCCAGGAATAGTATTGCTGGGTAATAGGTAGCTCTGATTTAAGTTCTTTGAGAAATCTCCAACTACTTTCTGCAGTGGCTGAACTAATTTACATTCCCTCCAACAGTGTATTAGTGCTCCCTTTTCTCTGCAGCCTCACAAGCATCTGTTATTTTGTGACCTTTTAATAATAGCCATTCTGACTGGTGTGAGATAGTATCTCATTGTGATTATGATTTGTGTTTGTCTGATGATCAGTGATGTTGAGCATGTTATCATATGCTTGTTGGCTGCTTGTTTGTCTAATTTTGAGAAGTGTCTGTTCATGTCTCTTGCCCATTTTTTAATGGAGTTATTTGTTATTTGTTTGCTGATTTGTTTAAATTTCTTATAGATGGTGGACCTTTGTTGGATGCATAGTTTGCAAATATTTTCTCCCATTCTGTAGACTGTCTGTTTACTCTGTGGATAGATTCTTTCACTGTGCAGAAGCTCTTTAGTTTAAATATTCTTAGAAAACAGGTACTGGGAGCCAGCTCAGCCTTAGGCCAAATCATCAAGTAGGTGAACACTTCAGAGGCATCCCCAGCTGGTCAGAACTGCCCACCACCAAGTTCTCAGCCACTCACCAAGTTCTCACTACTCAGCCATGGGCAATTTTTCCTACCCTTCCTGTAATGAAGGTCAGAATGCTTGGAAATCAGATTCCTTTCCTACTGCTCTGTGTACCCTTAGGGCAATAGGCCAATCAGAAATAAATAGTACCTTCAACCATACCAAACAGATTGGCCCTTCTGTATGTATCTTTGCTTTCCTCATATCTAGCTTTAAAAACAATTCTTATTTATATTTTACTTCCAAATTCTGTATGCTTTTAAAAAAGAGAGCTCAATATTTTTGTTTTAGAAAGCTTGAAACAAATGAAATATAATAAAATTAATTTCAAGTAAGTCACTATTCTTATTAATTCCTCTTGATATGCCAGGAGCTAAACCTCCCCACCTGGTGACACTGTGGCATTGTTGACAACTATGCTCTGGGGACATGGAGGGAAACAAGCCCCACCCGTGGGGAGCCTGGGATGTGCAGGGAGCCAGCAGGTGGCCAGATGCTCACCTTTCTTTCTCACGTGGGGCAGAACTGCCCCGAGCGCCTCTACCTCCACTCGCTGTGCTTTTGCTGCGTCACACACACAAATGTCATGAGTGGGTAGGTTGAAAAAGAATATGGCTTTTGACAAGGCTGCTGCTGTGGCCTGGGCAGGAGAAGCAGGAGAGAGACAGGCAGCTGAGGGGTACACTGTGCTCTAATGTCAGCCTCCCAGCTCAGGGTAACCTCCCACTGGTAGCAGAGTTCATGTCTGGGCTCCCAGTCCTCTCCAGGAAGCTAAGAAAATCAGCTTATCTTGCTTCTAGGTAACAGCAAGGGATGACAGATATAATTTAATGGTCAGATCTCAGGGACCATTGCGCCGTATGTCTGGGTGCAAAGAGTCCCTTTCTGTGTGAGTGAGCACTGCTGTGTCTTCTCCACCAGAGCTTAAAACTCCATGGAAAGGGACTTCATCAAACGGAGAAACCACAGTGGGTGTCCTGTTCTAATTTCAGCCTACTTTTGAATAGGCTTAGCTTCAAGAAGAGATTCAGGGCCAGTGATGGGAACCCACAGTGCCTGTCCACTCCTGGCTCGGGCTGTGGTCCAGCACTTCCTGGGTAATTGGCAGCTGATGTGTTGAAGGAGCTTTAACAAGACAAGCAAACCCTGACTTCAGGCAGTGTCCAGACGGGCATCCATTTGGGTCACTCTACAGTTGGGGGTGCGAGCAGGGCTGTTGGAGCCCGGCCAGCTTTGGGCAAAGGCAGACTGATGGGTGCCTTTGGTCATCTTCACTTCCTGCTTGTAGTGGGCATTGTCACTGCCATCTCAAAGAATGCCAAACGGGAGCACTGTAGTTCTGTTTTCCCCTGGCCTGTGTGTGTGTGTGTGTGTGTGTGAGAGAGAGTGTGTGGGTGTGTAAGACAGTGTGTATGAGTGTGTGTGAGTGTGGGTGTGAGACAGTGTGAGTGTATGTGTAAGTGTGAGAGTGTGTGAGTGTGGGCATGTGCGACACCCACACCTACTTATCCACACTCTTATGAGTGGTGGGTGTGTGAGTGAGTGTGTGGGTGTGAGTGTGGATGTGTGGGTATGAGAGTCTGTGAGTGTGGGTGTGTGAGGGTGTGTGTGTGTGAGAGGATGTATGGGTGTGGGGTGTGTGTGGATGTGTGTGTGGATGTGGGTGTGGGGGTGTGAGAGAGGGTGTGTATGAGTGTGGGTGAGTGTGACTGTGTGGGTGCGTGTGAGAGTGGATATGTGGGTATGAGTGTGTGTGAGCATGTGTGTGAGCGTGTGTGTGGGGGGTGTGAGGGTGTGTGTGGAGTGAGTGTGGGTGTGAGAGTGTGTGTGGCCTGCATGTGTGAGAATATGAGTGTGGGTGCATGTGTGTGCATGAGTGTGTGTGAGCATGTGTGTGTGAGGTGTGGGTGCATGCTTGAAAGTGTGTCAGTGTGAGCGTGTGGGTGCATGTGTGAGTGTGGGTGTATGTGTGGGTGCGTGAGTGTGTGAGAGTGTAGGTTTGGGTGTGAGAGAGAGATTGAGAGAGTGTAGTGTGTGTGTGAATGGATGTATGAGAATGTGAGTGTGGCTGTATGTGTGTGTTAGCATGTGTGTGGGTGCATGTGTGAGTGTGGGTGTGTGTGTGTGAGTGTGGGAGAGTGTGTGAAAGAGTGTAGGTGTGGGAGTGGGTGTGTGTGAGCGGGTGTGTGTGAGAGTGTGAGTGTGAGCGGGTGTGTGAGTGTGGGTGTAGGTGTGTGTGGGTGCGTGTGAGTGTATATGTGGCTGTGTGTGTGTGTGAGTGTGAGTGTGTGTATGAAGTAGGCATAGTGGTTTCATTGCATTAACATTTCCCCCCATTGGCCACAGTCCCCACCACTCCTTATTACACACTTAGTTCATGGCCTCATTTTCTTACTTGACTGGTCCCTGAAGAAATTTGAATTTGTCATCCCTGAGAGAACTAATCCCCATGTCACACCTGTCTTTTAAAAGTCTATTCTTAGGAAGACATTATTTTAGTCATTTATATATGAAGTAAAAATTAAGCTCTCTTTTTTCTCCCAAGGATTACTTAGCTGTAATTCTTTAAAACAAAAGGGTTTTGATCTTCCAATGTTTTTAAAGAAGAGAATATCTTTCAAAATTTGTCAGGGAACCTTCTTCTCTCCCCAAACAGGTGGTCAGATGCAGTTGACATTACTTTCTTTCTCTTACGGGCTTAATTTAGGAATCTATAAATGAGCCAATTATCTACAAAATAATTCTACAAAGATTTCAGCGTCACCCATGCTTCCCAGGTGGGAAGTGAGAAGCCGCTCCCTGCACTGGCCCTGGTGCTCCGGGGGGCCCTACGGCCCCTTGGCTCCTTGCAGAGGCGGGGGTGCAGGCCGCCAGCACGTTTGGCTGCATCCTTTCTGACTGTGTATCTGTTAGGCAAGCTGGCAGATTCCAGACTGCCCATCAGGTCTGAACCATCAGCAAAGAAGGAGGTCTTCCTCATTCTCCTCCTAGCTGTTCTGCTGTTTGCAACCAAGTAAATATGAAGTGTAAACCCTGCCACTAGTTTTTCCCCCGCATAATTGACCTAGCAAGTTCCTGTTGATCTGTATTAATGTGAGGGAATTATTCAGGAGAGGATTTAAAAGATGTTAGTAGACAAGGGTCTTGCCTGAAGCTAAAGCCATAAAGAAGGAAAAGTTGTCTGTGGTGCCCGAGAAGAAAGCTGTATTGCCTCAGATTGTCAGGCTGCAGTATTCTTAATCTATTGTGTTGTATGTGGAGTTGTCTTCTTACTGAGACTCAGAAACTGACAGCCTCTGGGGACAGTTCTTAATTAAATCCCTTTGTGTGCAAATCTGTTCTCTGACAGACAGTGGAAAGACAGAACAGAAAAAAAAATTCTTTTCTGAATGGCACAGGCAGCAGCGTCTCTCTGTCCTTAGTTTCTGTTGCTATAATCCTTGTGGTGGAGGCTGGAAGGTAGCTTGTGGATCAACTTCACTTCACATTAGAATTAGCTCTCTTTTTGAGGGAGAAAGTAGAGAGGGGCAGGGAGCTAGGTGGGGAGCCTTTCTGTGCCTTCCTGGATTGATGAAGGGACATCACATGGCAGGGCACCTCCCAGCCCTCAGGGGGTCGGGGACTCAGGCTGCAGGGCCAGAGTCCCCAGGTGGCAAGGGCCCTTCTGCTTGTCAAGTTTGGAGGGAGAATTTGGCCATGTCCTGTGCTAGTTTGATAAGACAGTTTCAGGGAAGAAACCTGAACAAGGACGGGGGAGAGGTTTAGTTCCAGGTGACTGCTGAAAGGAAGACATCATTTTCCAGGTTTCTTATAGGTGGTGAGGAGGGCTGACAGGTGCAGGCAGAGCCATTTGCGCTCCAGGATGCCTGTGGATTCTGAGTACTTATTAATGAACATTTTCTATCACTGGCCCTGTGGTATGACCAGACTTCAGTTCAGGCAGAGACCTGCCTCAAGAAGTCACCAGACCTGTGGGTGTGTTTTCACTCCATAAAAAGCAGAGTTGAAAGGAATCACTTCAGCATTTTCCTCCAGCTCTGAAATCACACAGTTACAGGTTATCAGAAGCTAGTAAGACTACACTGTATAAATGGAAGGGACTTCGTGACTTGCCTCTACGTGCACCCTAAGGGTGTGAGCTGGAAACAGGTTTTCATAAATTGGGCAGCTAGAAAAGGCACTTTCGCCATCTGGTGACAGAACTGTGACAATGATTTGGGGAGGCTGCTTGTCCTGGGCTACGCGGAGAGACTGCTTTGTCATTCATGCCTTTCACTAACTTCTTAATCTGAGGTCATCCAAATAATCATGTAACAGGGTCAAAATGAATACAACAAAAGTGGTATGTGCAGACAGGGAGGTCCTCTTAGTTTAGAACATTGCTTTTCCTTCCATGGCTCCCAATATTTGCTGATGGCTGAAAACAGTTGTTCTTGTTAAAGTTTCTGTCTCTGTTGGGATATCCCAGCCTTTTGGGCAGTCAGGAATCTGATCACTTCTGGGAAGTGACTCAGCTTTTCAGGAGTTATCTCCCAAACCTACGGCCATTTTTCTGAGTGCCCCCTCCACCAGCTCCAGGCTGACTCAAGCCAGGGTGGTGGCATCTGACCCCTTGGCTTTGCCCTCATTCCATCCTCCTCCCTCGGGTCCTTCTTTCCAGACAAGAAGATGCTTCGCCTTCCTTTGTTATACATTCTTTAATTCTTCCCACTCTATGATTGAACCTCCAGACTTTGGCTCTCAGTCTGTAAAAATCAAGCTCAAGAAGTACTGATAATGGCCACTGTCTTCCTGGAAAGCCTGGCCCTCATGATTCTTAAAAGCACAGCAATTATGTAGTTACTTGTTCTACTTACTTGTGTCTGCTCTCTAGAAAACCAAGGCTTAGCCTCTTTGTGTAGGTGCAGTGGTGGAAGGGCCAAAGGGAAACACTGGTGAGAAAGAAATATACAGGCGTTACTTCAAAATACTGTCCTTCTCTCTGCCATGACTACTAGCACATTTGGCCCTCCACATCCACAGATGCCACATATGCAGGGCCACCTGGAAGGGACCTGAGCATCCTTGAATTTTAGTATCCGAGTTGTTTCCCGGAATCAGTCCCCCATGGATACCAGCGGACGACTGTAATTCATCCTTGTGGAGTGTCCATCATGAGCCACTCACCGCTGTAAGCACTTTGCCAACAGCAATTTAACCATCCTCATTTTACAGATAAAAAGACTGAGGCACAAGTTTCAGATAACTTGCTCAGGGTCCCACAGTTAATCAGGGGCAGAATTGGGCTTGATTATCCTCTCCCGCTGTGTGCATTTACGCTGCACTAGACACCTTTGATTCTGCACTCCTGTGACCAGGCAGTGACTGCGAGGATTGGTACCCCAGTGGGTTCAACAGGTAACTTCCTCCTTCCCCTTTTTAACATGAGGACATGGAAGCTCAGGAAGGAAAAAGGACTGGCTGGGGATGGCGCAGTCCAGTTCTAGAGCTGCTTCTCTTCCTGAGAATTGCTGTACTGTTGCCACATACACTGTCTTTCCTCCTGTTTCCTTGGCCACCCTTCCTACCCTTGCTCTGGAAGCCTCCTGTCCTGGCGGCCAGAGGTCTCCCCATCTGCGCTGTGTCCAGCTTTGCATTTTCCCTCGGGCTTGGCTGGAGGAGGCCAGATGTTGGAGTCACTGCACAGCCTCCTCCCTGGGGAAGCCTCATGGGGTTTCAGTGGGAGAAGGGAACGTGGGATTCCTCCTGTGCATCTCATCTTGGTACTGTGATGTCGGGCAGTCAGGGGCTTGCCTGAGGCTACAGGGCACGCTGAGGTATGAGGTCCAGGACCAAGTTTCCCACGTCTCATGGCCTACCTGGGTCTCTAGATCTGGGACAACGCTCGTGCTTATTCCTTTACAGTTAAGATGCCTGGCAGCTGCTCCCAGAGGCCCTGACAGAACTTTAAATTGGCTAATTATCCCACTCTCTGTCTTTGCTTTCTTATGGAAGAGCTGCAGCCCAGTAAAGCATCACTAAAATCCTCCATCAGATGGCTACTGGTTGGAGGTGATCAGTGGGATTTGGAATATTTCCTGGCATTTTTCAGGTACTTCATAAATGACCTTTGATATGGAACAAATTCATATGTGAGATTTTTTAAAATGTGTGTTTAAAATGTATCAAATATGCCTAAATAATATTCAGACTCTGTCCAGGCATCACTGGATGCCACTTTTTTGTCACATTTGTTTCTAACCCTCTTTTTTTTTTTAATGAAATTGAAGTGTACAGATAGAAACAAACCTGCCCTCTCATTCATCCCATCCTGTCCCCTTTCCTTTCTGTTCAGAAGTAGCTGGTGCAGTGAAGTTGCTACATATATTCCTGCACTGATTTTCTTATTTTATTCATGAGCCTGTATCTGTAAGCAACACCTGTGTGTACATGTGTTTTCAAAGACTGACATTGATAGAAGCAACATAATACCATATATATTCTTTTGCAACTTTTTTTTCCTGTTTATGTTTTTGAGATTCATCTGTATTGTCACAGGCATATTTGTTCATTAATTTATAACTGCTGTCTATTATTCCATCTGATTAACACCACAATGTGTTTATCCACTCTCTTAATGGTCAATTGTTTCTAACTTTTTTCTATTGCAAACTCTTAGGGCTTTAGGTCTTTGATAGATAGCATATAAATGGCATGCATTTTTTCACTTCAAAGTTAATAACCAACTGAGAAGGGACACAGAGTCCAAGATCAGCATCCTGGACTGGGAAGTGCAGCTAGATGGACAACACATTGCTGGTAGACCAGGGGCATTTCTGAACCTCAGCAGTCTGAGCAACTCAGAGCCCACCTGTAGGGGTACCTGCAAGGTTTCTGAAAGGAGGGCACAAATGCGCTCATTCTGTGGACTAGCCAACACCAAAGAGCTAATCAGAGGGGCTAAGCAGAGCTGGCTGTAGAGTTTCTTTGAATGCCTCCTCCCAGAGAGACATAACTGAAGACTGGAAGAGAAGCAAGAATTTCTGTCACTCCTGACCCTCCCATTCTAACCTCCTGTATATCCCAAACCAAAGCCCTTTTGCCCATTTGCATGCTAGCAAATGTAAGAACTCTGGTTCCCCTTCTCTTGGCCAAGACCTGATGCTATCAGACATTCTTTTCATGCAGCTCGAATGTGCATGAAATACTATCATTTGGTTTGCATTTTTCTGATTTTTAATGAGATGGAACGTTCTTTTATACATTAATTGACCATTCAGATTTTCTTCTTTTGCCACTTAATAGAGCATTCACAGTTGAGGACATTGAGACGTAGCAATATTAAGTGCTTGCCCAAGCTTACACCAATAAATACGTTGGAATTTGCATCCATGCCTGTTAGCTGCACTGTCTTTGGCCCTTGTAATAGACAGGGTGTATGCTCAGCAGGCAGGTATGTATGGGTGCTGGGCCCAGAAGCTTGAGAAAGAAATATTGCATGTGGTTTGAAGAGGTTATTGTTGGTTATTGTAGATCCAAGTTGGTCTTGTCTTATGGTGCAAGGACCCTGAGCACAGGATATTCATCACCTCATTCCACATTCCCTGGGGTATACAGGCTGTATTCCTAGTACCTTCCCTCTCTACCTGCCCAGTCTGATCCATTGTTGCACTTCTTCGTTGTAGTTCAGTTCGGCCAGTCTAGAATGTGGAGCATCCTTTGGACACCTCTCCATCCTCATCCTCTTGTCTATGTGGTCCTCTTCTCTTTTCTACCTGTCCCAATCCTTCCCACCTGACTTATCATATTCCAAGTTCTCTGTCAGATACTTCCAGCCAGAAGTGACATCACTGCCTTTAAAACTCTCAATATGCACGTAGCTCAGTTAGCGCTCAACATTTTCAGCCATTTTGTTAGTTTCTCTTCCATATATTTATGTCTCATCTCCCTAACCAGACTGAGCATTTGAGGTGAGTGACTCGTGTATTTCTTTATATCTCTCCTTGAGAACACAAGGAGAGATAATGTAGTAAGCCTATGCAATTGATCAAGAGTAGGATGGCTGGGTTGTTGATACAATTTGTGGGGCCTGTTCTTAGTATTGTTGCCCCTGGTCCCATGTGTATGTAATCTCTAATCAGCAAGATGGATGTGTATCTTTCATATGTGAATTTGAAAATTTTTGTCAGTTGTGTAAGTATGAATCATCAATTATTCATTACACATTTTTAGCTGTTTAAAGAAGACATTGACAGAGGGAGTAGAGCAGAGAGTTAGACGTCTGGAATGGGTGGAGTGTGGTGTGCAGCTGTATGTGCCCTAGGTTCTGAACTGGAATCAGGACCTTGAAGGTCGCTTTCTGATCTCAGGCTTTGCATTTATTCACTTTCCACACAGCCTTCACACACCATCGGTCCCTTCTTTAAAGTCATTGCTTTAGTATCTATGCCTTCTATTCCCTTTGTGGATTACATGTGTAATTCAAATAATGATCCCTCTCAATAGAAAGGTTTACCTTTATTCCCCATTCTTAAGGGTTGGGTGCCTAATCCTTGAGCAGCTCTTTGTGAAGTGTTGAGCAATTGTTACTATAGCAAAGTTGTAGATACTATTTCTGTTTTCATAATATGTTGTGTAAGTTTGTTTTAGATCTTGTGTCTTTCCAACCATTTCTTTCTTGACTCAGTCAGTATTTCTTGAGCTTGTTCAACATTTTGCACTGGCCCAGTTACTGTAGCCATCATAGATGTGACTGAGAGATGGCTCTGGCCCTTTAGTTGCACTGAGTCTAGGTCACCACACTGTCTGCACACATAGGGGTTAAGAACCTCAGTGATAGATCATCTGTGTCCAAAAGGCTTGGCAGGCTCCAGGGGGTCCAGAGACTTAAAGAATTTCAAGGAAGGGAGGGATTGGTAGAGGCAGATAGGGGGTAGGGGCCCCTATCTGGGAAGGGGGCAGACGATATTTCAGTGTTTCCTTGGTTTCATGTTAGTCTTATTTTGTATCATTGCAGAATCCAATAATCTGAGAGTTAGAAAATATCAATGCAATATCTGTACTAATGGAAGAAATAGCAAAATGGGAAGAAGAATATACTTTATGCTGAATAGTTGTAGTTGAGAAAGTTCTATGCTGAAGTTTCTTAGCTCATACTTTCTTTCTTCTCTATGTTTAAATTAACTCCATCTATGAAACCATTACAATTACTTGGAAAATTGTTCTGGGGTTTTCATGCCTCCCATTTGTCTGCTCATGAGTGGGCATGTGCATTCAGCCTGGAATTACTCTCTAGCTGCCGAAAGCCAGTGCACTTTGCAGCAGTGGGATTTCCTGGCACCTATTCCAGCAGCTCACAATCACAAGCTCCAGATTAGACATGTCATGGTGGTCCTTATTCAGGTAACAGGATTGTGAACATAGGCATCTCTTGTTTCTCACAGAAAGATGTGTTTGAGCTGGATTTGAGAAAAATATGTTTGCATTCCCAGGTAGGTAGGCATCCCGGTAGATGGTGAGGGTTGCTGCTGTTGCAGACAGGATAGAGTAGGAGGTAGTGTCTGAAAAATACTTCCTACCTTCTATAGTGGAAAGACATTCAAGACATTAAAATCAAGCTGCTTTCTGTAACATTTCAGAGCCTGGTCCTTCTCATGGTTATGAAGATTATAATCACAGTTATGAAATTAAACAAGGCAAAGCTTCTTACAGATGGATGCCTAATTGGACTTAAGTTTACTAACATAAAATATATGTAGTGCAATATAAAGCTCCTTAAATGCTACTCATATAGGAGTGTGAATCCCAACTCTCTACCACTTACCATCATATAGAGCTTTAGTTTATGTATGCCACTTGATTTAAGCAGTATCATTTTATAGGTCTCATTTTTCATTTAAGAAGTGTTTTGTGTGTAAACTCTATTACCCACTCCTACTTAATTATTCAGAAATAGATTCAATATTTATTTTACAGTCCTTGCTGTCTATGTACATATGATATAAACATGTCTATAAGTATTGAGCATTATAAAGGTCTAACTATGAATAATTTTACTTTGCCATCAAGTTAATATCTTTATAAAGCCTCTGCTATGCATGTAGTTATGACTAGCCTCTGCTAGTCATAACTCTGAGTAGTTGTAGTTGAGAAAGTTCTATGCTGATGTTCCTTAGCTCGTACTTTCTTTCTTCTCTATGTTTAAATTAACTCCATCTATGAAACCATTACAATTACTTGGAAAATTGTTCTGGGGTTTTCATGCCTCCCATTTGTCTGCTCATGAGTGGGCAGTGCATTCAGCCTGGAATTACTCTCTAGCCTCTGCTAGTCATAGTGGAAAAAAATATTCACAAACATAATTATTCTTCATTGTTTTGCTTCAGGTTTGAGGGTGTATCTCTCAGATCCTGTTTAACTGCTGTCTTTAAGACAGAGGCACTGTGGTAACTGTGAAAGCAATGTGGATGAGTGAGAATGATTAGTGCATCAGCTTGGAGACCCTGTTTGTGGGGGTCAGGTCAGACGTGCACACCGTTGCTAATTTTCCTTACCAACCCCTGCTGTTATCTGTATTCTCACCTTCCTGAAAAATGGTATAAGTAGTATTCATCTCTCTAGCCTCAGGACTGGAATGAATAAATGAACACATAGAGAATGTCTTCATTCTCACTCCCAATCCCAAGAAACCATGTTCTTTGGATCCAACAAATTTTTCCCTACTCCTGGCACACAATAGGGGCCTTGAGAATGAATTCTTTTCTCAAATGCCCAACTGTTTCTCCAGGCTACACATCTAAATTCTATCCATGCAAAACTTGGAAGATTGTGAAGAATGACATTTCTGCCATAAGGTATTCTATGTAAAATGTAGGTGGTGATTTGCTAATAAGAAGTACTAATGCTTTAAACTTAGGTTGTCCCTAGTTAAGTTTCTTCTGGGAAAATGATAACTTTAGAAGAGGAGAAAAGTTTGTGTCATCTGATCGGAAAAAATGTGCATGGAAGTTCCTGCTGCTGGTTGCAGAGTAAATGATGTGCTCGGCATCTTACCTTTAGTTTCCATGTGGGACAAAGAGCACAGCCTGGCAAAAGGCCCATGGTGCTTGAGTTGGCACGTGGGGAACCATCAGCTTGGTGGGTGCTTACAGTCAGAGCAGCAGCTTGGTATCTGACCAGGTCAAGGGACAGGCAAATCTTTCACCTCACTCCTAGACATTTGGGTCAGCTGCCTGGGCCTGCTGACCACGCCAGTGGGGATCCAGCTATGGGTTGGTGAAATGAGCCTAAAAGAGGGTCACTGTGACCCAGAATGCCAGATTGGCCCTGATGACTGGGGATTAAAGCCTCATGTCAAAGCTAGAACCCACGGCTGGAGCCACGGCTGCAGCTTCCATCTGCTCCTTGGCAGCCTCTCTGTATCTCAGGAGGTGGAAGGCACTAGCACATTGTCCTGGAGGACTCTGAGCAGGAAGCTGCTTTTATGAGTGTACAGTGGCCATCCTGGGGCACCAAACAGAGCCCTGTGTTGGAATGAGGGTCCTTAGGCAGTGTAGGGACTGGAGCCAGTGTAGGGAAGAGCTGGCCTGAATCCAGCTGGGTCTCTGTCAGATGTCCCTGGAGGACTCGTGTGGAGTTCAGTGGTGGCTTTTCCTCCCTGATGTAGTGAGGCTGCATCTTCCTCAGCTGGCTGCTGAGTTCACGTGGGCATTGGGGTTTGTGTTTGTTTTATTTTGCTACTTTAACAACATTCCCTTCCTTACATGAGGGCTGTGCAAGGCCTAGGTTTGAGCTCAAGTGATGTCTTAATGGAGGGAAAGTGCCCATTTTCATCCAGGTTGGTATCAAAGATGGCTCTGCAGAGGAGGCCACGTTTGAGCTGGATCCATGACAGGTAGGAGCTTATCAAATGTGAGCCAGCGAGACAGGACAGCATTGAGGGGGCATAGGCCACTGCTTCACCAAACGAGGAGCATGGCGGAGTGGGCTCAGGGGGTTGGCATGGCTGAAAAGGGCAGGGCATTATTTTCATCTGTTGAGTCTGGGCACACCTGCTTAGTTGGGTGAAGTCTGATCAGTGATCAGGGCCCAACACTGGCAAGTGGCCCAGTGGCCCAGCAGGTGGTCTGAGATGGTGAGGCAAGAAGGTTTTACTGGAAGGTGGGTTCATGGGTTAGGATTGGAACTGCCTCAGGCCTAGGACAGCCCGCCTGCAGGAGATGGGAACATAAACCAAGTGAAGGCAGGGTTCTTTTATGTGACCTGGATCCTGGGTAGGGGTCCCGGAATGTCCCTATCAGATGAGAAACTCTGACTTCAGGGCCGGTGACCAGCTTGAGGGCTTCTGCCCAGGCAGAACTAGCAGGGCACCTGGCTGGCATCTGAGGGACTCACACAGCTTTGCCACTTGCTGTCACCAGCCTCACTTCCTCTGGGAATTGAGGCAGGCCCAAACCTGGGATGGGAGTACATAGGAGCCCAGCATGGGTGCTGGTGAAGGCAGATGTAGGTGGTAGGAGGTGAGGCCTGATTGGCGATCCTAATTCTAAGCATCAACTCTGATTTTTTAGAAGTGAACAAATCTCCAAATACAATCATGCATCACTAAATGACAGGGAAGCATTCTGAGAAATGCATCCTTAGGTGATTTTATCATTGTGTGAACATCATAAAGTGAACTTACACAAATCTAGATGGTGTAGCCTATTTATTACACACCTAGGTTATATGGTATATCCTATTACACACCTAGGTTATATGGTATAGCCTATTGCTCCCAAGCTGCAAACCTGCACAGCACGTTACTGTCCTGAAAACTGTAAGCAGTTATAACACATGGTATTTTTGTATCTAAACATAGAAAAGATATGTAAAAATAAGACATTGTAATCCATGGGACCACGTCGTATATGCAGTTCCTTTTTGACCCAGTTATGGGGCACATGAGTGCGGCTGAATCAGGATTTCTAAATATTTAATGACAATATAACTGACAATCAAATTTTTTACAAAGCTACAAAACCTTTGAGAAAATAGCATGCTGGCCTGTGTGCATGCCTTTAAGCAGTATTCTGTGGCATGGATTCAATGAAATTTCAGCTCCAGTGGCAGTAAGAAGTGTTTTTTTTCCAGGCCAGTGATCTCTGCTCCATTTGCCAAGGTGTGCACCTTCATGCAGAAAGCTGCTGGACGAGGCTGATTCAGCGCCTGCTGCCTAAGGACCTGGAGCCTTTTTGACGTTGCAGTTGGACCTTTATCTCTGGTCCTGCTGTATTCCAGGGCCCTCCCCGGCGATATGACATAGGGTGTGCTCTGGCCTTCTTTTAAATTCCCAAATGGAAATGGTGCTTTTTATTCCCTCCCTGGTGTATGCCTAGGTGAGGAGTAGATGCCACGTTGTGCTGCTTCGTGAGGACAGACCTCACTATCTGACCCGCTTGCTCCTTGCTGACTATCCTGATCTCTATAGGGGGATGGTGCTCCCCTCCCCTGGGGCAGGGTGTTCTGGCTCTCCATCATGTAATCCACACCACCTGGGCTTGAGGGCTTATGCTCTGAGTCCTTCCAGCTGAAGGCTTCTGACATGCAATAAACCATGTCTCTTGCAACTCAAGGTCTTGGCTTTTAAAACTCAGAATTCTGTTCTCATTCTGCTTGCTATGTATATATCCCCCTTGAGACAAAAATGCTACAGACTGAATGAGGGAATTGGTAGGAGACAAGGAAATGAGACCCACAATGATGACAGCAACAATAAAGAGCACCACTGGTTATGGTAGCAAAAAAAAAAAAAAAAAAAAAAACCTAATTGTGCCAACAACAACAAAAGAAACTCATCTCAAAAACAGGCCTTTATATTACTTCAAGATTGATTTTAACTTCTAAGGCTACATTGCCAACCAGGTCAGTGTTTTGTCTCAGGCTACACTAAAGTTTTTCAAAGTTTCCTTTCTTTTTTACATTTTTTTGGCCAAGTACACATACACACACTCCTTAGCCCTCACTCCCAGGCAGGTTGACTGTGGTCTAGTGCCTCAGAAAGAGACATGGTTAAACTCCAGTTGAGCTTTTGCTTCTCGTAATAGCCAGTCCACTCAGTGGAGATTTCAGTTTTTAGTGTTTGCATTGTATAGACAAAGGGAGCATCTGTGAGAGTTACTCATGTTCTTTACCTTACAAGCGGTATTTGTATCATGGACGTGGGGCACACAACTCAACTGGGGTCTCCCTGCCCCTGGCAAAGCAGGAACTCAGCTTGATACGACCCATTTCCATGTCCCCCATTTCCATGGTCTTTCTAGTGAGTATCCCCACTTCCCAGTTTTGCTTCTGATGGCTGGGTCTGCATATGCTCTTCCTGCTTTGTCCTGGGTCAGCCAGATCAAAAATCACTCCATTGGTGGTAACCAGGAGATAAATCACCATGCCCTGTGTGAGTGACCATGGAGGGTCCCGTTAGCCACGTACAGCTTTCTTGGGAATGGCTGGTATGCTTGATTTGGATAGCTCAAGAAGGCAGAGTATGAGCCCATGGCTGGAAAGTAGAGAGAGGCAAATGGAAGCTTGGTTTCTAACAGAGCATCGTGATGCTGGATAGTGGGCAGAATGACCTGGAGGAAATTGGAATCACCATGGACTCGCAGTCAGGAGCCCTCAGTGGAAGAGGACCTTGTGCTCACAGGACAGACATGCCCATGGCATGTTGCCTAACACCTCTGAGTCTCAGTTTCCTGTTAGTACAAAGGGTCAGTAATTTGAGTACGTGTATTTTAGCGCTGCTGTAAAAGTTCAGTGAGGGAATATTCATAGAGCTCCCGGCCCTTGGCCCCGCTTGGATGCCACCCTGTTTCTCCTCCTTCACCCCTTTCCCCTTTCCTATTCCAGTGTCTTCGTAACTGGAAACACTGGGAGTGTTCCATGTGAGTCTGGGTGGTGACTTGACAGGGTTATAGACAAGGGATTCACCTACGTGGTGAGGGGATGGGCAAGAACTCAGCAGCAAGTTTTTATTTGTTTAATTTTTAAAGAGATGAAAAACATTTCTTCAAAAAAAAGTTTAATAAGAAACCCAATATGCAGACCACAAATTAAACAGTGGCTCTGGCTGGACAGGAGAGGGAACATCATAGCCCTGTGGCCCGTCCTGTGCGTTTGCACCTAAGACAACTCACCAAACACCCAGCATGCCTGTGTCCACACTCTGAAAACCACTGGGCTGGATCATTTTTTAAACATTCCTAAAACACTTAGGTGTCTTCGCAGAAAGTTTAGGGAAAGAAAAGTATGACCCTGTAGGGCCAGGCTCACTCCTGTAATCCCAGCACTTTGGGAGGCTGAGGCGGGCAGATCACTTGAGGTCAGGAGTTCAAGACCAGCCTGGCCAACATGGTTAAACCCCATCTCTATAAAAAACACATAAATTAGCCAGGCATAGTGGTGGGTGCCTGTAATCCCAGCTACTCAGGAGGCTGAGGCAGCAGAATCGCTTGAACTCGGGAAACAGAGGTTGCGGTGAGCCGAGATCGCACCACTGCACTCCAGTGTGAGCGACAGAGCGAGACTCCATTTCAAAAAAATATATATGACCCTGTAGGATAAACATGACAGCAGGCTAAAGTGCTGATTGTGGGCTTGTGTTTCAGGTGTCTCCATGCGAGAGGTGTCGCTGTGAAGCCAACGGTGAGGTGCTATGCACAGTGTCAGCGTGTCCCCAGACGGAGTGTGTGGACCCTGTGTACGAGCCTGATCAGTGCTGTCCCATCTGCAAAAATGGTATGTGAGATCCCCGTTGGTGACGGGGTGCACCTCCCACCCTGATGCACAACCCATGTGCTGCTTCATGGTAGACGGGACACATACGGATACGTGAGTTTCATCCTATGTATCAATACACATGCGTACACACGTGTGTAATCTTTCAGCCACAGTGGTTCTGTAGCAAGGCCTTCTCTCTCTTACTGGCATCAGCACCATGTTTTATGGATGTTAAGAAGTTCTTTGGGGAGAAATTCAATTTCCACCTTTGAGGAGAGTCACTTATTTTAATTTAACTTTGTTTGTTCTTGCAAAGCTGTTTCTATCTTTCCAAGACACATTAAACACACTGGTTGGGCTCATTTACTTTTCATTACTAAGTGAATGAAACTTGGAACATAATTGAATATTTTTCATAAGCAAATTAGGCAGGAAGAGAGTCCCTTCCTATTCCCAGTGAGAGCCCCTGGTAGATCAGAAGCCTTGCTTACTTTATGAAAATGAAGTGGCAGGATGTCCTTGATCCTAATTTGTCATGGGAGAGTGTTTCCTCATCCTGACAAACGATGATTACTCTGTACCTGAGGTACTGAGGGCATTACACTATAAGACGGTTTTTGACAAGAGTGCATACCCAGGCTGGCTGGGCCTGAGAATTATGGCCCGGAGGGCAGTTTGACAAGAGGCTGAGCAGAGCTTGGGAAACAGCGGACAGAGGGGACACAGCCGGAGTCTACAAGGATCTGAGTGGCCTCGCTGACAGGAGCGACTGGGCTTTCTGGATGTTGCCCAGGGTATGCTGTGGGGACCCCTGGTTGAGAGCATTCAGAGCTAACTTGTGATGCTGTCGGCCGTTCATGTGGGTTGCTGGACCGAGGCTTGATAGCTGTGTGGCATGGGTTTGGTATGTGGCAGGCATGTGTTGGTGGATGGTGACACAGGGGTGGTCATGGTGCTCAGACAATTCCCAGAGTCTGTCATGACAGTCGAAATTGTGCGGGCCATGAGGTTCCATGGGTACCTTCGACCACGTACCTGTACATATCCAGATTTTACTACAACACATTGTAAAACTCTTGAGGTAAATAATTGGAAGAGGGAATGATGTTGCTGTTGAAGGATAGACCTGAAAGAACAAGATGACTGTGTTAGGAATGTCATAATCATTGTAGCATAGTACATCCAGTCCTCCAAAGGCAAGTGGACAGTGTTAAAACAAAGATGTCACAGAGTGTACTTTATATAGGGTTGGCTGGTCTCTTGTGCATGTTAATTATGAAGAAATCCTGAGGTAGGATTCCATTAGACAAGAACGAGGGGGACTTTGAGCATGGAGTGTGTTTTTTTTTTAAAAAAAAAAATGATGTTGAGACACCAGCTGTGAGATGGAGGGAAATCAATACAGTTTACTCTACTAGTGTTAATTACCACTAATTAACACTAATAAAGGGGGAAGAAGACTCTGGGATTGGGGAAGGAGAGGCAGATGGAGAATCTGGCAGAGTCTCGGTGTGGCTTTCAGCACACCCGCTGAGGAGCCCGAGTGAGCGCCTCTGGTCTGCTGGGAGAGCTGAGGGCTGGCGCTCAGGCCATGTGCCCTGCATGTCGGGGGTACTGGACGACAACAACTCTCACTGCGTCAAGGGGTTTAGTGAATGGCTTAAATATGGGTTGCTTAAATATTTGGCGTCTTAACTACCCAAGATATTCCATGTTTTTCCTGTAAATTTTGATTATAGACTAAGTCTTGGCATTAGATAGCCGGGAATCCTAGCTTGAGTGTTAACAATAGGTGAGAAGACAGGATTTCAACCCCTGGATTTTTTTTTCTTGCTTTTAGAGAAATTTCAAACCTACAGAAAAGTTGAAATAACTGTCCAGTGAACAATTGTATACCTTTAGCTACACCTGTTGCTAACACGTTGCCGTATTTGCTTTGTCTCTTTCTTTGGCCCTCTGTCTTTGGTTCTCTCCTGCCCCATCTCTCTATATACATAACCCAACACCATCAATATATTTACTTATTTTTTCTTTCCCATAAGACACATGGCACAAATTCTATTGAGACTACCACCAACCTGAAACCTACTGAATAGTGTTCAAGATTTTTTTAGAGTTTTTCTTTTGCCCTTAGGATTTATCCTTCTTAGAGCATACAGTCAGAGAACTACATTGAGCAGTTACTTGAATTAATACTTAAAAGTGTGCAGAAATGTTAAATTTACAAAGAAGTAATTTATTTCTGTGTTCAATTTTTTCATTTAAGATATAGTTATATTTTTGAGTAAAAAAATGTACAAAAACTAAACACTTTATAAATATTATATACCCAGAGATTCACAGTTTGTTTTAATATTGCATTGATGGTTTTGGGAGATGGTTGTTGTCCTGATGGTAAACTTCTAAATGTTGACCCTTTAACTCTATATTTTGAGAGGCAGTATGGGATGGAATAAGGCAAGATTTTGTGGTGGCCCATTAGAGATTTTTAGAAGGGAGATGAATATGTTTTTTAAAGCTAGATTTATATTACAGAAAGACTTCTATTATAAGGCTTGATGCAGTTATATCAAAACATCAACAACTTATTTTGGGGAGTATAACTGGAAATAAATTTAAATGTATCTAATCATGCACATACAATTACATTTCTTTTATTCACCAGATAGAGCTTGGCTTTCAGCTGTCTCTAGTTATAGGGTATTCTGACCTTGACAGGGAAAATGGGGTTTGAAATTCTTAGTAAAAGAGAGCTGCTTGAAAAATGAAAACAGTTTCTATGAAAAACAAATGCTCTATAATAACTGACTGAGATTAATGAATAATTTACAGTAGTCCAACCCTGCCTCCCCACATAAACAATGTTCTTGTAAAAAAATTATATGTTTGATATATCACAGATTAGAGGACATCAGAAATGAATGCTTTATATGAAATTAAAAGCTTGGATAGACTTATCTTGGATGAAATATGAAGGTTTTAACTCTTGATCTCCGTAGACCAGCCTTTACTCCTCACTCTGGCATGTCTTGACCTGTAGCATTAAATAGCTCTTTCTCCGACAGAAGGAAAATTACAGTTCAGTTGCTAGCTGCCAAAGTCACTTGCATCAAAGGAGCAGAAGTTGGAAACCAAGAATGCCTTGAATATAAATAAATGATCACAAATCAAATGTACTTTAATATATTCACTTTGTTGACTTGTGCAGATCAATCTCCCAGTGTTTTTCTTTTGATAAAATGGATGTTGCATGGCATTATTTGTTTTTAAATTCCACCCCCCCACAATGATACAAACAGTGAGTGTTATTTGACTTTCAACTATTCAGCTTTTCTCTGGTGATAGGTGCACAGCACCCATTCCGATCAAACCCCTTAGTTTTAGACATGCTTGTCTGCATTAAGTAGGCACTAGGCTCCCATTAGCGATCAGAAGACCTCCATTCTGCAAGTATACATGTCATCTTACTTTATGGATCCAAAGAAGAAAAATGATAAAAGTAGGACATTGGTGTTGAAATATGAGGACTTTGTCAGAATTAGCTGTGCTTCTCAAAGGTGGAATATGGTATCCAAGGGAGGATACGACATATGCCAAAAGCACAAAGCCACTGGATATAAAGGTTGTATATCTCCCTGAAGTATTACTGCCACCTGATGATTATTATTTGCAGCTTTATTTTTACAGGAAAACATTTTTTGGAGGAAAGTGAAAAACATTTATGACACTTTAAAGATAAACACTGAGACGTCAAATTATTAAACATACGTTCATGGGAAAATATGTAAGAAGCACTGACTGAGAATTAGGCAGAGTTTTGTTTGTTTTCCTATGTATTTCATAGAGTAGGATAAGATGGTAGTAAATGTCATGCAGTGGGTTAGACAAAACGGAATGGTGTGTGTGTGTGTGTTTGTGTGTGTGTGTGCGTGTGTGTGTGGTCATATCAAGATCCTCTCACAAAGAAAAGCCTGCTCCTATGTGGTCTCACCATTGAATCCTTCCAAAATTCTTACCAAGGAAATAATACAAATTTTATGAAAATTCTCTGTGATTATTTACAGATTACGTGATTGTGCCCATAAAAAATAAAGGAATTTACAAATATCAAAATGAACAGTTGATTTTAACAAGGATGTTTAGCAAGATCAGTGTTTGAAAATCAGCTGTATTTCTGTATACCAGAAAGAAATAGAAGTGAATTAAAAACTAGAGTTTCAAATAACATCATACAAATCAAATACTTTTGGAAGTAAATCTAACAAAATTGTGAAAAGTCTCCATACTTAAAAAACATGAATCTTTATTGAGAGAAATTAAAGAAGACCTAAGTAAAAGGAGGGATATATCATGTTCATGATTGAAAGACTCAATAACACAAAGATGTGAGTCTGCTTCAAAGTAATCTATTGATTCAGTACAAAATTCTAGCCAAAAATCCAATGGTTTTCTGTAGCAATTATCAAACTGATTCTAAAATCCAAATGGTATACAAAAGCTAAAGACTGGCTTGAGAAATATCCAAGAGGAACAACAAAGCTGGAAAATGTACAAATATTTAGACTCACTCCAAGAGATAGTAATTAGCCCGTTGTGGTTTGGTCCCAAAGAAAGACTGACAAATGGAACAGGACAAAGTCAGAAAAGGCCTGTGCATGTAAGACCACCAGCTGTGTGACTAACCTGACATCACAGGACAGTGGGAAAGGAGTAATCTTTCCAGTGAATTGTGCTAGACCAACTGAATAGCAGTATGGAGATAAAAGAGATCATGATTGCTACCTCACATTTGACAAAAAATCATTTCCAAACAGATTGCTGATTTAAATATGAAGGCTAAAACAATAATGCTTTTAGAGGAAAACATAGAACAGCTTTATCACTTTGAGTATGCAAAGGTTAAAAGAACATTAAAAGCACTAAACATAAGGAAATAATTTACAAATTGAACTTTTTAAAATTCAGAATCTTTGTTCACCAAACACTATTAAACAAGCACAATATAGCCCACATGTTTTGAGAAAATATTTGCAATATGTATAATTAACTAATATCTATTTAAATAATACCAACACATCCAAATAAAGCAGAGAGATACAAAAGAGAGAAAAGTATAAGGAGAGATTCCCAACTTTCTGTGTACATCAATTACCATTTTCCCAATTCCTCTGGTCAGCAAGATGAGTTTTCTTACTGAGTTTTAGGTAGTGGGCTGCCTTCATTATTTCTGTAACATTGCGTTTCCATGACAGGTCCTGTTCTTGGTGCATATATGAGAGAAAAAATAAAAAAATAGAAAAAAAGAACTTCCTGTTCTGCTGGAATTAAATTAGTATTAACCTGACATAGATTGTGATCACTTAAGATGCATTTTGTTATTCCTAGAACAATCACTAAGAAAATTAATAAAGGAATTAAACATGGCACATGAAAGAATTGTATATCTAATTTTAAAAGGCAGTCAAGGAGGAACAGAGGAACAACTGTCAGGATACTGATAGAAGGCAAGTAAAATTATATACATACATGTACTTAACAACAGAGCCCCAAAATACATGAAGTAAAAATTGATAGAATTCAAAGGAGAAATAGAGGCTTAAGTAATTGTAGTTGCAAATTCTGATAAACCATTAAATAATTCCTAGAAAATCTAGACAGAAAATGAACAATAATATAGAAGACTTGAATGGCACTAGTGAACTTGATCTGACATATATGTACAATATACCACCCATCCACTGAAGAATACTCATTTTTGCCAAGTGCAGGTGGACACTGTCTACAGTTGACCCTATGCTAAGACATAAAACAAGTCTCAATAAATTTAAAGGACTTAATCATATAAAGTTTCTTTTTTGAACACAACAGAATTTGAAAGGATTAAATTAGAATCAACAACAGAAGGAAATCTGGGAAATTGGAGATTATTTGGAAATTAAACAGCACATTTTAAATAACCCAAGGGCCAATGAAGAAATCTGAGAGATTTTAGAAAATGCTTTGAACTGATTTAATAATGAAAACAGAATGCACTATAGATTATTGGATGATGCTAAAGCAGTATTTAGAAGGAAATGTATAGATTTAAAGACCTATCTCTGAAAAGTAGAAAGGCCTCAAATCAGCAATGTAACCCTCTACCTTAAGGAACTAATAACTGATCAGCTAATTTTACTAAAAGCATGCAGAAGGAACTCAAAAATAGGAGCATAAATCCATTAGATAGAAACTAGTAAAGCTTAGGAAAAAGTAAATAAAACCAAGTTAGTTTTTGAAAGCTGGTTCTTAACAGTATTGATAAAATTGACAAAACTTTCACTAAACTAACCAAGAAAAAATTAGAGAAGACACAAGTCAGGAATGAAAGAGGGGCATCATTACTAACCCTACAAAAATGAAAATGATTACAAGGCAATACTATGAACAACTCTTTGCCAACAAATTAGAATAGTTGTAAGAAATGGACAGATTCCTAGGAAAACACAAATTACCAAAACTGACTCAGTTCATTTCTGAATTGTCCTAAAACAAATAAAATACAAATTAATAATTAAGAGCTTCCCACAAATAAAAGCTCAAGCCTACATATCTTTACTGGTGAATTCTTTCAAATATTCAAAGAAAGAAATAATACCAATCTTTTACAAACTCACCCAGGAAATAGAAGCAAAGGAAACACTTCCCTGTTTAGTTTCTGCATTTGTTGTGACCACAATGCTGAAGGTAGACAAAAACACCCCACAAAAAAGAAAGGTAGAAACAAATTTATTTCATGAACATAAATGGAAATCTCCTTAACAATGAGTTAATATCAGCAATCTGAATACAGCACCATATAAAGAATTATACACTTTAACCAAATGCAGTTGATTTCAGTCATGCAAGGTTTGGTTTACTGTCTCAAAAATCAATTAACATAATACATTAATAATGTAAATGATAACAAAAACCACATATGATCTCAACAGATGCAAAGAAGGAATTTGAAAAATCCAACACTCATTTATGATTGAAGCTTTCAACAAACTAGGCATAAAAGGGAACTTTCTCAATTTGATAAAGAGTAACTATGAATAATTCACAGCTAAAGCTATTATGAATACTCTCTCAATACTCCTAAAATCTAGGAGAAGGTAAGGATATCCATATTGACCACTTTCATCCATCAATGTAGTGGAGGTCTTATATACAGAGAGAAAGAGAAGGCAGGAGAAAAAGAGGAAGGAAAAGGAAATTAAGAAGTATAACTGCCTTTATTAGAAGATGTTATGCTCCTGTATGTGAAAATACCAAGAATTACACATACACGTGCATACACACACATACACATGCACACACATACACATGCATACACATTCACACACACAACTATGGAGGCTAATAAAGATTAATACCAGATACATATACAAAAATATACATTTTTGTAGTATACAATGGATAATACAAATGAAATTAAGAAAATAATTTCATTTAGAATAGCTTCAAAAAGAATAGATACTTAGAAACACATGTCACAATGCAAAATTTGTATACTAAAAGCTGCAAAATATTGCTGAAAGAAATCAAAGGACATATAAATAAATGGAGAGACATTTCATGAGTAGAAGACTCAATGTTGTCAAGATGTTAGTTCTTCCCAAATTAAAATATAAATTCAGTACAATTCCTACACAAATCCCAGCATACGTTTTTTGTAGAAATTGACAGTCTGATCCTATAATTCATGCAGAATGTAAAGGATAGCCAAAAGAAATTTTTAAAAGAACAAAGTTGGAAAATTTGTACTATCCCACTTTGTAACCTATTAGAAAATCACAATAATCAAGATACCATGGTATTGGTGCAAAGATAGACGATGGAAAAGAATTGACAGTCCCGAAAGAAATCCAGTATGCAAATCTTTACATATTTATTTTCAACCAATGTTGTAAGATACCTCAATCGGGAAAGAATAGTCTTTTCAACAAATGGTGCAGGGACAATTATATATTCACATGCAAAATAAAACTTAGACCCTTACTTTACACCGTATACACATTAACTCAAAATGAACCTTAGACCTAAATGTGAGTGTTTAAACTATGTAACTTTTAGATTAAAAAGATAGGAGAACATCTTTATGACTATAGGTTGTGTAAATATTTCTTAAAATTAATATCAAAATCATAATCCACAAAAGAAAAAACTAATAAATTGTCATCAAAATGAAAAATTTTTGCATCTCAAAACACACAACAAATAAAATGAAAATACAAGCCACAAACTTTGAGAAAACATTTGTAAATCATGTGTCTGATAAAAGACTTGTATCCAGGGTATATAAACAACTCACACAACTTGAAAAGAAGACAACCTATTTAAAAATGGGCAAAGGATTGAAAGACAGTTCAGCAAAAGAGACAAACAAATGACAAATAACCAATTAAGATGATGCTCAACCTCAACCTGGCTGTGTCCACACCCAAATCTCATCTTGAATTGTATTTCCTATAATCTCCACATGTTGTGGGAGGGAAATAGTGGAGGTGATTGAATCCTAGGGGTTGATGCTGTTCTTGTGATAGTGAGTTCCCATGAGAGCTGATGGTTTTATAAGAGGCTTTCTCCCCACTTCACTCTGCACTTTTCCTTGCTGCCATCATGTGAAGAAGGACATGTTTGTTTCCTCTTCTGCCATGATTGTAAGTTTCCTGAGGCCTCCCCAGCCACACAGAACTGTGAGTCAATTAAACCTCTTTCCTTTATAAATAACCCAGTCTTAGGATATTTAGCAGTATGAGAACAGTCTAATGCAATACTACTGTACCCCATTAGAATGTTTGTAATAAAAAGGACAGAAAGTACAGATGTTGGCAAAGATGTGGAGAAAATGGAAAAATATTGTTGGCAGAAATGTCAAGTGGTGCGCCTACTTTGGAAAACAGTTTGGCAGTTGCTTAAAAAGTTAAAGAAAACTTACCGTATATCCCAGTTATTCCTTCCTGAGATTATATCCCAGCAAAATGAGAACATATTTCCACACAAAGATATGTATGCAAATGTTCCTAGCAGATTATTATTATTCCTAGAATTATTATTAATGGCCAAAGAGTGGAAATAATGCAAATGTTCATTAACCAGTGAATGGATACACAAATGTAGTATATCCATGTACTGAATACTGTTTATCAGTAAAAAGGAATGAACTAATGATACTACAACATGGGTGAACCTCAAATACAGAAGCTGTTGCAAAAGATTACATATTTTATGCTTCTATTTCTTTGAAATATTTTGTGAAGGCAAATTTATATAGGAAGAAAATTGATCAGTGGTAGCCAAGAGCTATAATCAGAGTGGAGATTAGTCGCAAATCATCATGAGGGAATTTATTGAGGTGATGGTATGTTTATTAATTGAGTTGTTAGGTGGATACACAATTAATTAAATTCACTAAAATTCATTAAATTGTACACTTACACTGGGTGAGTTTTATGGTATGTAAAATATTCCTGAATAAACCTTCTAAAAATCTTGACCCTCTTAACAAAGATAGGCAAAGTGAAATTTTTGTAATTTCCTTTGACTCACTCCCAAGGCTAATCTTGATACACATCCTTTATCTTTCCCCAGAGACTGACTTTTCTAATCCTGGTCTGATGTCTTTAATAGCTTTATGAAATCTTCCTTCTTAAGCCTACTGAAGCTGAGACCCTTATAAGTATATATTATTTGCCAGTGTTAAAATAGAAACTTTAGACAAATTAAACTTAAGAGTTTATTTGAACAAAGGATTCATGAGTCAGGCAACACTCAGAAGCAGAAGAGGTTCAGAAAGTTCCACCCAGCAGTGTGAGCAGTGAGCTTCTATAGCCTGAACACAGAAGCAAAGTGGAGAAGTCACCTGGTTTGCTACAGCCTGACATCTGCCATATTTGGGTGTGGTGTGATGAGGCATTTCCCTTATTTGGGCATAGTCTGATCAGTTGGCTGCCTGTAATTGCTTGAAGCTCAGCTGTTTGTGATTGGCTGAAGCCCAGATATTGTTATGAAAAGATACTCCTAAATTATATTTTGGTTTGTTAGGTAGAAAGTCAAAATAAGAAGGTTGCCAATAGCCTCCTACTTATTTAATACCTGTTAGAGATAAGAAGTTGTACAGAAAAATAGGCAAAGAAACACAAGTCTATAGCTGGTTATAGATTTTTTGTACTCTCAGTTCCTTGTGCATAACGTGGAAGTCCAACTCCCCACATGTCCCGCTCTCCTGTTACTATTTTCTTGCCATGCAAATACCCTCTTTCTCCTTCAAGCAGTGTTCTTCTCCGTGTCATTCTAGGCTCTTCCTCTTTATGGATTCAGCTTCCCAGAAGATGGGGCTGAAAACTGAAAATGCAGGGAGAATGAAAGCCAGTGCCTGCCTCCTGCTCTCCTGCAGGCACTGCATACTGCTAAAACTGCAGAGCCCGCAACACAACACTCACCTGCTTTTTAGGACCAGTGATTCCCAAAGCCCCGTGTGTAGCAGAACCACTTCGAAGGCCTGGTGAAACACACTTTGGGGACCCATCCCTAGAGTGCCTGATCCAGAGGCTTGGCTGGGGCCTGAGAATTTGCATTTTAACAAACACTGTGTGCTTCTGTTGCTGCTGGTCTTCTGTTGCTGTGTGCTTCTGCTGCTGCTTTGAGAGCCACTGCTTTCGGGCACTCACTTGTTCATATTATTCTTGGATATTTCCTGCCAGTCAAATTTACTGAGAGAACACAGTGCTTATAAGGCTTTAAACATGAAATGAGATAAATTTGAGACTTCAAATGGATTCCAAATGCCTTAATTAATTTATGTTTGGTGTATTCTACGGATTTTAGGGTTTATGGAAATATATTAACGTGCAATAATACTTTAAAATTGGAAAATATCAGGGCAGAGAAAACATGGCTGTTGAATGGCAAATTAAGTCAGAAAGGTTTTATACAAAAATACACTCTCTATCATCATATACAGCTAGTTAGTACAGGTTGGCATAAAATTAGACTGTAGGCTTGCTAGCAGCCAAAGCAAAAAAGAGAACCATAGGAAGCATTAGCTACAATATTTAGCAGAAACACACAATTCTGTTTTTCTTGGTGCTGAAGCCTGGAGGAAATGACTCGCTGGTGAATTGTTTCCCTACAAATAAATACATAAATAAATGTTTAAATATTTAAAAGCTTTATTCAGTTCCTCCTGTTGGCATTTCCCAACATAAGTCAAGAACTCTACTCTGAAGTGCTAATGTACTTATTTTACACGTGTCTTCTGTTTTACTTGCATTTTGATTTTGTGGGAATGTTGATTCAGATGACATCCCATTAATCTGCATAAAGCCCAATGGGTATTAATTATTTATTCTTATTAGAGAAGAACCTCAGTATCCCAGCCTCTGCAATAAGTATTTTCACGCTGTTCTTCATCACTTCCTTTACTAATACTAACTCTGTGTTTGCTGTTGCTATTTCAGGCTTTAGTGTTCAGTATCAGCAGAAAAGAGTTCAGATAGTACTCCGATCTTTTCATTTCTGACAAACTAGATAAGGAGGATGAATAGGTAGCATCTGATCTCTTACATATAGGAATTTAATTTGTTTTTTATCTCTTCCTGAGATCTTTGAATTAGCACCTCTTCTTTGTAAATTTGAGAACAATTTAAAATGGCCCTTTTGCTTGCAAGCACTGGGGCAGAATCTTATTTTTAAGATAAATAAATAAAGTTACAGACAGACTGCCGCAAAGTATTGCTACCAGTTTATTGGGCTGAAGTACTTTTCAGAATTAAGTGTACTTCTAAACTGCTGGTCAGAAGGTGTGTGCTGGTGGTTTTATTTGTATGCTTCCTCAAGACAAACTTCCCATGCCTTTGGGAATGGATTTCAGACAAAGCCAGGGACTCAGATCAAAGACTGGTGTCCACTAGGCATGGCCATTACCAGTTACACTGTGCCTCTTGAACTTGTTGTTGAGGACCAGCCCTGGCGTCACTTCCCCATCTCTGCTTCTCTTTAACTCTCACTGAGTCTGTATAAATGTGTGTCCAGAGGTCCTTGTGGGAACTTTCTCCGGTTGCTTCCTAATGGAGGTTGATTTCACTCGTGGCTATTCTCAGAAGCCACAGTCCTAATCCCATTGTATTCTTATGCCATTGATACTGAGTGTAGGAATTGTATAGACACCATGTTTTGTTGGACCCTTTGTTTTTCAGATTGTTGGAGAAAAGTGTGTTGTATGTATGTGCATGCATTTTTATATATATTGTAGCATATATATGGCACTCTTATAAAACACTGAGGCACTTATTGTTTATTTCACTGCATGTATAAAGATGAGTCAAGCAATGGTGCCTGCCTTTAATGATCTCACAGTCTAGAGGTGAGGTAGCCTTGTAAATAACTTGTGTTTGCTGTTTTACTTCAATTATGATAAAAGTAGTGAGGGAGAGAGGGGGAAGAAGTGAGTAATACTGCAGTAAGCATCACAATGTATATGGCCTTTTTTGCCTTTGAATTCTTACATTAGGAGAAACTCTCAGGAGTGAGATTATTAGGTTGACATCTTAGGATATTTTATGACTCTGATACATATCACCATGTTGTTTTAAAAAAGGTTGTGTAAATGTATAAAGCCTCTGATTTTATTATAACATTGCCAACCTTTTGTTAAACTATAGAAAAATGATGCCTCATTATTTCAATATTAAGCACATAAACCTTACAATATTTTAGATGGTAATTTTTCCACAATGTATTATACTTCTCTACCTTATTGGCAAAATAATTTTGAACATAATTTAAATGGTTCTTAATAACTGAAGACCCTTGATGTGAAAACCAATGATCAGACTGCCCTGTAATACAATGGAGTATTATACAGTAAAACTTTGGTCAAGTAACTTGATTTCTCTGTATCCTTTTGGGTACCTGTAACTTGGAAATATTTAACATAGTGACATCAGTGGCTGCTTTGTGTCAATTAAATACCAGGATGAATTTCAAAGTCCTTCATTAATTCATTCAACAGATAATGACTCATCCTTTGCTGTACGCCACAAAAGAAAAAATGGCTAATAGGAAAACTTCCAAAACCATAGATTATGGGAAGAAAACAGGCAATTTCCATTGAATTTATGAAGGACACAGCATTGAGCAAGGAGAATGCCTGCTGCAGAGTGGGAGTGGGTCATGGAATGGGAGAAGAAGAGAAGGAGTGTGTGGGTTGTGGGCACAGCATATGTCCAGAGGGTGGGAGCGGACCATATTTATGCACTAGATTTGTTACTTAAGCCTGTAGTTGGAGGGAGAGTTGGAAAGTGTGAGGCAGGGATGTAAGAATGGATGCCGACTAGATTAGGAAGGACCTTGATACTTAATTAGGGAAGTTATTAGTAGATTTAATTCTGAGTCAATGACAAGCCAAAGAAGGGATTATAGGATGGAAATGGTGCAAATACATTTGACCTCCTGAAAGTCATTCTGGTTAAGGGTGTCTGAAAAGAGGCTATTGCAGTGATCCAGAGAAGGGCAATAGTTTGGACATGGGCAGTGAACACAGGGAGATGTGGTGCACTAAGGAGATACATCAAAGGTCAAGTCAACTGCACTTCATGGTTGACCATACAAGGTAGGGGGAGATCAAAAGTTTAAGAATGGGGCTCCACTTCTGATTTGGGTAATGACAAAGACCATGGGTTGGTCCCAGAGGCAGGAAGAATGGGAGGAAGAGCACATTGTAGCACCTTCTCTCAAGGGTCTTCAAGGAATAAAGGATGAATGTTTTAAGTGCTTATCTCATTCACTTACCAGATGATTTACTGGCATAAGAAGGGGAAAAACAGGAAAATCTGTGAGTTAACTGGAGAAAAAAACAACTGATGGATGCTTTTTTGTTCAGTGTTCTGAACTGTCAAGTTAGACTGAATTCCTTGAAGAAATAGTACAAAAAGCCTTGGCTTTGGAGCTAGACTGGCACATTCTAGCTTTATCCCTATCACCTTGTCTAATTTGCTTCCCCTCTTCAGTTTCTTCACTTACAAAATTGGGACAATCTTCCATTCATTCCCTGTGGGCTTAATATGAGGATTAAGGAAGTCAAGAGCCCACTGTTGAATCCAGACACTCAAGACTGCTTTCTCCCTGCCATTGGCCCCCTGGGACTCCACCCCAAATTGAGTTTCTTAAAGGTAATATCCACCTCCAAATTTTCTTTCAATCAACCTCTAAGACTTGTTGCCTGAACACTATGGCAGTTTGCCCAGTCTCAGGCAGTGGCCCCAAGCTGCAGAAGAGGTTAAATTTCCGGCTGTATTTCACAGGCAAGGCCCTCTGTTCTTTAGAAGATTATCCATTCATACTCTTTCACCATTATTCATCTGTTAAAAGCTGCTTGGTCATTAATACAGTGCTCTAAAATATCTCCAGCCTGTGTCTTCAGCAAAAGAAAAATCAATTGTCACAATATACAATAAAACTGTTCATCCTCAGGCAGATATCTTTACCACATCCACAGCATGATCAATGGCACCATTACCAGAGGTAACTTGAATTGCATCCAAAACACTTACATGGAACACATTCTGGTAGAAATGATCTGTCAGTGGTAGACAGTGTGAAGACAAATAACCCTGTAGATGACTTGCCCAATCTGTCTCCGTCTCCAGGAGAATAAGCCAATGAATATTCTTAGCAAGGATTTTCAGTGGGTGCTTCCAGGGAATGTAAAATACCCTCTTTGTTGATCAGAAGACACATTCTGCTCTTACACTAACAGCAAAACCCAAACCTTTTATTTGTCTTTCAGGAAGATAAACTTCAGGTATAAAAGAGTCCATTACCCCAGGAGGTATCCATAAACCTCCAATTCTGAAAATTGCATCTCATCTTTTCTAAAACAAATGCCTTCACTTAAGAGCAGTTACAATTTGCCAATCCTGACAGCTGCAAACTGAATTTATCTTTAATCACACATTCACTGAGTGTCTTTTGAAAGCACATCAGCCATCATGGAGTAAAGCATTATCATATAGGGGGAAAAACATTGCCAATTCATTAATTAGGAAAACAGAAATTTTTCAGATAATAAGAATTAAATGCCTCTGAAGAGTGTCTGAATTTTAGCCTATGCTATAACTTGATTCTTATAATACTGGTTACAAATAGCAGTTATTTGAACCTATTTTGTCACCTGATGAGCAGGCTAAGGTAGGTACAAAAGTATACATTAGACTTTACCCCAAAGACAGCCACCAAATGCTGAGCATGTCCACATCTAGGTAATCTTAGGAGGGAATGGCTAAAAATGGATGGCAATTGAAAGAAGGCAGATTGGGAAGTGATACAAAGAAAAATTTTCTAGTCATTAGAATTCCTATTACTTAAGTATTCAGAGGATGGGGAGCCAAATTCACAGAGAAATATTTCCCAAATTGGACTAGATTATTTGAAGAGCCCTTCAACACTAAAAATCTATTATTCTTTGACACTAATGCATAAATGTCTCAGACATCGTTACTCAGTGATCCATTTTGGGTGCACAGAAAGAACAGTTGTTTTTTTCTCCAGTTAACTCACAAATTTTCTTGTTTTTCCCCATCTTATGCCAGTCTGATGTCTTTAAGCACTTATGTCTTATGCCAGTCTGATGTTTTAAGCACTGAAAACATTCATCCTTTATTCCTTGAAGACCCTTGAGAGAAGGTGCTGATCGCCTTTCCCCAAAGTGGAACAGAGCAACATCCAATCTGCATAGAGGCTCTGCAGGACCCCGAGAGAGAGTAGACCCTGAAGCAAGGGAGCTGGATCTGGCTAGACCTGCTGCCGGGGCCATCTGTGTTGCATGCACTTCACTTTCCTCATCTGGGAAAGGAGATTGAAAGTAAAATTGAAGATAAAAATATATATATATGTATATCTTCATATAAATATAAATTCATATATATATGAATTTGCCTTTAAAATAAAATATTATGTAAAGGAAGGCAACAGCCTCCTTTATATATATATTCAATATATATCATATATATTCAATAAAAATATATATATCTTCATATAAATATAAATTCATATATATATGAATTTGCCTTTAAAATAAAATATTATGTAAAGGAAGGCAACAGCCTCAGCAAATAAATTAAATGTGATTAATGTTTACGAAAAGTGTCACACATGTCCCAAAACCCAAACTTCGCTTATCTCCTAATAACTCAATTTTTGAAGCCCTCTCACTAGCCCCTTGGGAAGACAGACACCTTGGCATCCAACAGCTTCCTCGCTGGTCTGCAGTTCCCTCTGCCATGGCTGCATCCAGCCCTTCCTTCTGTATCGAACCTACACAAAACTGCCAATACATCTGTTCACCTGTTTTCGCTCTGTTGCTTACTCCATCCAGAATGCCTTAAACCCCTTCTCGAACAAATGGAACTCTACAGGAGTTCAAGGGTGGAGACAAATACCTGCCTCCTGCTTCACAAGGTCTCAGCTTTGTGTTCACAGAAAGCGTTGTGTGTGCCCCTGCTGTGACGCTCACAGTCTTGGGTGACATGACTCCTAGGCCACCTTTATGAACTTGCTCATTTCACACTGCATTCTCCATGACCAAGTCCTCTGAAACATGAGGGACATGCAGCCAAAACACGGGCCATGCTGTGCAGCCTAAAATGTAAAATACTGCATGCTGTTTCTTTATATTGTAGGGGAAAAATAACATAGGTTTGTAGTGGGGAGACCTGTTACAAAAGGCAAGTTAAGAGAAACCAACAAGTTTATTCACATGTATATTTCATACATACATGGGAGATACCCAGAGAATGAGTAGTTCTCAAAGAGGTGGCTTTGAATTCCAGCTGATAACAAGGAACAGTAAATTTTTAGAGAAGTAAGGAGACAAAAGAAAAGGACTTTGATTCTCTAAGGGGGGCCCGTGGGGGAGGGCAAATAACTGGCAGATAGAGACTAGTTTGTGATGCTTGTTAGTGTGGGCTCCTCTGGTACCATCTCAGGTCCAGGAGGGTCTCTGTTCTCCCTGGTAGAGGGGGACAAGTAGGGTACCTTTAGTCTTTGTAACACCATGTCCTATAAATAGAGGGAGGGCATTGAGCTTTCCTGTATCTGCTTCTTCTTAATTGTCTTCAGCTCAACAATCCTCCCTATTTTGGGAGGTGTATTTTGGTCTCTCACAATATATTTCTAAGATTTTAATCCTTTCTAAATAAAGTGAGATTAGAAACACCAACCTTCCTGTCATTACTTCATTACTTTGAGAGAGATTGACCCTCACAACCTCCCTGAAGCTCTTGAAGAGATTGATGATGATTTCTTACCTCTTGTAAACATTAGGTAGGTGCCATTACTTTTAATACCTCAGGAACGCCCTACCCCACAGCCGCTCTGTAGCTCTGAGCCCATTTGGAGTGCTGGAAACATCTCACAGGCAACTTCTCCACACTCCAGGCACCATGAACGATGATTACCGTGGCAGCCCGCAGTCATTATTGAAAATACACCATCAGAATAATGAAGATGCTAAGACTCTCCCCTCTGGCTCCCATGAGTAATGAAAGCCTGAAGGAAGGGCTCATTCATTAAGATTTTATAAGCAGAGGAGAATAAATGGATATTTGTTTTAAAGAAATTCATTTCTGTCCAATATTCTAATTTTGAGGAACTTTGTAGGGAATACAAATTTATTTTTAAAAAGGATTAAAATGAAGTTCAGTTACTGCAAGTGAGTCTTTGAACTAAGTACTCTTGAAATGTTTCATTAGTAACATTTTGTTCAAAAATTCTAATGGAACTGACAAGAATTTGACTTTTGTTTCATTGTCTAAAGAATGTAAATATGGTCATTGCACATACCAGGAATGCAGAGAGTAAAGTGTACCTCACTTACATTGACTCTTCCCCATCATTTATCCTTGCAATGCCTTGCGATCCCTGATTAAACACAGAAATCTAGCACCTGAAACTTATCAAAAAGATGAACATTGACAGTCATCCCTCATAGGTGCAGCCCAGGTGCAGGCTGAGGAAGGCTGGCAGGCATAGGTGCAGCCCAGGTACAGGCTGAGGAAGGCTGGCGGGACAAGAGTTCTATGCAGTGATGAGCGTGGTCAGGTAAGAGCTGTCCTTCAGCCTGCACCACCTATGGAACTACAGTCTGGAGATGAGCTGCCCAGCCCTCCCCGCCCAGGATGCTGAATGAAGGGCTTGTTTTCATGTTAGCCAATATTATCACAACAAAAGTAACTAACTCATTCTATGAACTTTTCCATTTTGCAACTAATCCTTTCATTAGCAATGAGGAAGGAAGCAGGGAGGGAAAGAGGACATTTAGCCAACTTTTAATATTGATTTTTGCTTTTGCAAGGATATTGATGAGTGTTTAATATGCACAGTTTGCCCAGTCATTGTTGGAGGCTGCAGTAAACTCACTGGCCAGATACAAACAAAATGGAAAACATAAATTTGCTGAAGAAACATCAGCTTCTAGTTCAAAAGTTAATAGTTACAGTAAGAAGAGGATCTCAAGACAATGATGTAACACACTTGGCAGTAGAAGGAATATTTACTTGTCACTCTCTGAACCATGAATGCTCATTGATAGCAGATGAGAATTTTACCCTAGATTAACATGACTCATTTTCAACTGCAATTTTCTAATAGTTGTGCAAAAAGTAAAACAAATCCTGCTACTACATTGACTCCAATAGCACAAGAAAAAAGCAGCAAAACATTAAATAATGTCAGTTTTATATCAGTGTCTTACATGCTTCAAGTAGAAAAACAATTCCGTAATTTTCAAAGTTAGTAATTAAAAACAAATCTATTCTTGGATGAAAAAAAAAAAAGCTTTTGGAAGTTGATTCTGTGAGTTAAAACATCTAATGCTATTGCAAATTGTATTTTAAATTCATTTAAAGAATTCAGTGTTAAAAGTACAATTATTTTTTGACTCATACTTTGGATAAATTTTGGCAGGAGCAGAGTGTCATAAAAACCATGATTTAACTTAAGAAACCAACAGAGTACAAGTCCCCTTGAATTTGATTGTGTTGCAATATTCATAATTGCATCTAAACAAGCTGTGACATTCTAGAAATAAATATAGAAGCTATAATTGTCAAAATTTAAAAATATTCTTATAAACCCATCTTTTTATGAATATAAAAAAATTCTCAGCATGGCAGTAGTGCTTTCTCTTTCATCAGTTGGAATTTCTTTAGAAATGGTTGAACTTTGGAAGACCTACTTTAAAGTCAATCTAAATTCCTAACAAAGTTTTTGACATTAAAAAAATTGAATTCTCTTTATTTTGGCTGCATATTTCTTTCCAACTAGAAATCTTTCATTACAGTATTCAACGAAGTAAAAAAAAAACTCTAGCTTTTGAAGTTTTAGAAAGTTGCCATTGTTAATGCAGTTATGCCCTGTCATATATCAATCACGTAGTGTTTTTAGTTTCTTCTTTTATAAATCATGCTTACTGAGGTAGACCTCACATATAATTAAAAGCCTGCCTTTTAAAGGTGCAGTTTATTTCTCACCTTTCTCCCCAGCCCTGGCCCCAAGCAGCTGGTGCTCGGCTTTGTCTCACTGTGGGTTTTTGTTTTTTGTTTTTTGTTTGAGACGGAGTCTTACTCTGTTGCCCAGGCTGGAGTGCAGGGCCAGGATCTCAGCTCACTGCAACCTCTGCCTCCAGGATTCAAGCGATTTGATTCTCCTGCCTCAGCCTCCTGAGTAGCTGGGATTACGGTCACCCACCACCACACCCAGCTAGTTTTTGTATTTTTAGTAGAGACAGGATTTCACCATGTTGGCCAGGCTGGTCTCGAACTCCTGGCTTCAAGTGATCTGCCTGCCTTGTCCTCCCAAAGTGCTCGGATTATCACTGTGGTTATTTTTAACCTGTGCTTTACAGAATTTCAGTTGAGAATCATGGAGTGTGAGTCTTTGTGTCTGGCTTCTTTCACTTGGTGATGTTTTTGAGGCTCACCTATGTTGTTGCCTGTATCAGTCCCTTCCTTTTTACTGTTGAGCAGTGCTCGCTTGTATAGACACAGCACACTTCATTCATTTACTACTTGGTGGAGATTTGAGATTTTAAGCTTCTGATTAGTATGAATAATGCTCCTGTGAGCTTTCATGGATAAGCCCTTGTGTAGAAATATGTTTATATTTGTCTTGGGTAGCTTCCCGGGAATGGAACTGTGGGAGTGAGTGGATGTGTTTTACTTCGTAAGAAACTGTCAAACAGTTTTCCAAAGTGGCTGTTCTGTTGAGCATTCCCTTCAGGAGTGCATGAGTGCTCCAGTGTGTTTTATAATTACATGATAATAGTTACGAGTATGGGTTCTCTGAATGGTAGGATATCACACAAGGACGCTTGGACAGATGAAAGACAGAACTCTTGGTTACAGCTTTGAATGAGAAGAGGCTGCCACTTGGGCTACACAGTGGGCTGCATCCAGGGACAGGGTAAAAGCAAGCTGGAATTATACAACCACGAAATGTACTCCCCATACGGAAGGAAAAAAGACTAAAGAGACTGACTCTAAGAGAGTCTAGATGTTGGACTCTGCAGAGAAAGGCTTCAAAGTAGCTATTAGGGTATGTTTAAAGATTTAAAGGAAAATATAATCTTCTGTATGGCAAGCGGGGTGGGGTGAGCTTGGTGGAGCTAGCTGGGATCCCTGGACATTGGGCATTTTGAATAATTCCAAATAAGAAGGTCCATTCCTGGGCCGTAAATATCCTGGGGCCCCCGGCAGTTGGGTATGTGTTTATTATAATTCAGCAGCGTTAGTGCCTAGTAAGGGAAGTAGATGTGGTGGTGGCTTAGCAAACTGCCTGCATAAAGGAATTGAAAGTTTTCAGCCATGACATCAAATGTAGGTCAAAACAGCACTTGTGAAATGTGATATTACACTGGTATTGCCTTGGTTGCCTTGGTACTGACAGAGATTAATTTTAGAAGGTCTAAGAGGTCTAGTGCACCTTAATATGCATTTCCATAACCACCAGTGATGAGCATCTTTTCATGTTGTTGATAGCCATTTTTATGTCCTATTTTTTGAAGTGCCTGTTCAAATCTTTGGCTCATTCTTTATTGTTATTCTTTTTATTGTTATTGTTATTCTGTCATATTTCTTGTTATTGACTTGAAAAAGTTAATACAAATCCTTCATCTAGTATATGTGTATATGGCATTTTCCCTCAGTCTGTGGCTTGCCTTTTCATTTTTAATGATATCTTTTAAGAAGAGCAGAATTTTTTAATTTTGATAAAGTTCAGTTTCTCAATTTTTCTTTTATGGCTTACTTTTTGGTCCTGTCTATGAAATATTTGCCTAATCCAAGGTCACAAGTTTCTCTTACATTGTCTTCCAGAAGTTTGTAATTTTAGCTCTCAGATTTATTTTCTGGGTACATGGAGGGAGATAAGAGTTGATGTTTGCTTTTGCCCATGTTGATATCTAGTTGTTTCAGTACCATTTTTTGAAAAGATTACCTTTTTCCTATTGAATTATCTTGACTTCTTTTGGTCAAAAATCAATTCACCATATGTGGGGACCTTTTTCCAAACCATTTATTCTTTTCCATTCATCTATAAGTTAATCCTTATGCCAATGTCAGACTCTTCTCTAGAATTATTGTAAACCTTGAAATTAAGTACTATAAGGTGTCCAACTTTATTTTTTAAAATTCCCTTAACCTTTGCATTTTCAGCATATTTTAAATTTAGCTTGTCAAGTTCTACAAAAACCCTGTTTTGATTTTGGTTGAGTTTGCATTTAATTTACAGATTAATTTTGGAAAAACAGACATCTTAACCAGATTGAGTTTTTCAGTCTACAAACATGGCATATCTCTTCATTTATTTAGATATTTTAAAATTTCTCTCAGTAATATTTATGGTTTTTATTATACAGGTTTTGCATATCTTTTGTTATTCTTAATATTGAATGGAAATGTTTAAATTTAATTTCAATTTCCAGTTGTTTGTTCCTTCAGTATAGAAATATATTTGATTTTTATTAATCTTGTATTTCCTACCTTGCAAAATTCTCCAAACCTGTGAAATTTTCATTTATTATTTACTGAGTTATTTTTCTGTTTCTTTTTCTCTTTCCTACTCTTCCTAAGCCCAAATTATACATATGAAAACTTCTTATTTTATCCCACAGGTCTTTAAGGATTTGTTTATTTTCCCTGTATCTTTTTTTCTTTCTGTTCTTTACATTGGATAATTTATACTGGCTTATCTTCAAGTTGATTAATTCTGTCTTCTGCCCTCTATAATCATCTGTTGAGTTAATTTAATGAGTTTTTCATTTCAGTTATTGTACTTTTCAATTCTAGAAATTCCATAAAATCATTTTTATAGTTTTCATTTCTTCATGTTGATTATCTCTCACTCATTAAGACTCATTAAGATCACATTTTCCTTAAAATCTTTAAACATCCCTTAATAGCTACTTTGAAGTCTTTGTCTACAGAGCACAACATCTAGGCTCTCTTGGAGTCCATTTCTTTAGTTTTTTCTCCTTCAGTATGGGGCATACATTTGGTTGATACATTGCAGCAACTCTGGGTTCTGTTGTTGTTTCTTCTGAGGATTGATGGTTTTCTGCTCCTGCCTGGAATCACAGTGTGGATATAGATCTCCTTTATTATTTGCCTAGTTCTTTTTGCTTACAGCTGCTTCTAAATTGGCCTGGACCTCTTCAGAATTCACTGTGCCTGTGAAGGTTAGTGGTCAAGCAAAGTACTTGTGCAGTTTATGCTGGCATTTTGGGCCCAGCCATTTTCTGTTTCCTTGCTTCCATGTGCTCCTCCTCACTTCCCAGCTGCTCTGCTAATCCCAGCTGTAAGGCTTTGCTTTCTATTACCTGAACTGCAGGTGAGTTGGGAAAGTTGTACAATCAAAACAGCAACAAGAAACTGATGTTTCTTAATGCACTTTTGTCCTTTAATGATAGACTCTTCTCACATTTACACCTACTTTCTGGCCACCTCCTCAGACTCCTCACTGTACATGCTTATTCCTCGGTTGGCCAGAGTTACAGGCAGTTTGTACTGATTTGGAGTCTTACCCTTTCTTTGGCTTTCTTACTTCAGTGATCCCCACCACCCCCATATTTGCAACTGTTCTGCCAAATCTGACTCTGTCCTTGAGGCAGTAAGACTGTGATTTCCTGTGACTCCAGTAGAAAGAAAGGGTTGACAAAAACCCACCACAGGCAAAAAAGCCACAAACTCATGATTCTTACCCTTTGTTGTAATCGTCTGTTTAGAGTAAACTCTGCTAGGTTTTCTGCCTGCTTTTGGTGGCTTTCTACCTTCCAATAATTATTCCTTCTGTCTGGTTTTCATCACTGCTATCTGGGGGACAGTTTTTCAGTGACGCCATCACCATTACCAGAAGTCTTCCATTTTTAGTCTCCAAGAAAATGAAGACACAAGAAATCTTTAACAAGTGAGTTATTTTCACATATAAAATTTTGTATCCAAAAAAGAATAATCTCCTTTAAAACATCTTAGAGCATTTTTTAAAAAAGGATCATGCATTAGGTCCCTCAAAAAAACTAGTGGACTGAAAAAGGTGAGACTCACAGACAGTCATTCAATAATTTTCAGTCAAGAACCTGTTATATACAGGTGTGGTTCTAACTATAGCATTGCAGATGAACAAGCCAGAGTCTTTAGAAGTGCACAAATGTATGTCCTAAAAAATTTCAGTAGAAAAAAATATTGTCTTAATCATTTTTGCTTAAAGAAGAAATCATACTAAAATTATGTGCTGTTTAGAAACAAAGTAAATACTACATGTCAAAACCAGTAATACTTTTAAATATTAATGTCTTGTTGTATACTACAAATCTGGTAGGAAATTTTTGGTGGTTTCATTTAAAAGGTTTTTAATAGATTTCTTATATGTTTAACTGATGTTTCAAATGTTTGAAAATATTATCACAAAAGATAACTAAGTCGTTTAACAGACTCTGGCCCCTGATGGGTGGACTATATAAATATACTTTTTTTTCCTAGCAAGTACCATGTATCATTTATGCCTTATGATAAATTTATGATTATATGAATTCGGTGTATTTTCTTAGGCAAAATTTTTATCTTTAGCATGTTCAGTATTCCAAGTCAGGAAAAAATAGTTTATTCATAATTGTTTTATTAATTGCTTATATACACTTATACATAAGAATACACATTTCATTTTCATAATATTCCCAAGTTTTTACATATGCTTATTACAATTTTGAAGTTTTAAAATTATTTCTTGCTTTGTATGATTTTGTATATTCTGTTAATACAGTTATGTCATATTGCAGTTGTGCTTATGAATAGGACTCATATTTGTATGTTTAGATTTTAAGTACTTTTCTGTATTCTCTAGTTTTTATTGTCAATTCTGACATTTTATACTCATGCTAGTAGAGTGAAGCTTTGCCCATTTTTTAGTATTTATATAATGCATTTTGACTTTAAGTGTTATTGTATAGTGACATACTTTCAAATTTTTTTTAATTCATATTAATTCCAGGAAGTGCCTTCTTTTTTATAGAAAAGTCCAGCCCATTTTGGTATTTTATACCAAATATAAAATGGTCCTATTGGAGAATAGGACCCCATTCTCCAATATGTTCAATATTGTAACTAGCCTTTGTTGTCTCTTTTTATTTTATGTTGTATAAAACAATAACTTTTTATTTTTCTTTGTATTGGATGGGAGGTAATTGCATGTTATTAAATTCATTTTCTAGGATTTATTATGCCATTATTTTCTACCATTCTTACAGTTATACTGTATTAATAATAATCACCATTTAAAAGGTCCACCATGTACAAGAGCAATTCTAAGGCTCCTCTTAATAATGGCCTGTTTATTTCATGTCTCACCTCTTTTTTAGGGGACTTCTCTAAATTGGGCATTGGTATAGCCTTCTCTGGACACCCCATTATATCTTACCATTTAGTATTTTACTGTAAAATGCAATACTTACTGGTCTTTGTTTTTTCAGAATGCATTTTGCTTTCTTATATATTCTGATCAAGTCTTTTATTGAGACACGGTTTACATACAATAAAATGCACAAATCTTGATCATTCAATTAAGTATTGATAGTTACATACTTCCACCAGCCATCATCCCAGAATGTGCCCTCATGCACATTACCATGTAATTCCCATCCCACCCTACCTGCCAGAAATACCTACTTCCAGTTTCTTTCTCTAGATTATTTCCGCTTGTTCAGAGACATCATGTAAGTAGAATCTTACATGAGATGTTTTATATCTGGCTTTTTTCACTCAGCATAATATTTTTGAGTTTCATCCGTGCTGTGCCTATTTGTATTTTGGTTCCTTTTTTGGCTGAGTAGTATTCCGTTGTACAAATAAACCACAATTTGTAAGTGCATTCTTTTGCTTATGGATCTTTGGTTCCTTTTCAGTTTGGAACTATAATGAATAAAGTGCTATGAATATTTTGCACCAGGATTTTTGTGGACATACACTTCTATGGCTTACAAGTAAACACTAAGGTTTTTGCAAGTAAACACTAAGGTCATGGGGTAGGTCAATGTGAAAAGTTACAAGAAATTACTAATTTTCAAAGGGTTTGTACTATTTTACACTCCTACCAGCAATATGTGAGTGTTCTAGTTGCTAAACATCCTCACCAACACTCAGTATTGTCAGTCTTTCTAAAATTGTCCATTCTAGTGGGGTGTGGTGGTATCCTGTGTGTGTTGAGCTGGGTCTGGGCTGTGCTACTGCGTAGTTAGACTTAGTTCTGTATTTACCATGTCTTTTATTTTTTGTATTCTGATACTTTGACATCTGGAGCCTCACTGCTGCTAGACGGACGGCCTCTCCCACGGTTAATCAGTTCTGAGAGGTAGTAAACAACTTGACAGAGAGCAGGCTTTTCAAATATAAGCAACCAATCCAGAGCCCACTCCCTCCACCACCTCCTGGTTGTCCTGTAAGCAGGCTCTTACACTCTGGGCCACTGTACCCTGCCCTAATACTCACCTAGGGCCAGGTCCCAGGGATAGCCCGGGTGCCCCACAGCCCACTGAAATGATTCAGACTAGTCAATGCTAAGCCTGCTTGCTCTGCTCTACCAATTCCTTCCCACGGAACCCACACCAAGGCTCTTGCCCACAGCTCCTCTCTCTCTCTCTGCCTCATGGCTAACCCTGCCGCTTCCCAGTGGTCCCCTGAGGGTGGTGTCCCTCTTCTATTGGGACCTATGAGTAATGAACTATCTTGCAATGAGAGTTGTCTCCTGATCTGTTGGCCTTATTGTACCTCAACTTTCTGTTAATACACTATATTTTAAAACAATTCTTCACTGGCTTAAAATGTTGCAAGGCTGTATCAGGATTTCTCTTTAGCAGTGCTTAGAATCTGAACACCAATGTGACTTGAGGTTTTTTAGAAAATCATATCCCAGTGACCAGCTTTCTGAACTCTTAGAGTCTCTCCCCATTTACAACCTGCCAGAGTTTTGGGTTTCTAGGGAGTTCCTTGTTCTCCAGCTTTGCTCATGAGTCCCAGTTCTTCAGTGGCCTCTCTCTCCTCTGTGTCCCATGGAGTCATCCATAGCACCCCCGGTTAAGATTCTGGCAGCCTGGCAGGGTATCTGGGCATTCATGCCCTTCCCCTAATATCCCCGTTCATTTGTTGAAGCTCATGGGAAAGGGCTGATGTTTGGCTGCAGACTCATTCCATGGCTGGTGCTCTTCTGGAGTCCAACGCATCACGCCAGCCTACACACACCCTTTGAAGTTTGTGATCCCATTGTCTCCTTTCTCCTTAGCCCTGCCTAAACAGCCTTCTTCCTCTCCCTTCACATTGCCAGTGAGGAGGGCAAGCTGTGTTATGCCTTTCTGCATTTAGTCCACCTGGATCTCTTTGCATCTTCAGCTCTCTAATGAGTAAATACATTAAACAAACAACAATTACAACAAGAGTCTGTGGTTTCACAGTTTATCCAGCTCTTTCTGTTAGGATGGGAATGGCCATCTCTGGAGACTCTTTATCTGCTACCTGGAAGCAGAACTTCACGTTGATTGATTTATGTGTCATTAACTATCTTTTGGGTTATTGTAATTTTTTCAGTCGTACTCAGATCTCTATTGCTGCTTAGGAAGATTTTTTACAGTCATGGGACTGTGTTTACAGATTTTCTTTTTCATGTCTTCCAACTACTCTATATTTTTCTTCCTTCAAAAGAAAAGTCAACATAACTGAATGTAGTACTTGTAGTGGAAACTTGCTTTTTTCTTTTGACTGTTCAGCTCTTCCCTGTGGTTCTCTTCCTTTTCAAAGTCTCCAGGAAGAAATCTTAGGCATTATCCTTTTTGTCCTTGGCAAGTTGTAGAATCTTTTATTAATCTTTAAAATTTGAAAAAAAAAATTTAACAAGTAGGAGTCCTGGAACAGAAGTTGTTTCCTTAAGAATTTGCTCTTCACTGGGGGGTGATGAGGGCTCTCTGTTGTCAGAAGTCTCTGGTTTCTCTGGTATCTAGACTTTATCACATGTTGTACTGCTGGGATTTGATTTCAAAATTCGTTAATTCACCTTGTATTATTATTGTTATTCCTGTCCACAGTCTGATGGTAATTTTCCTGGGCTAGTTTTATTTAACGCTACTCTTTCAGGTTTTCTCTTTTTTATTATTATTATACTTTAAGTTCTAGGGTACATGTGCACAATGTGCAAGTTTGTTACATATGTATACTTGTGCCATGTTGGTGTGCTGCACCCATTAACTGGTCATTTACATTAGGTATATCTCCTAATGCTATCCCTCCCCCACCCCCTCACCCCACGACAGGCCTCGGTGTGTGATGCTCCCCTTCCTGTGTCCAAGTGTTCTCATTGTTCAATTCCCACCTATGAGTGAGAACATGTGGTGTTTGGTTTTTTGTCCTTGCGATAGTTTGCTGAGAATGATGATTTCCAGCTTCATCCATGTCCCTACAAAGGACATGAACTCATCCTTTTTTATGGCTGCATAGTATTCCATGGTGTATATGTGCCACATTTTCTTAATCCAGTCTATCATTGATGGACATTTGGGTTGGTTCCAAGTCTTTGCTATTGTGAATAGTGCCGCACTATTTCTTTCTATTCAGTTGTTCATACCTTCTGGAAAGTTTGTTAATTACCCAGCCTCCACCCAGACATGACTGTTTTAGCAAGCCCAATACAGTGCCACGTGCTTGTCTGCATCTAAGGTGGTAATCACTCTTCTTTGGCTTTGGCTGAAGAAGTGACAAAACACCTCCAGAAGCTCCCTGTGGCTCCAAGTTGAGGGCGCCCATCTCCAGCCACTTGCTCTTCTCCTAAGGGCTTATGGTGGTGGCTATCTTCTTTTGTAAATTTCTCATTTTTGAAGTCATTCTCATTATTTTGATGCGGATTTTGTTTTTTGAAATGTTAAACCCTGTGTTTTAGACTGTCAGTAATTTGAATTTTTTATTTTTTCTCAAGCAACTGTAAAAAGGACTATTCCATGCTCTCTGAACACTAGAATTCAGGAATGCTGTAACAAACGTATTTACTAACCTGGAGAACATGTAGGGACTTCAGGGGAGAAATATTATGATACTTGAGTGCTTATTTTGTGGAAAAGGAAGTAGATTTATTCTGCATAGCATGATAGGGCGCACATGGGTAGAATATACAGGTGGCAGATTTTTGCTCAGTGTAAGGAGACACTCCTCATACCGAGGGCTACCCCCAGTGAAACAGACACTAAGGAAGCAACAATTTCCAGGTACTGGAGGTGGGAGGGCAAAGGCTCATTGGCCATGTTTTAGCTACAATGAGAAGAGTTCCTGACTCTGGCAGTGATAAGAAGCATTCAGTTCTGTCAACAAGGTGATCAACCGCAAAATAAAAACATAAACCCAAACTTAGCAAGAAGAGACTTTTATTCAGAAGGATTTTTACAATAATAAAAGACTATTGCAAGTGGAAGAACAGAAGATCTTTAAGCAACTCCAGAACTTAGGCAAAAAGAGTTTCTTTCTTTCACAGACAGGAGTCAACAAGGCTAGAAAGAACCAGGCATGGGGAATTGAGATGAAAAAGTAGCATCATCAGATAGTAGACAGATAATATTTTCCCTGAGGCCAGCCTGTTCTCAGGAGGGGCATCGGCTGCTCAGGCTGAGGGGTCCCTGGAGGAAGGTTAACAAGCATTTTGTTCAGTTGATCAGTGGGGACAAAGCAGTTCAGCTAATTATTTATGAGGCAGAAAAATGGGAATTTGCAAGGTCTTTGTCTTTTTCACAGGGAACAAGGGGGCATCCACACATCTAAGTCATATGAGAGGGGTGAGTCTTTGCTGTAAGCTGTTTTTAGGGATACAAAAGAGTGGGATATTCCTTTACCACATCAAAAGACAAAATTATAAGAAATTTTGTTTAAAGATCTAATTAGCTTTTATTTGCTATTCTAGAATTGAGCATCACCTCATTCTATTTTCTGAGAAACAGAATTTGCTGAGAAATAGAACCTCATTCTATTTTCTGAGAAATAGAGAATTCTATTCTCTATTTTCTGAGAAATAGAATGAGGTTCCTATGAGCTGATCAGAGGAGGTTGGCTTTATAGGCAGAAAGGACTTAAGGAAGCAGAAACAGGGAACAAAAAGTGTATTGGTCATTTGAAAGTTACTTTCCTTACAGGGTTAAAACAGAGGGAACTTCCTTATTGTGCTGAACCAGGTTGACTGAAATCTCCTGTTTTTTAGGAAAACTGACCTATTTCAAACTTCTGTTTGGTTCCATGGCACTTAGCACAAGTCTGTCTATTCTGGTCTGGTCTGGTCTGCTGGGGCCTAGTGCAGGAGGCTGGTCCAAGCCAACAGCCTCTCATCAACTGTGTTTAACAACATTCAGGTAAAATTCTACATTGCCAAGACTTTGTCAAGCTATATTAACTTCTTGGCAATGTGCTCTGTCCAGTTGTCATTTAGCTTTCTTTGGTCATTTGCCAAGTACCTCCAGGCACTTCACTAGGCTCTAAGGTTAAAAGTATGGATCAGAAATCAACCCTGCTCCAAGGAGATCACAGTCTAAAAGTCTTCTCTGGAGAAGTACACTTCCAGAATTGCAGCTATAAGCCCTGTACATCCTGAGTTGGAAATGTGAAAAGTCCAGAAGTCAAAATGACCAGAGTAAGGGCTAAAGATCAAAGGATACTATGAAGGTTAGGCTAATAAGACGTGCTGATGCATTGCATTTGGGCATGAGAGAAAGGAAGGTTTCCAGGTTAACTGCAGGGCGTTTAGTGTCAGCAACTAAATGAATGGGATTGATGTTTATTGACACAGAGAAGAATGTGGGTGTAACAGGAGGTAGTGGAGGGAGATGCAGAGTTCAGTTTTGTCTGTGGTAAGTTGATAAGTCTATTAGAAGTCTGAGTAACTTCTTCAAGTAGAGATTTGGAGTTTGGAATTCAGAGATGGGATCCAGGCCAGAAAGATGAATGTGGAAGTGATAATGAGCCAGCATGTTCTGCCCCTTGCACAATAAGCCAATCACTGAGATAACAAGTTTTGCAGTAGAGAAAAGATTTTATTCACAAAGCAGCCAAACAAGGAAGTGGGAGAACACCTCTCAAATCCACCTCCCTGAAGATGGGGTCTTACAGATATTTATGAGATAAAGGAGCAAGGTGGTCCAACGCATTAGGAAAGGTGATTGGGAGTGAGGAAAAATGAGGTAATCAGTGGTCCATGCAAATGTAGTCAAGCTTCATGGCTCTTTATGGAATACATCTTCACAAAATGGCATCATTAACATCATCTGAGAGTGATATTTTTGTCCCTCTAATGTTAGAAGATCACTCATTGAACATTGCTGCAGGGAATCAACCCTGTCCAGTTGGAGGGTCAGTGGTCTCAGATGGCTTGAACCAGACAAGAGTTGACCCCAAGTTCCTGAAAAACAATGTAAGCAACTTACCATCGTAACTTATAGATTCTATCTATAAGTCAGGCAGTGGGAATTTAGTTATATATTGTTTAGCTCATGACTTTTAGCTATATAGGTTTCAAGATCAACTAGAAAAAAGGAACTAAAAGCAACCAAAGCAGATAAAGTTTTGCAGGATCATCAGCTTAGCTGTTAATTTCAGAGGTGGCTTGTGGATCATCACATCCAGAAGTCATAAAGTTGATTTCATACCATGGGAAGCGTATTGGCTGAGCAAAACCAGCAGTGATAATGATTCTACTGGTTTCTAGGCTGATGGGTAGACTTGGGAGTAAAGGAGCCCTTCTATTTTCCACCACAATACTCTCTGATCTGTGCGCAGGGCTGTTCTGGTTAGCTGAATATCACCGTGTGGGTTATGTGGGCCTTGAGGCAAACTTCAAGGTTGACCTGATGCAGTTCATTGGCATGTTCTCTTGTCCTCTATTCATTATCCCCAGTGGCTAATTCATTTCCAGGGGACTCTGTGGGAATCAAATAGTTCAATTATATGGAAAATGAATCTAGGCAGAGAGCTTTCATCATACATTAAGAAGTCCATGCTGGAAACAAGATACAAAACTATCAAAGTAGGACTCCAATTATGTAAATATATATTCATGCAACAAGTGAATGAGCAAGTGGGGATTATTCCACAGATCTGTTAGTCCTACTGAGTGTCAGTCTGTATTATATGCTGAATTATCAGTAGAAAATAGGGTTTCTGGTCACGTGGCAGATGGAGCTGAGGTTCATGAATCCTTCCTACTGCAAACACGAAATGCCGAGTAAATGCTGAATATATTTGCCTTTAAAATATCTAGCTTAGTTTGGAAAAAATAAAATTCCCCAGGTGCTAGAAATCAAGTAAGAAGCAAATCCCAGAGTAATATCAGACAGGCAATGCCATGTGATTCTGGGGGTTTGGGACTGGCTGGAGGCCCCAAGGATTGGAGTCGTGATCTCACATGGGGACAGGAAATTTGGCTGTAAATGCTTGTGAGTCAGAAGACCTGGAGCCACCCTCTGCATACAGTTGTTAATCTAAACTGTGTGTGGTGGTGGTGGAGGCCAGGATGGGGGAGATATTGTCAACCTAAAGATAGAAGCTGAGGAAAAATTAATATAGAAAGTGTATTTGGGTCAAGGTTGAACACAGCAGCCTAGGACACAATTCCAAGTTGCCTTGGGGAGTGCTCCTTTGTTACAGACAGGTTCTTAAAGGCAAATGGGGACAAAGAGTGCCCTGATACAAAGTTGTTTGCCTAGAATTCTCACTGGTTTATAGCGGTAACATTGGTCAGTGATTGGCTATTCATTGTTGAACTATAGGGTAGAGGACATAGTGTCCAGCATATGGCATTTTATGGCTACTGGACATCAGTTAGTCCAGAGCCCACCTAGCAAGTGGCTTCAAGCAGTAATTATTTAGTTCAAGGAGGAATGAGAGGTGACTGATGTAATTAGTCCTGATAATTAAAGGGGGCTCACATTCCTCAGATGAAGTTTCTTTTCTTTCTCAGTATTTAAGCTAGTGACACATGTGGGCTTGGGTGCAAATTTTCTTAAATGCATGGTGGGGGCTGGGATGACCAGGGTCAGTAATTTTTAAAGAGAATCAGGACTGAACACTTGTTAAAGAGGGCAAGACAGATTGTATTCAGACAGCTGCAGTAAGGGAGACAATCCAGTATAAACTGAGCTCAACTTCAACTAAGACCAAGGTGGCTGAGGTTTTTAAAAGGAGGACGGAGAGGGAACAAAAAGGAAGAACAAAAAAGAAACTTGGAGCCTATGAAGAAATGGAAAATTACAGAAGGGGCTCAGTGGAGAATTACTGAAAAAGTGGTGTGGCAATTTGTGTTGCGTCCACGTGCACTTTAGGGTTTGGCAGCATTGTGTTAAAGCAATGTAATTTATAAGTAAAATGTATGATTGATGGATTGACTGATACTGGAAGGAAATTATAAACTATTGGCATTAGCTATCTCTCTTTGAACCTTTTGCTTCTTCTTTATATATTTTTCGAATTTGTTATAATGACCATTTTTTTAATTGTATGAAACAAAAAGTCATGGTATCACGACTAAATTTCTTATAAAAACAAACAATGATAAATTAAATTGCTTTAGAAGAAAATACAATTTTCTGGTTATTGATTCCTAGGCATTAAATCATAATTTGCAAATGATAATGAATAGAAGCCAGAGAAAGGGAGTTTGCTAGTTAATTTGTTTTCATTCTGAGTTCAGATAGAAGTCTGTGTTGCTGTTCTCAGATTATTCCATATGGCATCACATCATCAAATTTAATTTGGATAGAATATTTTAGGCAGATACATTCAATCAATAATTGTATTCATATTTGTAAAACCAAACTGAATTTTTTTCTACTAACATGAACTAAGAGATAAATGTGTAGGCTGATGGTTTGCATTAATATTTTTACACTTAAATTTTTGGTCTGTGACTTATAGTGAAATGATATTTAAAATCTATACTTAAGTGTGGACTGGGCATGGTGACTCAGGCCTGTAATCCCAGTACTTTGGGAGGCAGAAGTGGGCAGATCACTTGAGGTAGCGAGTTCAAAACCAGTCTGGCCAACATGGTGAAACTCTGTCTCTGAAAAAAAAAAAAAAAAACTATGAAAATTAGTGAGGCATGTGGCAGTTGCCTGTAATCCCAGCTACTCCAGAGGCTGAGGCAGGAGAATTGCTTGAACTCCAGAGGCGGAGGTTTCAATGAGCTGAGATCTCCCCACTGCACTCCAGCCTGGGCAACAGAGCAAGACTCCATCTCAATAAATAAATAAATAAATAAATAAATAAATAAATAAATAAATACAAAAAATCTATACCTAGGTGTGCATGGATTTATAAAAAATCTTTCTTGAGGCCTAGAAAAAATCTTTTAGGTTTTTTGTATGCAAATAATATAGATACATTACAAAAGAAACCAAACCACTGTTTAGTTGTAGATATATGTAGATTGGTTTGGTTTCTTTAGTAAGTTGTATCATATATTCTTCTCAGAGAGCATCCTCACTTGATATGTCACAATTAGATCAGAGTTTGACACCACCTTTTTCCTACCCTTGAACAAAATGTCAAAAATCATGAGAATGTGTGCACAACTAATTACTGAAGTATATAGTCACTAAATGCTTGAAATTTAGTCTTTGAAGTTTAACTTATTTGATTTGTGTGACATTAAAAATTGACTTTACAGATGATCATATGTGGCAACTATTGAAGTGAGTTGAGAACCTTAACCAAAATGACCCAGTTCTTTTCAAACATTTTTATTAAACATATTCCATAGAGATGTGCAGACTTTAAATTAAGAATTGCAACTGTGATATTCAATGAGGGAATATTTAAATAACCAGAGCACTGTGAGACTCAATGAACCATGCAAACATTTTGGATATTGGCTTGAGGAATAGAACTTAATTAAATTTAGACATTCTTAGAGTAATTGCTGAAAATTGTGTCTATCTTTTGCAAAACCTGGTATTAAATGCAAGGAAACCAATAACAAGTCACCTCGATGATGTGCCTACTGTGTCAGGCAATAGTATAAGTGCCCCAGAACATGTGAAGGACTTTTGGGTCCCCCCTTATTAGCTTAAAACAGAAGAGGTATCTTTCACTTTGAGTTTTGCCTTGGAATCCCTGAAGGCCGGGGGAGGTCATGGGGAGAGTTCTGGACATGGACTCAGGACGTCTGATCAGTCATGGCACTTGCTGGATTTACAGTCTCCAGGGAATCACTTGCATTTTTGTGAGGGAAAAATTTTAAAGTTATGAGATTTGAGAGGAAGAAGGAAAAAAGATAAATTGAATGGCAAGGTTATGCCTCCAAATGCTTTCCAAATACTTACTTACCAGAGATGGAATACAAATTTCATTTTGAATTTTCCAGTAGCCGAGGGGGTGGAAATCTAATCGATCGCACAATCCATGATGCTGATAATAAAAATAAAGATGTGTTGCCTAGGAGGAGCATATTTATTTCTTATTTTGAGACCTGAGAGAAATCTTCCCATTAGTCCTTATGATATAATGAAAAATTTTTTCAAATCCTTACAGAAAATACAAACATAAAGTTCAAAAATCTGCCTATAACTTTCTTCCCTGTACATTGATGGGATAGTGTCACATGCAGCTCACTGGAAGCAATTCAAAGGGAAGTCAATGCTATCCAGTCCAGATGTGCAAGTCCCAAATGGACTGGTCTGGCCCAAGTATTGAGTTCACTCTAGCTAGGGGGACAGAGGACTGAAGATCCTGAAGGCTGTCTTCCCTATCCCCCCATCTAATGCCAGCCTGTGTGAATTAGGAGGCAGAGGCAGGGCTTATAACCTCAGTAACGTAAGTACATGCTGGGAGCACACAACCGTAAAAGGCAAAATGCTCTATGGATGTGAGACATTTCTCACTTGAGATTCTTGAACAATATTCTGTTAAACACATAATGAGACTTATCTATTATCTCTTACTTTTTTTCCAGCAGATTGGTGCACTTTTTCATTTCCTTAGGAATAACTAATTGGACTTTTAGGGGAGTACAGATGTTGACAGAGTGGGGTCAGGAGACAGTAGGATTGAAGCAGACTCCGGTCTTTTGGGATCTTGTCAGTGGAGGATGGGAGCCGGGAGGCTGCCGTGCTGAGGATGTGAGTGCTCACAGCTAGAGTTCTCCCAGGGCTAGCACAGGAGGGCCTGTGTCTCTGGGACAGGCTGCAGAGCATCCTACAGCGCTTGAGTAGACGATGCCCTTGGAGTAGAACGTGGCTCCGTACAAGCAGTGTTTTGAGGGAAGGATTAACCAACATCTCCATAAGGTTACAAGGGACATAGTAATAGCTACAATTTATTTTTTAGGACCTAAAAGTTTCCAGGATTTTCCAGGAGCTTTTTAACTTATATTAAATCATTTAAGCCTTACAGTAACACTATGAAATCAATATAATGTACATTTTACAAATCAGAAAACAAGGCTGAGAGGTGATATATAAGTTGCCCAAAGTCACACAACTGTTAAGATGTGCTAGGAACTGAATTGTGTCCTCCTAAAATTTGTATATTGAAGCTTTAATCCCCAGTGTGACAGAATTTAGAAATAGGGCCTGTGAGGGAGGTGATAAAGTGTAAATGATTTCCCGATGGTAGGGCCCTTCTCTGATAGGAGTGGGGCCTTTATGTAAGAAGATAAAGAGACCCCAGAGCCCTCCCTGTCTTTTTTGTGATGTGAGGACACAGTGAGAAGGCAGCTGTCTGTAAGCCAGGACAAGAGCCCGCACCAGACAAGAACCCACCTGTATCTGCATCTGGAAATTTCCAGCCCCCAGAACTGTGAGAAATACATTTCTGTTATTTAAGCTACCCAGTCTGTGATATTTTATTATGGCAGCACCAATATAAGAATGAAAGGCAGAATTTAAATTTGGCCTGTGTGTCCCCTGAGGTCTAATTGATACCATGGTACTTCTGCAGCAATGGGGATAACTTACAATATGTGATGTCATTTAATTTATATGCTCGTTTAAAACATGCTCTAATGCCATCAAATTTGAGGACAACCAAAGCTTCACTTGTTAAGAAATGTCTTTTATCCCTCCAAAATTTCTTGTTTGAACTGAATGATGTTTCACATTCTCATGATTAAAGCAGAGAGAAACCAATATAATAATTGTTGAGAAACCTAGGGGAGGTTTCACCTGGACAAGATCTGGCTGGAGGATTACCACCTTCAAACAAGAGCCAAAAAAAAAAAAGAGGTTTTCTTTGTCTGTTGCCAGAGATCTCTCATGTGGTACCCATGGTTAGAAGGCTGAGGACTATGTATGTTGGATCCATGCAAGTGGGAATTTGTAATATTTGAAAATGGCCAGAGAGGAAAGAGCTGCGTGCAGAAATAAAGCCACTTCACAAACGGGGCCTTTGACATGAACTCAAGTTAGGAGTGAGAACCACATGTTTCAAATCGTGACGTCCCATGTCTCTAGAGCCTAAAGTTAGAAGCATTCAAAGAAGATCTGGTGGTTCCAAGCTAAGTTTTTGTTGTAGCTGTTTTCCCAAATGAATGATTTCTAGGATCAGATCATGTTTTCCTAAAGTCAAAGCTGTGGCGAGGGCCCAGGCAGTAAGGTCTGTTTCCAGGAAATGGGTGCTGGGACGTGTCTATCTCGCCTCATGGACAACCCTGGCCCACGGGCTGACCAGGCTTCCGGAGCAGGAGCGCCTTTACTTGGCTCTCACTTTGCACCTCACTTTCCACCCGAGGAGAGCCTGTCTGAGAAGAGTGACTGTTCTTCCGTCAGTGGTAGAGAAAACCTAGGAAGCTATTTTCGAGAGAGTTGTAGATGAACAAATATGTTTCTTTGGATGCTAAATGTAAACTATGAAAATGACTATGGTGTTCTAGAGCTGTGGGGAATGTCTGGTGGTATGGTGGAGGGGCACGGAGTATAGGAAATTCTAGCAGTCATGCAGCAGATCATCAGCAGTGCTGAGGTTTTAATTGCATGTACTGTCTGCCTCGCAGGGGCCCATCACATCTGATTAGTGACTGATTCCAGATCCATCATTTGTTTATCAGGATGTGCCAGCTGCTGCTTGGTAGCCCCCAGCATGGTGGAAAGCCGTTTTATAAACCTCAAGTGCTGTGTAATAATGTTTAGCGGTGGGAGGGGGTGACTATGGATCACTGAGCACAAATCAGTCAGTTAGGTTCTCAAATAAATAAGTCTTTGTTAACTCCTCTGATTCTATTTTGTGAGCATAAGGAGTATTGGTTTGATTATTTTTTCTTCCCATATTACTAAGAAAATTGCTTCAGTGCAGCTTCAAAAGCTGTTTGCATAAAAAGCCGATTATTCACTCTTTTATTGTTCATTTTTGTGGATCCGGCATTCAAGAAAACTCTCCAAAATCTCTAGTTAGTTTCCCCGTATTTCAGGTTCGCAGTGAGTCAAGCCACTCATAGTTTGTCCCTCTCCATCCTTTCTCTGACCCCCGAGTCAGAGCTGTTGCCCTGTCTCAAGTTTTCTGCCTCTTGGTGAAAGCTGGTCAACACTATAGTGGGTTAACATGAGTGACTTGATGGGATGCAAAGAACAGACTCAGATGGTGTCAGGAGAAGAGCTAGAAGGAATACCTTTTTCAAGATTGGATGCCACTGCAAGGACAGAAAATTGAAATATTTGGTCTTATTTGGATTCCAGAGGAATGTGGACTGGAATTTTTTTCTGTCTGAATTATGAGACATAATGCATACAAGCGAAGCTGTCTGTTCTGGCCCAGGAGGGATTCCAGAGCAAGTGGCCTTTGTGCTCCAGACTCAAGTAACCAAAGCAAGAAAGAGGCCTGACTATTCCCTGTTTGCAGAGATGAATTCCACTTAGGCTTGTGGCCATGTTTTGAGAGCTAGTATTTGCTGAAACAGCCTAAGATGTTTACACATTACTTTTTTTTTTTTTTTTAAAGTAAGAGAATCAGGAAAAAGCAGTAAACAGAACAGTCAGCTCAAAGTACTGTAGGCAAGCAAAAAGAAACAATTTCATAGTGGAGGAATTAAATGAATTGGTGGAATTTAAGGTAGGGATTCAGTGTTTTAAGTATGGATATAAAATTTTCACTTAAACAGTACTGAGCAAGTCTTTCTTTTGGAAGTTTCATGACTCAGAGCTTAACTGTTATAGTGCATATAACAAATCGCCAGATATAGCAGATTTCCTAAAATGCTTTGGACGTGGAGCTTTTTCCCTCAGACCTTCCGGGAGGACAGAGGTTCTGTGGGACACACTCAGGGAGGCCCTGCAGTAGAAATGTACTTAGCATGGTTTGCATTTCTTCTAATCATTCATCCTACTTGATGCCCTTGTCCACACATTTCTTATAATGTGTAATAATTTTTGCAGACATTTTTCATGGAGTACCATTTTTGTGGGAAATCATGACCAAAGCAATTGTTTATATTATGCTTGATAGAAAATAACTCCTAGGAGGAGAATGTTGTAAATTCAACTCTTTTTTTTTTTAAGATGGAGTTTTGCTCTTATTGCCCAGACTGCAGTGCAATGGCGTGATCTCAGCTCACTGCATCCTCCACCTCCTGGGTTCAAGCGATTCTCCTGTCTCAGCCTCCTGAGTAGCTGGGATTACAGGTGCTCGCCACCACGCCCAGCTAACTTTTTGTATTTTTAGTAGAAACGAGGTTTCACCATGTTGCCCAGGCTGGTCTTGAACTCCTGACCTCAGGTGATCCACCCTCCTCAACCTCCCAAAATGCTGGGATTAGATGTGTGAGCCACCGCGCCTGGCCAATTCAACTCTTTTAAGTGATGTCATTAGTGTTATATAAATACTTGATAAATACATGTTAAATCTTAGTGGATATGCATGAACTAGTAAATGGCTATTGCAGTGCCATAGCTCATGAGAGATGTTATCATTCAGGAAATAAAAAGAAACCTAAAACTATATTATCTGTATACTTTAACTTACTTAAAAGTTACTAAAACGTCATGACATTTTAATTTTATTTTATTTTTAATTGGATGCCTTTAGGTATGATAGTTTACTGAAGTCAGTATAGGGGAGAACCTAAAACCTTAGAGATAATACAGGAGAGTAAATGAGATTAAGAAACTTGTGTTGAGAGTTTCACCATCCAGTGTAACTCAGTGACACAACAGTGAATCCACACCCTTACCTGTAGGATGCTTCCAGAAATCACCCTATAATCATGTGTCAGTGAACTTAGGAATGTTCTTATCAGGAATTGTCTGTATACTTGCAGAATAATTGTCTTTAAAGTTATTGGGAATAAATATGGGAGATAATGCAATAATTTGTGCAAGTCCAATATTAGTGATTTCCCTGGAGATGCTGAAATAGAGGGAAATTTCATAGTATGAATTTGGCCATGTAGCTTTAATACATGTCATCTAGAAGGTGGCCAGATTCTGTAGAAAAGAAGTGTGTTTACTCATGCTTTCACTGCATAGTAAAAGATATCTCATAATATTATTCATCTCCCGTTTCTGTTTTTTTTCCAACTTTTATTTTTAGATTCAGAAGAATACATGTGCAGGTTTGATACCTGGGTGTACTGTGTGATGCTGAGGTTTGGGGTACAAGTGATCTCATAGTGAGCTCATGAACTCTGAGCATAGTACCCAACAGTTTGTTTTTCCCCTTCCCTTTCCCCGAGTCGCTGCATTGCCCTCCTGCTCCAGCAGTCCCCAGTGTCTACTGGTACCATCTTTATGTCTCTAAGTACCCAATGTTTAGCTCCCACTTACAAGTGAGAACATGCAGTTTTCTGTGAACTTCTTGCTTACTGTAACCAATAAGAAGTGGAAAATATGGGAATTCCAATATTCTGCCATACTCATAAAAATCCAAATTCAAATTCTGGTTTAAACTTCATTTTCTCATGGGTGAGCCCCTTTCCTGATGGCTCCAGGAACATAAAGCTCTCAGAAACATCAGATGTGAAAAATCTCCCAAGCGAAGAGGAGACACAGCTCAGTGAGGCCCATGGACGTATTAAGCAAATGTTTTCAGAGATTGTTTATATGTGCCAATTTCTTATTCAAGAAATGAAAGGGTCTACCATTAATGAGTTTGGACAGCAGAGGTCCAGCTTACAAGCACTAATTCACGATAATTTGACTATTTTACTCAAGTAAAAAACAAACACCAAACAAAAAACTAATCATTCAATGAATGATTTTAGTTTTGTATGTACAGAAAGGTTTCCAGTTTGTAATGTCCACAACGTAGGTAAAGATGTCAAAAATGTCCCAGAGGGCTAGAGTCCTGCATGTTGGTTGGGGAGCAGCAACAGCTGAGGTCTATTAGAGACAAGGTCATAGAAGCACTGGGATGAGAAGCGAAGATTTGAAATGTTGCCCCCAGCGCTACAGGGCATTGTGCAAGGACTTAACCTGGGCACTGATGTGATGACAGTTCATCTTAGAAAACGCAATCTGTCAGTTGTGCAGAGGATGAATGGAAAAAAGAAGACCAATGGTAATAATCCCTGATAGATGGAGAGATAGCAGAGCTTTAAAAGATGAAGAAAAGGTGACAGTTAGGACTCATTCTATTACAGGGGCCTATGTGTAAGGGAAGGGAAAAAGTCAATGAAGATTTCTGGGTTTGGCCATGGAATTGGCTGGGTGATGATTCATGAAGGTTGGCAGCACAGGAGGAGACTGAGGGCAGGTTTTGCTGCAGGAGAGGATGGCAACAGGTGGATGAATGTGTGATGTTTCACCTAAGGTGTGTTTGGACCGCAACGTGGAAAGGTCTGCTCAGACGGGAATCGCACACTCAGAGTGGACGTCATGCATGCTAGTAGAGAATATCTCTACATCAATCCTTATGATGACTGGCTGAGTCCCTGAAGGGCGTCGATTCTATCCTCTCAACCTTTAAAGCAATTTAAAACACTGCAGTATTTACATTTGGAAATGTCATTAAGTTACTAAACTTTCCATTTTCACAGTTCTAGGTAAGCCAAGCCAGGTCTGTCAGAACGATCGGCTTTGCCCTGGCAGAGTTAGATAACTATAGATATGAAAGCTTCTAAAATATTGTCCTATAAATACTTCCCTGGGCAATATTTATACTATGTTACTCAATTAATTGTATATCCATTGCTGAATATAAATTTCTGCTTATTAATGGGCCATAAAATTGTAGCAAACAGAAGCCCTAGAAAGGTAATGCAGCATGGAAGATTGTGAGAGCCCTGGTCTTTGATTCAGACTCTGGTTTAGGGTCAATGGATCTGACACGTAGCAGCCACATTACCTTGGGCAAGTCACTTTTTTATTTTTATTTTTATTTTTTTTGAGACGGAGTTTGGCTCTTCTTGCCCAGGCTGGAGTGCAATGGCACGATCTCAGTTCACTGCAACCTCTGCCTCCTGGGTTCAAGCGATTCTCCTGTCTCAGCTTCCTGAGTAGCTGAGATTACAGGTGCCCGCCACTACGTCCAACTAAATTTTTGTATTTTTAGTTTCACCATGTTGGCCAGGCTAGTCTTGAACTCCTGACCCCAGGTGATCTGCCCACCTTGGCCTCCCAAAGTGCTGGAATTACAGGCAGCAGCCACCGCACCCGGCCGGCAATTCACTTTCGTCCTCATTTTTGGGCTTCACTTTTCCTTTTTCAAAAGGAAGTTATTTCCGAATGTTCTCACTTATAAATGGGAGCTGAACGATGAGAACACATGAACACATGGGCGGGAACAACACACACGGGGCCTGTCAGTGGGGGTGGGGGAAGGGAGAGCATCAGGAAGAAGAGCTAATGGAGCCTGGGTTTAATACCTAGGTGATGGGTTGATTGGAGCAGCAAACCACCATGGCACACGTTTACCTATGTAACAAACCTGCATACACTGCACATGTACCCTGGAACTTAAAAGTCGAAGGAAAAAAAAAAGGTGATAGATGATTTAAATATACAATCTCTAGGACTCTATCCATCTGTTAAGCATCTATGGTTTCTATAGAAACTTAGATTTTCACACACAATCTATAATTTCAACAACAATGCTTGTGATTATTACTATCAATATATTAGTGAGATAGCAAACCCTTGACATTTACTAGTTCAACTGTAAAAAACACTGAAATGTAGAATGGTGAAGGAATATATCTGAGAGAGAGAGGCAGGCAAGTTGTCTGTGTGAAATTGGTCAGATGCTAACACAATACAGAATATTTGTGGCCAAGAGGACTTCCTACCCAAAGTCAGTCTTCAAATACAGAAATTCCTAACTTTAAAATACCAACCTTCGGTGATACTTCAGAAGCAAATTATAATTCCTAATAAAAGACCTTGACATTGTAACAAAATTAAACCCAAGAGCACTTCCCAGTACAAAACAGACATCAGAATGACAGGGTAAGTTTCCCCTGTCTCTATGGCCACAGATATAGAACCTTGTGATGTGGGAGTGGCAAACAAACAGCAATGCAGGAAGGAAGAGCGAGTGAGTTAGTGTGAGTGCGTGTGCACACCCACACGTTTCTCATCTTACATATTCATCACTGGAGAGTTTTCACTAATGAGTCTTTGACACCTGCCCCTGTGGATATTTTGTTCTAAATGCTTCCTTGGTACAGTCATGATAAAAGACGGCTCCAGTCCATGGAAGTTATCCATGTTGTCCTGCTTTCCAAAAAGTATTTCAGGCAGCTTCAAAAATAAACATTGCTTTTTTTGGATGATATCACATTGCTTCTTTAGAGATAACTATCCCAAGGATCTAAGCAAGTCAATAGAGCCAACCAGACTTACTAAGATATGAATCCACCCCATTTCCAATACCTTTCCATCACTCCATTTGGTGCAAAGAGTCGCCCCCAAGACTGTTGCTCCAACCTGCATGTCGCCACTTCCTCTGTGGTAAATATGGAAAGAAATTTGATGGACTAAAACAATAACAACAACAAACATAGGTCTTTACCTGCACTTCTGTGATCTGGTCTCTTAACAGCTGTCCACTGTTGCTGCTCCCAGAACTACATGCAGGGCTCCAGCCCTGTGGGACATTTTTGACATCTGCAGAACAACATAAAGTTCTCCCTCACTTCCACGTCTTTGCATATGCCTTTTTCTGTGCTTGGAGTGTCATTTCCAAGCTTCCAAATTTGGCCATGGCCTGACAGTGATGAGCTCAAGGCTTATCACTGTAGAAAGCCTTGTGGGCTAAGACAGATGGCTCTCTCCTTTTCTCCTTATTACACTGTTATTATTATTGCCATACTTATTTCCTGCATGAAACTGTGAGTACCACAGAGACGTTTTCATCACAGTATCCACTGTGCCTAAAGAGCAAAGAGCAGATAATGCTTAACTCCCTGAGCTCCACATTGGTTGAATTAACTCATAATTTCCTGATATAGGAATGCATACATTTTCCCTCCTTTATACATATGTAAATTTCCCCAGCCTCATTTGACAGCCAGAGAAGTAGGTTCCTAATCACTCTGACACCTTGGCAGTTTAGCCTAAATGAGGTAAAATATTATGATACAAATATCTGATTGTTTTTCTTTGAAGGAATAATTAGCAGTTTGACAGATTGCATATGTGAATTATTCAGTGTGAGGCTGTAAATTTCCTACCTGCAGAATTTAACTCTAACTTGCAGTGAGCAGAAGGTCTGTGTCAAATTGGGATGTCTTTGAAAATGTTGGCTTGTTATTTGCAAAGTTTTTAAAAGAATAGCAAGCTGTAGAGAGGGACTTGTGACACGAATAGGTGTATTTTAAAAGGGTCACTGCCAGGATATAAGAATCCCCTGTGGGATGTAATATTAAGACACAAAAATGTGTGAACCTATTATAATATAATATAATATAATATATATAATATAATATAATTAGGTTGTAAATTCCACATCTGACTAGTATCATTTGCGACTATTGACAAGTTACTTATCCTCTTTAATCCTCTATTTCTGAATACTGAAATTGGCATAATAGTGTTATCTGTGCTGTAGAATTGTTGCTGAGAGGGTCAAATAGTGAATGTGTGTGTGTGGCTTGAGCACAGAGCCTTGCAGGGATCCCTGACCATTATTAGTTTAGTGCTATTACTTGTGACCCTCCCAAGGGCAAGGGTTTGAAAATGTGGGTTTTATTATTGGGTATGGTAAGGTCAACAGATCATGAGATGATCATCATTGTTCAAAGAGAGTTGGTTATACTCAGATATCCCAAGAGAAGAGGGTGTTCTATTGAGGAACACACAGGGGCACGCTGGCCTGGGTCAGGAGGCAGAAGAAGCTGAAGTAAAATATGAGCAAAAGCCCTCATGGTGGCTTCCACGGGAAGAAGGGGTGAGGCGGGCTTAGGATTGGCTACTTGGAGTGATTTCAGCAGACTGTGAGCACAGGAACTGCCCCTGTGTCTGGAACCTGGCCCTGATGATCAGAAGAGGTGGACAGTGGCTCTCAGTGTGAAAGCCCGCAGAGGAGGTCATGGGGATGTGAGCTCTGATTGGGTAATCAACAAGAAAAGTGCACTCACAGGTGAGTGGTTTACTATCTCCTGGAATGGGTTAGCACTGGGAGGGGCAGTCCCTCCAACGTCAGCAAGGCTCAATGTCAAAGCATTAGAATGCAGAAAATGAGATAGGGCTAGCACAGCATGTTGCTTCCACAGCAACATGGGTGGGAAGTCGGAAGCTTCTACAGGTCTCAGTCGCTAATTAGATCTGTCTCTGGGAGAAATGTAACAGGAGTCAGCTTTGTGAGTGGGATGCCCTGTCTAACCAGTGGGGGCTGGGGAGGCTGCAAGATAGGGGCCCAACTTTGAGTGACGTATGAGTTTTGCACTTATGCTGCAAGTGTCTTTGGGAGCAGTCTGTGGTGCAGCACTAGCTGTCCAGAGAGTGTCACCCTCCCACCTCCACTCAGAGCCTCCCACGGCAGGGTCTTTCCAGGATCTTCTCTCTCCTGTGGGGTAGCTCCAAATGTCCTGCTCCCCACTGACAAGAGGAAGCAGGCGACGCCCTGCAGTGTGTGAGAGCCGGGCATGGCCCCGGACCAGCTGTGCATCCCAGGACACATGGGATCCTCTGTTTCCAGCCCACCTGCCCAGGGTCGGCTGTGGGCCATAGGAACTGTTGCTCAGTGAGCCCAGAAATGGTGTGTCTCCTGTAGCTGTGGTCTGCTCTCTCGTTTCCTGGTTTATCACCCAGCTCCTCTCTAGCTGCTCTCAGGAGCCATCTTTTCCCTTTCTCCACTTGTAAAATCATGTCAAAAATATGTGCATCTATAAATCATTGACTGTCGTTTCTCACCTCCTCAGACCTTATATGTTCAAAGGCAAACACATTTTTGTGTTTTGTATGAATCATTTCTCTCACAGGTTAATAATATAAGTGGATATTTTGGTAACTGTTCTTTGGCCCTTAAATTATTTTTTATGCCACAATTCAAATACACTTTTATAGTATAGTCAATAAAATGATTACATTGTGTCTAATTCAGTAGACCAGAAAGGAATCTAGACAGAACACACCTCTAATAATATTTTCAGAATTTCCTAGTCTCTGTATCTCTTATATGATAGCACAAAAAGTTATCTAAACTGTGGAAAATGTGTGTTGATTATATCTGCTCAATACAGTAGCCAATTGTCTCTATTTCTCTTTAGGTCCTGCTTGCTTCATGTATGACAAATGTGTTGGTGCGCTTCCCTCGCATTTCTTGTCCTACTGTACTGTATTTCTTATTTCTCAGAGTTTGACTTACATATCCCAGCAGTTCATACCCTACAGTCCCAGGGAAACCCCACTGGATCCCGTGAAGCCTCGGCTGTGGGGGGAAACCAATACAGTCACCATCTCTTTATCACAAAATGCTTTTGTCTTTTATGAATGAATTTCCCCGAGGAGAGAGAGAGAAAGTGCTAGTTTTATTAAATCTGCTCAAAAGTAATTCCTTTGATGAACTGGCTGGGGGCAGCACTGGAAATTAGATGGCTAAGAAGGGAGTTTAGATTTGCTGTGTGTCCTGCCACTGCTCCTGAGGGCTCCAAAAGCAATCAGCTCTGCTGGGAGCAGACTGTCAGGAAGGGTCCTCGCGGGTCTCTGGATGGGGTTTGGATCTCCCTTCTGAAGTGCATCTTTCTGCAGCTAACTGGCATATGCACCCCTACTCCATGCCACATTTCAGCCCTTCTACACACACACACGCTGCCTCTTTTTGTTTCACAAATGTAAATGTTCTAACCAAGACTCAGTGTGAGAACATGCACCATTAGATAGAGTCTAACGCTGGGTGCTTGTTTCACCATTTGGTAGTGCCCTATTTATTTCAGGGAGATTGTGGATGTCAGCAGAAGCCTGAAGAATGGGCAACCAGCCTGTCACTTATTCTGCTCTCTGAGAGTCTGACTTAATAAAAGTGGCTCCTGCTCTAACCAAGTCTTGGGGTAGAATCACTTCTCAGATTCTAACCTGCGAGGCCAGTGAAGCCTCATATAGTGGGACTGAGAGGACCCTGGAGAGACTGAGCACAGTACCATAGCACAGGTACAAAAAAATTCAGTGCAATAGTACAGCATGGTGCACAGGAAGACTAAGCACAGTACCACAGCAGGGTGTGGAGGAAGACTGAGCACAGTGCCACTGCACAGTGCACAGGAAGACTGAGCACAGTATCCTAGCACAGGTGCAGGAAGACTAAGCACAGTACCACAACATGTTGCTGTAGAAAAACCAAGCCTAGCACATAGCATGGTGCTGCAGGAAAACAGAGCACAGTGCTGTAACGCAGTATTCAGGAAGACTGAGCATAGTACCACAACACAGTGGTCAGATAGGGTCTGTCATCAATGAAGGTTTGACTGTAGTAACCTGTCCACTTCATGCCACACACCAGGGACCTAGAATTACATCATCACCTAGGAATTTGCCCTTTATTTTAAGTCACATTGTTTAACACACCTGCCATCTGCCAGTTCCATTGGTGAGTCCAAGATGAACAAAACTGGCCAGTGCCATGACATAGCTTCACATCCAGTGTAAGAGGCCTCCTGTCTTCCTGTGGCATCCTTATAAGCCAAGTATTCCTGGAACTATGGAAGGAGTGGTAGCTTAGGCACAAGGAGATGGACAGGGGCTCTGCAGGAGGTCCTGAAAGAGGAGAGGAGCATTAGCTCACAGGTGCATGCATGAACTCACAAGATGTCCACACACAGCAGCCTCATCAGTTTTTAGTAGGCCAGACCATGTCTAATTTCATATTACCTAAAGGATCAACTGTTTGTGATTAGGAGATGTAATGCCATCTTCTGGAAAAAAGCCAGTGTCAGACAACTTGTGTTCATGTATTGGTCTCCAATATCTCACCTGTGTGACTTTCCCCAAATTACTTCACCCTGCATAACTCTCAGTTACATCATGGGTACAGTGAGCTCCGTGTATTTACTCAGCAAGCATGTACTGCCATTACATTTGGTCAGGCACTGTGCTGGCCATAGTGGACACCGCACCTCAGGATGACTCCCTGTGGAGAAGGCTGTGTGAAGTGATTGTGGCACCAGGCTCCATTAGCTCCCTGGGGCTGCCACAGCAAATCCCACAACCTGAGAACCTGAGTGGCTTTAAGGAATGTCAGTTTACTCGTCCGCAATTCTGCAGGCCAGAAGTCTAAAGTAGATCAAGGTCCCACAGAGTCAGTTTCTTCTGGAGGTTCCGACGGCTGCTCCCTTACATGCCTCTCTCCTGGCTCCTAGTGGCTGCCCGCCACCCTGGGCTTCCTGGGTTTTAGAGGCTTCACTGCAGGCTCTGCCTCCGTCTTGATGTGGTCTTCTTCTCTGTGCCCGTGTCTTCTCCTTTTCTTATAATGACACTTGTCATTGGATTTAGGGCCACTTGGGTAATCCAGGATGATCTCATCTCCAGACCCTTCTTAATTACATTTGCAAAAACCCTTTTCCAAATAAGGCCTCATTCATGGGTTCTCAGTGGACAGACATTCTGGGAGCCACCATTCAACTCACTCTGGTGCTAAACACCAGAGCCTGGCTCATAGCAGACGGGCACTTAAGGATGTCTGCCCACAGGAAAGGGGACACTTGCTTAGCGCAATGTTATATTGAAAGTGCTCCAGCAGATCTGACAGTGCCACATCACAGTGTGTGAGTGAACAGAGTCCAGGCTCTGGGACCAACTCTGAAATAAAAAGTCTGCTACAGGCCAGGCGTGGTGGCTCATGCCTATAATCCCAGCACTTCGGGAGGCCGAGGCGGGTGGATCATGAGGTCAGGAGATCGAGACCACCCTGGCCAACATGGTGAAACCCTGTCTCTACTAAAAATACAAAACTTAGCTGGGCGTGCTGGCACACGCCTATAATCCCAGCTACTTGGGAGGCTGAGTAAGGAGAATCGCTTGAACCCAGGAGGCAGAGTTTGCAGAGCCGAGCTTGCGCCATTGCACTCCAGCCTGGGAGACAGAGCAAGACTCTGTCTAAAAAAAAAAAAAAGTCCACTACAAAATGGCCAGACCCCACAGAGCATTCACACCCACAACACTGGATCTCTAAAGTTCAGTGGGCTCTTTCCCACTCCCGTTCTAAGGACTGCTAGGCAGTGAAGATGGCATCCTCATCCCCTGTAGATCACTGCTGTCAGCCTAGGGTCCGGATTTAATCCGGATTAAACCAATAACTGTATTGAGCAGTCAGGATGCTGGGAGCCCGACAGAGGCCAGCAGGCACCAGTACCACCTGTGTCTGCTTTCTGGAGAGTCGGTCATCAGGCCAGAGCTGGTCTCTCTGCCCTGTGGCCACTGCCTTATCTCAGACCCTTACTAACATGGCCTGCATCAAAAGTCCAGCCTCAAAAGCTCTTCCTTTTCCAGGTGAGTGACCCTGGAGCATCAGGGGGTCATGGTGGCTCTGTGGCTGTGCTCTTCAAGGACCAAGGACATGCATGCAGATGACATTGCAGGCTCTGGTTCAAAGAAGAGGCCTGGCAGGCATGAGCTGGTGGTTGTCCTGGCCTGTTCACTCATCTCCTTAACAAGGTGACCGGTGCTGTTTTGCACTTGCTAGAAATCTGATTTGTGCATGGCCTAGCCCTTTAGGGAGATAATTTCTTTCCATCTTTAAACTAACCTTTATACTTCTTAAAATTGGGGGGGCAGAAGGGCCGAAGATCATACCTGGGGATAATGCTATTTAGTGGTTTTTCCTGTTTCTGTGGCTTTTTGAGAAGTGATGTTTGTGAGGAGTGAGGGGTGGGTGCAAGGTGATGTCTCACCTCCCCTCTTCAGAAAGAGCCCTACCACCTTGGTGTGACGGATGGGGGACGGGCCTTGCTCCTACAGATCAAAATCTGCGGGATTTAAGTGATCGTCTTAATCAACTTCTTCCAAACCCTGGTTCCTCCCTCTGCTCTCAAACTCCCAGATGTGAGGAACATTTGGCCATGACTTGGACTCCGTCTCCATCTAGTGACTGGCTCCTTGAACTACAGTTGCAGATGGAAACTGGCTTCTGTAAAGCCAGGGCACTCTGTGGACTTGGGTAACTACAAGAATGAGTGTGGAGAAGTTAGGCCTCCAAACAAATCCAGTCCTTTATCACCACAGTTCTACTCCAGTCCAGAGCCCTTTCCTCTTCCTCACCCCACACATTAAAAACAACAGCTGCACCAAGGACAGAAGCGGAGGCCACAGGAAGGCAGCATGCCCAGCTCTTGCTGCAGGCTGAAGGCAGGCTCCCAGGCTATGGGGCAGGGCTGCGGGCTCTGAACAGGAGCAGTCACTGGGGTGGACTTGGTTTTGTTCTGGATCCCAGTTTGAAGGTGAGGCCTCTCGTGGTCAGGCTCTTGCTGCCGTGTGGAGTGGGCATGTTCTGCATGGCAGACCCTATCAGGTATGACTGTAGTCTCCCTTAGGAACCTGTGGCCGGCCCCCAGCACTTGCCCATGGGGGCACACCCCTGTCCCTCCCCAGGCCCAGGAAGTCATGCCTGAAGTCTGGACTGGTCTTTGGCCTCAGGAGATGCTGGCAGCCAGCCTATCTGTTCTGTGCCAGGAGCTCTGCTGGGCATCGGGGCATATTAGGGACCCAAACCCCATCTCTGCCCTCCAGTGTCTTACAGTTCAAAAGACAGAGTGGAATAAGATAGGTCCTAAGTTTTTGGTTTTTTTTTTCTTTATCACGGTAGACTATAAACCCTATAATGAGATTAAATGAAAGAATTTACATAAAGTATGTTTACGAACATACTTTACGTAACATAAAGTATGTTTATGAACGTTTGTTTTTCTTCTTGTCATTTATTATTGCATCCTTTTTCTTTAGGAGCATTAAAAACATTTAATTTTTTATTTTTTTATTATACTTTAAGTTCTAGGGTACATGTGCACAACGTGCAGGTTTGTTACATATGTATACGTGTGCCATGTTGGTGTGCTGCACCCATTAACTGGTCATTTACATTAGGTATATCTCCTAATGCTATCCCTCCCCCCTCCCCCCACCCCACAACAGGCCCCGGTGTGTGATGTTCCCCTTCCTGTGTCCAAATGTTTTCATTGTTCAATTCCCACCTATGAGTGAGAACATGCGGTGTTTGGTTTTCTGTCCCTGCGATAGTTTGCTGAGAATGATGGTTTCCAGCTTCATCCATGTCCCTGCAAAGGACATGAACTCATCCTTTTTTATGGCTGCATAGTATTCCATGGTGTATATGTGCCACATTTTCTTAATCCAGTCTATCATTGATGGACATTTGGGTTGGTTCCAAGTCTTTGCTATTGTGAATAGTGCCGCAATAAGCATACATGTGCACGTGTCTTTATAGCAGCATGATTTATAATCCTTTGGATATATACCCAGTAATGGGATGGCTGGGTCAAATGGTATTTCTAGTTTGAGATCCTTGAGGAATTGCCACACTCTTCCACAATGGTTGAACTAGTTTACAGTCCCACCAACAATGTAAACGTGTTCCTATTTCCCCACATCCTCTCCAGCACCTGTTGTTTCCTGACTTTTTAATGATCGCTATTCTAACTGGTGTGAGATGGTATCTCATTGTGGTTTTGATTTGCATTTCTCTGATGGCCAGTGATGATGAGCATTTTTTCATGTGTCTGTTGGCTGCATAAATGTCTTCTTTTGAGAAGTGTCTGTTCATATCCTTTGCCCACTTTTTGATGGGGTTGTTAGTTTTTGTCTTGTAAATTTGTTTGAGTTCTTTGCAGATTCTGGATATTAGCCCTTTGTCAGATAAGTAGATTGCAAAATTTTTCTCCCATTCTGTAGGTTGCCTGTTCACTCTGATGGTAGTTTCTTTTGCTGTGCAGAAGCTCTTTAGTTTAATTAGATCCCATTTGTCAATTTTAGCTTTTGTTGCTGTTGCTTTTGGTGTTTTAGACATGAAGTCCTCAACATGAGCCACACATTTTACTAAATGCTCTAGATAAATTGGTGCACTTGTCACAACACCTGGAAGGGATGGCTGTTATCAACCATATTTTTAGATTAGAACTATGAAGCTCAAAAAGGTTAAGTAACTTGCCCAATGCCATGCACCCTGGTCCAGGGTAGAGGGGCTGACAAATATGGCTTTTGTCATAAGAGTAGTGCCAAGCTTCCTGAAAATGCAAACTGAAGCATTAGCCTGCCTCTTTGAGAGGGATGAGGAGTTCTCGGCTTCTATATTTGAAAATCGAAAAATAAATATTTTCCTTGGTACAGCTGTGAAGATAGAAATAAATGAGATTGTGTATGTGAAAGGCCTGCTCACATTAGTCTTAATAGTTAATGCAATTATCATATTTCTTAGTTCCCAAAAGGCAAATCTTTCTTTTTCTCATGTCTCTGAAAATGGGATATGTTTTACAATAAATGGTTGAGGAAAACACTGGGTCATAGTTTATGGACGGTGTAGTCTCTTTCTTAGTGAAGTTTCATGATCTTCCTTATGATCACTGACAGCTTTGATTCAGTTCAGTACCAGGTTGCCTGGCATTAGGTGGTATATTTACATGACAGGGACCTTGTCAGCATCTCTGGGTGGGAGTTTAACATCCAGAGAGCAGGCTTTCAGGACTCTCAGCAGGGAGGAGGAAGGTTTGGGTATTTCCCAGGTGAAAGAGGACAGATGTTGTGGAGAGAGGTAAGGAAGGCTCAGCGAGGACAGGTTCCAGGGACAGAGAGGAGGAAGAGACCTGCCAAGCATTAGGTAGGTAGCGTCCCTTTAAGTCAGGACAGGTTTCTTGATCTGTGCTGCAGGAGAATGTGGCAGTTCTCCAAAATAATTTCTGGGGGCCTTGTGGTGGCAGATGGTGAATAGTGTGAATCAGGCAAAAACGAGTCCCCTGAGGGGCCAGTTCAGTGCTTGGCCTCCAGGGTCCCTGCCTCCCCAGAAGCCAGCCCAGCCCTCCCAGCTGCCCTCACCAGCCAGGGGCCGGTGGCTGACGGTGCACGTTAATTCCCAGAGCACCTGGCTCCCCTGCTGATTCCCAGGGATTTGGTGAGAGGGACAGAGTGAAGTGGGGAAGAGAAGGAAGAAAACTGATGTTTCTTTCAGATCCACTGAGAGACACTAAGCCCCACAGTTTGCTGCTGTGAGAAAGGGTTTCCTTCAGTTATTTCTGCAACCTGATTGAGAAATGCTTAACCCTGCTTAGTTCAGGTATATAAGGCTGCCTTTCAGGGCTGATGTTCCCTTCTGTCCCCGGAAACACCACCCTACTGGGAGGCAATGCATAAGACCATACACGTAAAGACAGGTGATAAGGTTAGGATGTGTGTCCAAACTGGGAATCTCATGTTGAAATGTGATCCCTAATGTTGGAGATGGGGCCTAGTGGGAGGTGTTTGAGTCATGAGGGTGGATTCTGCATGAATGGCTTGGTGCTCTCCCCTTGGTAATGAGTGGGTTCTCAATCTATTATCTCAAGTGAAATCTGGTTGTTTAGAGAGTCTGGCACCTCCCTTTTCTCTCTTGCTCCCTCTTTCAACGTGATATACTGGCTCCCTCTTCTCCTTCTGCCATGATTATGAGTTCCTGAGGTTCACCAGAAAAAGATGTTGGCCCCATGCTTCTTGTACAGGCTGCAGATCATGAGCCAAATATACTTCTTTTCTTTAAAAATTACCCTTTATAACAACACAAAATGGACGAATACAGCAGGATTTCCTTTTCCCCCACCAGCTTTATTGAAGTATAATTGGTATATAAAAAACTTCACACAATTAGTGTTTACAATTTGGTGAGTTTGGACATAAGTATACCCTCATGTTACCATCACCACAGTCCAGGTAATTAATATATCCATCACCTCCAAAAGTTCTCTGATGTCCTTTTGGTTTTGTTTTGTTCTGTTTGTTTTGTGCTGTTATGGTAAGAACACGTAACATGATTGGGAGGCCGAGGTGGGCGGATCACGAGGTCAGGAGATCGAGACCATCCTGGCTAACACGGTGAAACCCCATCTCTACTAAAAATACAAAAAATTAGCTGGGCGTGGTGGCGGGCGCCTGTAGTCCCAGCTACTCGGGAGGCTGAGGCAGGAGAATGGTGTGAACCTGGGGAGGTGGAGCTTTCAGTGAGCTGAGATCGGGCCACTGCACTCCAACCTGGGTGACAGAGCCAGATACTGTCTCAAAAAAAAAAAAAAAAAAAAAAAAAAAAAAAAGACGTAACATGATATCTACCTTCTTAACAAATTTTTAGGTGCACAATATCATATTGTTAACTATGGGCATGATATCGTGCAGCAGATCTCTAGAACTTATCTTGCATAACTGAAACTTTATACCCATTCAACAACTTTCTACTTACCCCTACCCCCAACCCCTGGCAACCACCATTCTGGTTCAGCTCTGGTTCTACGAGTTTAGCTCCTCTAGCGACTTTATATAAATGGAATCATGCAGTATTTCTTCTTCTGTGACTGGCTTTTTCCACTAAGCATAATGTCCTCAAGGTTCCTCTGTGTTGTCACAAATGGCAGGATTTCCTTCTTTTTTAAGCCTGAATATTCCAATGTAGGCATATAGCACATTTTCTTCATTCATCCATCTGTCCAGGGGCACTTGAGTTGTTTCCATATCTTAGGTATTGTGAATAGTGCTGCAATTAACATGGGAGTGTAGATATCTTCAAAGAAGACATACAGATGGCCGACAGGTAGAAGAAAAAGTGCTCAACATTGCTAATCATCAGGGAAATGCAAATTAAAACCTCCGTGAGACATTACCTCACAACTGTCAAAATGGCTATTAACAAAAATCAAAAGAGAACAAGTATTGGTGAGGATATGGGGAAATTAGAACCCTTGTGACTCTTGGTGGGAATGCAAAATGGTGTAGTCCTTGTCAAAAACAGTATGGAGATTTCTCAACAAGTTAAAAACAGAGCCATCATACAATTCTACAGTCTCACTTCTGGGTATAAATCCATAAAAAGTGAATCAGAGCTTCAATTTCTTTACCTTCTTTGCCTATGATTTTCAATCCTGGGTCTGAAAGTGGTGGTGAGGGCATCTGAGCTAAGTTTGGTGTTTCCACAGGTCTACTGATGCTGATACATCAGAGATGAGACCACACAGGCTTTCCCAGAACATCAGATTTCTTTTTCTTAGGCTTATAGAGTTCCCCTGTAACCTCGTGTCAATGAAAGCTATACATGGTATTTCTAGTTCTAGATCCCTGAGGAATCACCACACTGACTTCCACAATGGTTGAACTAGTTTACAGTCCCACCAACAGTGTAAAAGTGTTCCTATTTCTCCACATCCTCTCCAGCACCTGTTGCTTCCTGGCTTTTTAATGATTGCCATTCTAACTGGTTTACTGGGTATATACCCAAAGGATTATAAAACATGCTGCTATAATGACACATGCACACGTATGTTTATTGTGGCACTATTCACAATAGCAAAGACTTGGAACCAACCCAAATGTCCAACAATGATAGACTGGATTAAGAAAATGTGGCACATATACACCATGGAATACTATGCAGCCATAAAAAAGGATGAGTTCATGTCCTTTGTAGGGACATGGATGAAGCTGAAAACGATCATTCTCAGCAAACTATCGCAAGGACAAAAAACCAAACACCGCATGTTCTCACTCATAGGTGGGAATTGAACAATGACAACACACGGACACAGGAAGGGGAACATCACACACTGGGGCCTGTTGTGGGGTGGGGGAGGGGGGAGGGATAGCATTAGGAGATATACCTAATGTTAAATGACGAGTTAATGGGTGCAGCACACCAACACGGCACATGTATATATATGTAACAAACCTGCGTTGTGCACATGTACCCTAAAACTTAAAGTATAATAATAATAAAAAAAAGAAAGCTATACATAAGAAAGAGAACACAATGCAAGATTATGCATTTACCTTCAGTTTTGTTACTTATGTAGATAGTATTAAAAATGTTACTTATTTTTTATGTTTATAAAATTCATACAGATGGAATCCCATTGTGTAAATTATTTAAAAACTTACCTTGTTTCCTTAGTATTCTCTTCCAGAGATTCATCCACATTGACAAAGGTTGAAGGTATATTTATTTCATGGCCCCACAGAGTTTATCAGAATATGTCAGGATATATTCACCCATTGTGCTTGCTAGACATTACTGTTGCTATCTGATGGTTTTTAGCGACTGCAGGTGCTACTAGTGACACATTTTGTTTTACATTGTGGCCCATATGGGCACATACTTATTTAGGAAGCATACCTTAGAGGAGAATTTCACTGATGGGGCATGTGTGTCTTCAACGTTACTCAGCAATACCAAAATTATAATACCTTTAGGAGTTTTTAAAGTCTTCTTTAAGGGTTTTATATATTGCAGATATCTTGAGTTACCATTTGGGGGGTTCTTCTTTTCAGTTCTTTTGTGGTATCTTTTGAAGGAATTAAAGTCTTTAAGTTATCTTTTATGTTTTTTTATTTTAAGTCTGGTTTTTAAAATCTTATCCTCCTTAGGTAACAAGGCTGTTCTCATATATATCCTCCTTAAAGTTTTAAATTCTTTAAATTTTGCTTATTGCATTTAAACTTTAATGGAGATGATACTGATTTTTGTGTGTGTTGTGAGGTGGGAAATCTGATTTTTTTTCTTGTTGTTCTTCACGTGGATAACCACTTGTCTCAGCCCCAACAATGGGACCCTCAGTACATCCTCTGTCATGTGGCTACTTTTACATATGTGTGCATTGACGTCTGGGCTTTCCATTCTGTTACACAGGTGTATTTGCCTATTGCATGCGAATACTGTGCTCTCTAAAGTGCTATAGATTTATACTATGTGTTGCCAATCGGTGGGCAAGTCAGTTTTCCTCAGAATGATCTTGATTATTTTCTCCATCTATTTCTCCCTACAGATGTACTTGATGTGTCTTACAGTGCGCGTGCGTGCACACACACACACACACACACACACACACACACACTCACTCTGCTGAGGTTTTAATCACAATTGCATTGATGTTTAGATCAACACAGGGAAAACTAAGAACTTTACCTAAAGGAGTTTTTCTATCTAGATATAAATAAATAAACATTATTTATATATAAATGTGTTTACTTATGTATAAATATATACTTATATTTATATACATATATGTCCATTTAATTAGGTACTCTTTAAGGGCTTCTTTAAAGTTTCATAATTTTATCCATAGTTGTATGCCACTTTTGTTATTTTTTTAAGCTTTTTTAATTGTGGCAAAAAAATGACAAAAAATTGCCATTTTAATCTTTTTAAGTGTTCAATCCAGTGGCATTGTACATTCACAAGGTTGTGCAATCATCACCACTATTTCCAAAATTTTTCATCATTCCAAACTGAAACCCTCCGCCTGTTAAGTGGTATCTCCTCATTCCTGTCTACGTCAGGCTCATGGTAAATTTGAATCTAATTTATGTCTCTAAAAATTTACCTGTTCTAGCTATTTCACATGAGTAGACTCATTCAATATTTGTCCTTTTGTGTCTGGCTTATTTCACTTACCATAATGTTTTCAAGGTTCATCCAACTTGTAGCATGGATTAGTGCTTCATTCCTTTCTGTGGCTGAGTAATACTCTATTGTATGTATATGCCGTGATTTGTTGCTCCATTCATCTCTTGATAGACACTTGGGTTGCTCCTATCTGTGTGGCCACTGTGAATAATGCTGCAGTGAACATTGGCATACAAGTATCTGTTTCAGCCCTTGCTTTCAATTCCTTTGGCTATTGTAATACCTAGGAGTGGAATTGCTAGGGCATATGGTAACTGTTAAGGACTGAATTATTTCCCCCAAAATTTATATGTTGGAGCCCTAACTTTCAATGTTTCTATATTTGTAGATAGAGTCATTAAAGATGTAATTAAGTTAAATGAGATCATAAGGGTGAGGCCTTAATCTAATAGGGTTGGTCTCCCTATAAGAAGAAGAGACACCAAGGATGTGTGCACAGAGAAAAGGCCATGTGAGGCCACAGAAGGAAGGTGGCCATCTGCGAGCCAAGGGGAGAGGCCTCAGCAGAAACCAAACCTCCCAATACCTTGACCTTGGACTTTCTGCCTTTAGAACCATGAGAAAATACATTTCTATTATTTAAGCAAACCAGTCTGTGGTATTTTAAATGGTAGCTCTAGGGAACTAAGAAAGTAACTCTGTTTTAATGTTTTTAAGACTCACCGCCCTTTATCATGGTGTCTGCACAGTTTTACATTCCCACCAGCAATGGACAAGGGTTTCAATTTACAAGCATTACAATTTCTCCACATCCTCACCAACAGTTGTTATTTTTCTTTTATTCTTCGTTATTGCTATAACCATCTTAGTACATGTAAAATGGAATCCTATTGTGGTTTGTATTTGCATTTTCCTAATGATTAATGACATTGGGCATTTTTTCATGTGCTTATTGGCCATTATTTTTGGAGAAATGACTGTTCAACTCATTTTATTGAGTTGCTTGCCTTTTTGTTGTTGAGGTTTAAGACTTTTTTATATTTTGAATATTAAGCCCTTATCAAATATATGATTTGCAAATATTTTCTCCCATTCTGTTTGCTGTCTTTTCACTGTCTTGATAAAATATCCCATTATGCAGGTGAGTTTTTAATTTTAATGAAATCCAGTTCATCTATTTTTTTCTTCTGTTGTTCATGTTTTGGTGTCATTTCTAAGAATCTGCTGCCAAATTCTGGGTAAGAAAGATTTAAACCTTTATTTTCTTTTAAGAGTTTTATGATTTTTAGATATTGCCTTTAGGCCACAGGCCAATTTTGAGTTAATTTTTGTATATGGTATGAGGTAGGGGACCAACTTCATTCTTTTGCACATGGCTTTCTAGTTGTCCCAGCACCATTTCTTGCAAAGGCTAATCTTTTCTTCACTGAATAGACTTGGCACTCTTGTCAAAAATCAGTTGGATGCAGAAGTCTGGGTTTACTTTTGGACTCTGAATTTTATTCTATTGTTTATATGTCTGTCCTTATGCCAGTACCACACTGTTTTGATTACTGTAACTTGGTGGTAAATTGGGAATTGTGTGTATTTTGACTTTTTTAAAGATTATTATGGTTATCCAGGGACCTGTGCAATTCCATATGAATTTTAGGATAGGCTTTTCCATTTCCATAAAAAATGGTTGTTGGAATTTTGAAAGGGATTGTATTGACTCTGTAGATTTCTTTGGGAAGTACTGCCATCCTGACAATATTAAGTCTTCCAAGCCATGAACATCAGATATCTTTTCATTTATTTGTGTTTTCTTTAATTTCTTTAAGCAATGTTTTATAGTTTTTAATGCACAAGTCTTTTACCTCAAATTTATTCCTAGATATTTTATTATTTTAGATGCTATTGAAATAGAATTGCTCTCTTAAATTTCTTTTCAAATTATTCATTGCCACTATATAGAAAAACAGCCTTTTTTTGTGTGTCAATCTTGTAACCAGCAAGTTTTCTGAGTTCAATTATTAGCCCTAGTATCTTCTCATGAATTATTTGAGGTTTTCTATAGACAGGATCATACTAACCGTGAATAGAGATAGTTTTATTTCTTCCTTTCCAATTTGGATGCTTTTATTTTCTTTGCCTAGTTGTTCTGGCTAGAACTTCCAATAAATGTTGAATAGCAGTGGTGAAATTGGAAATCCTTGTCTTGTTCCTATTTTAGGGGGAAAGCTTTCATTATTTCACCATTGAGTAAAATGTTAGCTGTAGGTTTTTCATAAAAGACTTTATGATGAGGAAGTTCCCTTCTCTTCCTACTTTGATGTGTTTTTTTTTTCATTATAATAGATCATTGGATTTTGTTAAATGCTTTATCTGCATCAATTGAGATGACCATGAGTTTTTTTTTTTCATTCTTCATTCTGTTAATGTGTTGTATTATGTCCATTAATTTTTGTAGGTTGAATCACCCTTACATTCAAGGAATAAATCCCATTTGGTCATGATGTATAATCCTTTTAATATGCTGTTGTATTCACTTTGCTACTGTTTCACTGAGGATGTTTTTTATCTGTCTCATTAGAGATATTTACCTATACTTTTCTTGTGATGTCTCAATCTGGCTTTGGTATCAAGGTAATGCTGGCCTCTTACAGTGAGGTAGGATGTATTCCTCCCTCTTCTATTATATGGAAGAGTTTGAGAAGGATTTGTGCTAATTGTTTGTTATATGTCTGAAATAATTCACCAGTGAAACCATCTGGTCCTGAACTTTTATTTGTTGGGAGGTTTTGGATTACTGATTCAATATCTTCACTTGTTATAGGTGTTTTGTTATTTTTCTTCTTTGTGAGTCAGCTTAGGTAGTTTGTGTGTTTCTAGGAATTTGTCCATTTCACGTAGTTTATCTAATTTGTTGGAGTACATTTGTTCATAGCAATCCTTTACAATCCTTTCTATTTCTGTGAGCTCCCACTTTCATTCCTGATTTTAGTAATTTGTATCTTCTCTCTTTTTATCTTCGCCACTCCAGCTAAAGATTTGTCAGTTTTGTTGATCTTTACAAAGCACCAAATTTGGCTTTGTTGATTCTCTCTCCCTTTTTTTCTTTTCTTTTCTTTTTTGAGACAAGATCTCACTCTGTCACACAGGCTGGAGTGCATGGCATGATCTCAGCTCACTGCAACCTCCACCTCCTGGGCTCAAGCGATCCTCCTGCCTCAGCCTCCCAAGTAGCTGGGACTACAGGTGTGCACCACCATGCCCAGATAAATTTTGTATTTTGTGTAGAGAAGGGGTCTTGCCATGTTGCCTAGTCTAGTCTTTAACTCCTGAGTCAAGCCATCCGCCCACCTCAGCCTCCGAAAGTGCTGGGATTAGAGACGTGAGCCACTGCACCTGGTCTGCTTTTCTATTCTCTATTTTGTTTATCCTGTGCTAATCTGTATTATTTCCTTCCTCCTGCTAACCTTGGGTTTAGTGTGCTCTCTTTTTACTCATTCTTTTAGGTGTAAAGTTAGATTATCGATTTGAGATCCTTTTCTGTTTTATAATATAAGCATTTATAGCCATAAATTTCCCTTTTAGCATAGTTTTTTCTGTAAGTTTTCGTATGTTGTTTTAAAATATTTTTTCTTTATTTTGTTTTAAAATATTTTCCCTTTAGTTTTGCAAAAATCATATATTGTTTATTATAGTGTGGTAAAATTGGAAATCAGACTGCCCTTCTTCCAGAGGTCTCCTGTTTTTGTTGTTGTTGTTGTTGTTGCGGGCTGTGATTGTTTGTCTGTTTTGTGACTTTTCTTAACTATTTTTCAGACTGTACTCCTTGCCATTGGTGTCACTGAAGTCTGTTCCTTAGATATTGTTCAGTTAGCTTTTTCCAAAGGTTTCCTTGAATATCAAGGGAAAGAGAGGAAGACAGAGAAAGAAGACAAAGAAGGAGGGAGGAGAAGATAGGAGAACCTCTTGTAGTCTCTGCAGAATTGTTCTGTGCTTGGACCTTCCTTCACCCCTTAACTGGATTTCCCAGGAGCCTCAGAATCCACCTGGGATGAAAGCTTAAGGTCTTCTCAGTTTTTTTCTGATCATGCATCTTACCTTGGGCAAGTGCATGGTGTTCTAGATTCCTCCAAATACATGGGTGCTTTAGAATGCCCGAATATCCCAAGGAAGCTCTTTCTGGGCTCTTTCTCCCTCACTCTAGTAGGCCTCTGCATGTCTCAACAGTTGTCTTTTGGCCTGGGTAGTTGGCTGCAGGTTGTTGTCAGCCTTACGGTGTTTTCGAGCATCATCTACTGCTCTTCCATCCCGAATGGCTTCTGAGTTAGGCAAAACAGAGGCCTGCATCTTCTGTTGGTCTTTCAAGTAGCTCCAGACAGTTTCAAACAGACATGCACAATAATTTATGAATGCTGTCTGCTCCCTTCTGAACCCGGGACCAAGTTCCCAGCATGGGAATGGAGACTGCTGCTGAGCAGGGGAGGGTGAAGCAAGGACAATCAAGACTGCCTCAAAGCTTTCCTGCCATTTTTAAGTTGCCTTGTTCGTGATTCAGTGCTTGCTTTGTTGCTGTAAACCTTTGACTGTTTTCCACGTTTCTAATGAAGCTGGTTCTGACAGTTCCTGTTTGTTTTTCAGTGCTCCTGTGGGAAGAATGGGAGGGGTAGAGCTGCCTACTCTCAATTTTTTCTGATATCCCTCTATATTTATTCTTAAAGATCTTATTTTTTGTAAAGAATTGTAAATGGAATACTTTTCTGTCATGTTTTCTTGCTGAAATTTGCCATGTAAAGATGTAATTGATTTTGTATATTGCTTTTATAAGAATATGCCAGTTCAGGAAGAGGAGGAAGAGAATGTGCAGTTCAGTTGTTTGTGTGGTCCGTGGGGTAGGAGAGAAAGGCAAAAGCTTCTTGAGGAACAGTGATGAAAGAGTTGATCTCTGAAATCTGAGTACCTTGGATCAAGTAATAGATTCTCTCCTATCCATTTTGATATCTTTGATAATTTACTGAAGTGTGTAACCCTCAGTTTTCCCAGCTGAAAAATGGGAGTAACATGAGCACTGAATCAATTAGCTTTGGCTGTATAACCAACCGCAAAACGTAGTGGCTTCAAGTAACAATTGTTTTATTTAGTTCTTGCTTTTGTAAGTGGCTGATATGTCTGGGCTGGTGTGGTCTCTGGCAATGTGGTTCCTCACCTTCCCATAAGCTAACTCATAATCCTCCACATAGTGGGCTTAGGACTCCAAAAAGCATCAAGAGAGGGCAAACTCCAATATGCAAGTATTTTTGAGACTCTGTTTGTATATCACTTGCTGTAGTCCCATTGTCCAAAGCAAGTCACATGTCAAGTGAAAGTCACACCTAAGGGTGTGCCTTCAGAAGGGCAGACCCAAACACAGAGGTCTATTATGGTAACAAGCCAGCCTCCTGATCCACCCACCTCCAACTTGCAAGATATATCAACCTTATCCCAGCACCCAGAATGCTCATTCCATGCAACCTCAGTCTCAAAGTCCGGATGTCTCTCTACTTTGGGCAACATTTCATGGTTCAGTGGAACAATGTCCTTAAGATTCTTACAAGCCCATTTGTCCAGTTGAGAAAGTCTACTCGGCACCATCTTAAATTGCTTAGGTTTTAATAAAAGACTTTTACAGCCATACCTTGCTTTTATCATTTTTTCTTTTTTTAAATTTTCTTCCTTCCTTTGAGAATCTTTTGCCAGTGGAGAGATTAGAAATGTGAAACGGTTTCATTCTTCCATCCAGCAAGTCCTGGCTCCTTCATATCGCCTCTAAATTCTGCTTCTAAGCCAAACAATTCCTTCTTTGGATTGTTTCTCACTTGCTTATCTTATCAGACCCAGCTGGGAGAACCAATAGACCCTTCGCCAGATGTGTTCACTGGGTATGCTTTTTTCAAGATCCTCTAGCTGTCAGCTGTGCCAGGTGTCTTGCTATGGCCTAACACTGGTTGCCACTTTTCCTGTCCTGACTGGCGTTCTTCCCTCATTGCTTTTCTAACCCCTGCCTTACACTCTGTCCTGAAACTAATGCTGCAGGCTCACTTAGGGCTCTCCTGTGGTGGTCTCAGGCTTGCGAGTGCAGTAGTGAGCCAAACCCTGCAGGCAAGCCCTTTGCAAGCCTCTGCTTGCATTACATTTGCTAAGGGTTCGTTAGTCAAAGCAGGTCACACGGGCAAGCCCTGAATCTTTCGAGTTCGGGCTTGCCCATGTGACTCAGAAAAGACGGAAAACAGCCTCCTTCTTGATGGGATGAAATGCAACATCCTGTCACAAAAGATGGTCAGTTTTGACATCTATCACAGGTGCCTCATTTGCAGGATTGTGGTGCATTACTAGAAAGAGGCAGTAACATACAAGCATCTGCTTCAGAGGATGATGGTCCACAGCTGGGTAGGCTGGAATTCTACACAAAGCGCAGCTTCCCTTTATGGCATTTAGGTTCCTGTATTTGCTGAATTGGATCTACATTTGCTTCCTTTCAACTCAGACAACCCGAGGCATGCCTGAGGCGGGAACATGCCTGAAATGGCTCCATTGGAGCAGCAGCACAGCAAAGCCACCTTCTTCTGAGGACACACAGACCCAGAAGCCCACCTGTGTCCTCTTCTCGATAGAAGCAAAATCATAAGTGAAACTTTAAACTACAGCCGGGATAATTCAGGACTGATCTCATTATCTTTGTAACCATCTCGTTAGAGAGACAGATGGCTCAAGAAATGTAAATAGCCAAATGTCTCCCTGGGGGTCCTGCAGCTATGTGGGGAGCCTCTCGAGAGAACAACACACACAGACTAGCCTGCAAGGAAGGCCTTTCCCTTTCAGTCAACTTCATCTAAAGAGATCGAAACTTTGTCCATATCCCTTAACAATGCCATAGGAATATGATATTGACCAAACTATCACTAAAAATATACTTAAAGATTTTTTCATTCCTGAAGATTGCCAGAAAAGAAGAAGCATGAGAAACTCAGAAAGGCCGTCCTTACATTTACATATTCAGTGTCAGCAGCTGCTCCCTAGCACAGAGAGGACAGATCTGGAGGACGAAGTAAGGGAAGGAGTACAGGTCAACTGAGAGGCGGAGGTGGGCCTCCCAAGCGAAGGAAAATGTTAAGAAAGGGTGCACCATACCAAACACAGTATGTCTCATGTGCTGACATAGTCTTCTTGTTCTGTTAAAAATAAAAGACTGAACAGGTAACTAAAGGCTACACAGAGGACACAGGTGCTGTGTGGTGCTGGAGGCACAGGAGACATCTGAGGCATTCACCCTCCTGAACTCTAGCACCTGCGAGGCCCTGGCTGAAGAGAGAGGAGAATTCTGGACCCAAGGCTCACCTGTCAGTCAGCCACGATCCCATTACATGGCTACAAAAGTACAAACAGCAGAAGACCTGCTGGTATCTCTCAGGGCTGCCTACAGCAGCCTTTTATTTAAGGAAAGTTACATTATTTTCTATTTTTTATTTTATTATTTTATTTTATTTTTTGAGGTGGAGTCTTGCCCTGTTGCCCATGCTGGAGTGCAATGGTGCAATCTCGGCTCACTGCAATCTCCGCCTCCCAAGTTCAAGCAATTCTCCTGTCTCAGCCTACCAAGTAGCTGGGATTACAGGTGCATACCACTATACCTGACTAATTTTTGTATTTTTAGTAGAGATGGGGTTTCACCATATTGACCAGGCTGGTCTCAAACTCCCGACCTCAAATGATCCACCCACCTCGGCCTCCCAAAGTGCTGGGATTACAGGCATAAGCCACTGTGCCTGTCCAAGGAAAATTACATTATAAGTGAGGAAAACCCAAGTGAATGATTCATTCACCCTACAGTGACTGTATTTTGGTGTTTTTGTGTAACATTAATAGATGCTGTTTCCTAAGAACTTGGAATAATTTAGGTTTCATTAATAGGAAATATACGCTGTTTCTTTTAAAGCCGAGACTTGTTTTAAACCTCTTTAGCCAAGTCAATTTTGTAGATATTTCAAAGTATTGATGGTTCATTTCCTTGATCATAAATCAGTGATGATACATTTGTTTAGTATTTGTGAGATGAAGCACATCTAATTCAGAGCCACCATGTCTACCTGGGGAGTATATGTACTGTATTTTATAAAAATACCTAAATCACATAGAATTAGAAAAAGTACCTCAAAATGTTCCCATATGTGGATTTTCATCATATGGTTCTACATGTATGTTTAACTTTTCTAAGCATTAATTTGCAACATTTAAATGTAATGATCTCATGTAGGGAGTTTTTTGTTTTGTTTTTAGATGAAGTCTTGCTCTGTCACCTAGGCTGAAGTGCAATGGCACGATCTTGGCTCACTGCAACCTCTGCCTCCTGGGTTCAAGTGATTCTCCTGCCTCAGCCTCCCAAGTAGATGGGATTACAGGCGTGTGCCACCATGCCTGGCTAATTTTTTTGTATTTTTGTAGAGACAAGGTTTCACCATGTTGGCCAGGCTGGTCTTGAACTCCTAACCTCAAGTGATCCACCTGCCTCGGCCTCCCAAAGTGCTGGGATTACGGGCATGAGCCACTGCACCTGGCCTGGGAGATCTTTAAAAATAGTTATATGGAAAGAAGTTTTCTTGTGTCAAATATATGTACAATTTTCCAGAGTACGGTTTCTGAAGGGATAAGCTATGAATTAAGAAAATATTAGTTGTTTATCTTTCTGAGTTGTAGGGAATTTTTGAAACCCGTACAAGTGAGGAAACATTTACACTTCCTTTTTTTTTTCCATAAATATTCATGGAACACTAGTTATGTGCTTAAACACTACAGTAAGGTTGAGGGCACAAATATGAATAAAACATGGTATCCTACAGCTTGGGAGAAGAGGCAGACATTGACTATAATTCCATGAGATAATTGTTATAAATTAAGCCTTTGCAAAATACACAGTGAATGAATGGAGGAAATAATTCCTCCACCCAGGAATCTGGGGGAGAATATTAGAGGAAGTAATACTGAACAAGGTCTGAAAGGGTGGGTTCATCTGGCCAGGAGGAGAAGGGGAGGAAGGACTATTTCAAACAAAGCAACGATTTTAACAAATCAAAGCCTACACTAGGGTAGCAAATCGGATATAGGGAAAAAATTATCTTGTATATTACAAAAGTAGGTGCTATGGTTGCTGTATCATGATATTTCTAAGCTTTATATGTTTTATATTTTTATACTGATCCTTTTGCAAAGATTGAAATCCTTATTTTAACCTTTTGGCTAAGGAATTAAAAAATAGTCCTAAAAAAGGATCTGTTTGTCACCAGAATAGTTAAAATTAAGAAACCTGCCAATAGCAAGGAATGGCAAGGATGTAAAGCCACTGGACTGCTTGTAAGTTGATGTGACAAACTTAAATCTATGTCTACACTATGACCAGCAAACATCCAAGAGAATTGGATGTGCACGGCCACAAACTACATTTATAAAATGTACATATATGTTTTTTCATAGTAATCCAAAACGGGAAGCTTACTAGGTACCCATTCAGAAAAGAATGGATTAACAAACTGTGGCCTATTCATACAGCAGATGTCAAAAGGAATGACTACTTGATATATAGAAGATGTGGTTGTCTCAAAATATTATGCTGAATAAAAGAAACTTGGAACAAAATAGTGCATACTATATGATTCTGTTTAGTTGAAATTCAAGAACAGGAAAACCGATCTATGGTGGTAGAAGACAGAAGTGTAGTACTGATTGGGAAGGGACACAAGGAAACCTGGAGTGAAAACATTTTCGCTGGGTGCGGTGGCTCATACCTGTAATCCCAGCACTTTGGGAGACCGAGGTGGGCGGATCACGAGGTCAGGAGATCAAGACCATCCTGGCTAAGACAGTGAAACTCCGTCTCTACTAAAAATACAAAAAATTAGCTGGGCATGGTGGCGGGCGCCTGTAGTCCCAGCTACTCGGGAGGCTGAGGCAGGAGAATGGCGTGAACCCAGGAGGTGGAGCTTGCAGTGAGCGAAGATTGCGCCACTGCACTCCACCCTGGGTGACGCAGTGAGACTCCGTCTCAAAAAAATAAAAAAATAAAAATTGTCTATATTATGATTGGGGTGGTAGATGCATTAGTGTATAGATAAGTAAATTTTACCAACCTGTAAGATTTCTATCTTTTTCTGAATATAAAACTAAACATTTTAAGAGGTGAGTAAGTGGGAGTGGTGACTGGCACTTACACAGCTGAATACAGGGCATGTCTTACGAGTAGGATTTTCACACCTGCACAGGGAAGCTGAGGCTATAGCTCACATGTGCATCAGGAAGGCCGAAAAGGGCTCCCCTTCTGAAAGAAGAGTTGGGAAACCATGACGTTATCATGAGTAGACAACAAAGTTTCTCCTCACTAATCCACACTGCTGAAAATGCAACCTGCATGATAATGCATGATTGGAAAAGAGTCATCCACAAAAAAGGAATATAGACTGTGTACCTCATTTATACTGATGCTTGTGGGAGAATCCCAGTTCAAGAAACCATCAACAAAACATATTAATAACAGGTGAACTCCATAGAACCTAGGCAAAATGACTACGGAACTGCTCCAGGAAATATGATAAACTCTCTTAGAAGAAGACCCCTTTGCACAATGAGTTGATAATCAAAATGGTAAAACATGCTAAAAAATGCAAAACCATGAAAAGTATTCCACAGAACCAATAAATTGGAGAATTCAACCCTAAGAATGGAGAGCTAATGGAGCCATCCAAGAAGGACTTCAAAGTAGTATTTCATAAATACAAAAGGTGATAAAGGAATAAGATATCAATTTATAGCAAAATTCAAGTGGTAAAAATAAAAACGAATAATAATATCTATTGTTGGTATCTTAATGAGGCTTCTTACAGCCTTCCATGTAAAAAATTGGGCATTTTTGCCTAAAACTGAAATTTCATGGACCTTTTGATCCAAGTCGGATTCCCTGAAGCACTGTGCAATTAAAACCCCTGCGCATTAAGGTATATCCCATGGTTTTCTTTATTATAACATTGCTTTTAATAAGAAAATATGAAATTATGGTGAAAACTCATCAGTAATGAAATGGCAGAATAAAATATACTGTATACATTCATGAGCTAATACACAGTGACTAAATCAGTGACTTTGTTACAGATGAGTTGGCTTGGTGGGGTTTCCATTATGTGTCTTTAAGCAGAAAAACGAATGACAGAAAAATTGATTAGTATCTCATTTTTCCTACAAGAAGCATTGAGAAAAACAAAAACCTCTATGGTTTTTATTCATTGTGATATGAGAATGGAATGTCATGGAAAGAAACATACTAGGATGATACTGTTGTTCTGTGCAAATGTTGGGCAGGGGATTTAGATCAGGTAAGGAAAAAAATCAAAACAAATAAATGGTTTGTTTTAAAAATATTGTCCTTGGAAAACAGCATGCATTTTGTAATTACATTTAAGGGAAATTATACACCCAATCAAAGACATACATACATGTACATGTATGCATATACATACATATGTGCATATATAATGTTTTTTGTATGTATATGTGTGTATATAAACACACACACACACACACACACACACACACACACACACACACACACACACCGAGAAAGAGAGGGAGGGAGGGAGGGTAGGAAGAATAAGGGGAGACAAGAAAGAATGATGAAGTAATATATAGAAAAAAATTAATAAACTAAACAAAACTAAGTAGATGAATAATATATATTTAAAGAACAGTATACTATGAAACAGAAACCTGTAGTTAACATATGGAAAGCAATTAAAAATATCCCAGTGAAAAATATTTGATCATTGAAACTAAAAATCCAGTTGATTGGTCACATTTAAGGAGAGAATTAGTGACATCGCTGGGGGTGGAGGTGGAGAGACAGAGGGGCTACTGTTGAAGAGACAGTGACTGAGGATTTTTGAGAAAAAAGTTAAAACATGAAAGGTCTTGGATTTAATGTGTCCACCAAGTGTCAAGTTAGATGTGCCGGGAACAATGACAGAAATGGTGTCAAGAAAATTGGGTTTACACAGAAAAAATTAGATTAGATCACTACCTCATAGTATATGCAAAAATAAATCCTAGGTGGTTTAAAACTCTAAGTGTAGGGAAAAAAAGTAAGATTCAATATCTGTGAGTAAGAATCTATGGCTTACGGGGAATGAAAATTTTAAGATACACAAAAAAATACAAAACAGGAAAAAACTACCATATATTTCCACAATAAGATACAATAAAAGCCATGAAGATCAGAATTTGGGGCTGGGCGCAGTGGCTCACACCTGTAATCCCAGCTCTTTGGGAGGTCAAGGTGGGCGGATCACCTGAGGTCAGGAGTTCCAGACCAGCCTGGCCAACATAGTGAAACCCCGTCTCTACAAAAAATACAAAAAAAAAAAAAAATTAGTCCGGTGTGGTGGCACACACCTGTAATCCCAGCAACTTGGGATGTTGAAACAGGAGAATCGCTTGAAACCAGGAGGCAGAGGTTGCAGTGACCCGAGATCATGCCATTGCACTCCAGCCTGGGAGACAGAGCAAGACTTTGTCTCAAAAAAAAAAAAAAAAAAAAAAGAAAGAAAAAAATAAGAATTTGGTATCCAAATAAATAATTCTCTAAATAATTAATAAAAAAATCTGAGAAATGAGAAGGAACAGAACCAGAAGTACTGATGACAAGAATGATATGAAGAAAAAATGTTCAACCTTAGTAGTTTTCAGGGAACTGCAAAACAATACAAACGAAAGCAAATTCTTACCCAGTAATTTGAAGAGAAAAAAGAAATTTGAGAGTAACAATTTGTCTTGGTCTGTTCGGGCTGCTATAACAAAATACATGAACTGGATGAAATGTAGACAACAGACATTTATTTTTTACAGTTTTGGTGGCTGGAAGTCCAATATCAAGAGGCCTGCAGATTCAGTGCCTGGTGAGGGCCTGCTTCCTGGTTCATGGATGGCCCCTTCTCCCTATGTCCACCTTGTAATGGAGGGAGAGCAGGAGCTCTCTTGGGCCTCTTTCATAATGGCACTAATCCCACCATGAGTGCTCCACCCTCATGAACTAATCACCTGCCCAAGTCACCACCTCCTGATACCATCACCTAGGGGGTTAACATTTCAACATATGAAATCTGGGGGGCACAAACATTCAGACCATTGCACAGCGGTTGGCTAGAGTGTAAAGAAATGATGGTGCACACAGCTGGTGTGAGCATGAGTTGGAAGGACTTCTTTGGAAAAAAGTTTGCCAGTATATTTTAGAATTGTAAATGTGCATAGCCAGGCATTATGCAGTAATCATGAATTTTTGCTTGTGGGTTGATAAAGAGATGCTCTCATGCATTTTATACAGGGAAACTTCAACATGTATATTTGTTAAATCATTGTTATTAATGACCAAAAATACAAAATAGAAACAGGCTGAATGTGGCCATCAAGAGAAAAATGGATTAATTAATTATGGAATATTCATATAATGTACTACTACACAGCATTTATATTTATGCCAACATGGAGAAATGTCAAAACATATAATTAAGTAAAAAAAAAAAACAACAAAAAAAAGATGAAACAGTATTAGTATGATACATTTATTTATTGCAAATTCAAAGAAAACCAATGCATTATATTGTTTGGAGTGTGTGTGTGTGTGTTTAGCATATGCACACACTATAGCATACATGGCATATTTTGCTAGTGGCTTTCCCTGAGGAAGGAGTAAGGACGGGACTGGAGTTGGTGGGCAAAGGATGCCCTTGCTCTATGTGTTGTAGCCAAGGTTTTGAAAAAGTGAAACTATATACATGCACACACCCACACACACACACACACAGTCATGTGCCTCATAACCACATTTCGGTCAACTATAGACTGCACATAGGATGGTGGTCCCATAGAATTACAATACTGCATTTTTACTCTACCTTTTCTATGGTTAGATATGTTTAGATACACAAATCTTTACCATTGTGTAACAGCTGCCTACAGTATTCAGTACAGGAACATGCCGTGCAGGTTTGTAGCCTAGGAGCAATAGGCTATATCGTACAGCCTAGGTGTGTAGAAGGCTGTACTATCTAGGTCTGTGCAAGTGCACCCTCTGATGTTCACATAACAACAAGATCACAAAACATCACATTTCTCACAATGTATCCTCGTTGTTACATGACGCATGACTATATATGTGTGTGTGTGTGTGTGTGTGTATGTATATATATACATGGAGAGAAAGAGAGAAATATAGCTGTTAGGTTTAGGTGACAGGATTGGGGGTATTTATGTTCTTCCTTTTTCTTTTCTGGAATTTATAAAATTGCTGTAACCTTTACTTATAAAATTATTATAGAAAGACTCCACTAGCAGGCCTTGAGTTGGGGCACCTTTGCTATAGGACTGTGAGGTGATGAGAGACCAGGAGCCTCACGTCTCACTTGTCTATCCTTTTCCTACTTCAGTAAAGATTCCTGCCCCTCTTCCCTAATTCAGAATTCAGAGAGTATGGCCAGAACCTGCCTGTTGGTTCTTCCTATTTGTATGAGAGAGTGAGATTCTTGGAATTGTAATTACCCACATAAGTCAGTTTTAAATTGTGCAGAGGTGTCTTTGAAATAGTTTCATCGTTTCCAATGGATAAAAGAAATTTTGCAGAAAGAACTGGAAACAGTTTATGAACTTGTTTCTGTGAAAAAAAAAAGAGCTTCCAACATAAATAATAGTAAAAATTGGCCGGGCACGGTGGCTCATGCCTGTAATCCCAGCACTTTGGGAGGCCGAGGCAGGCAGATCACAAGGTCAGGAGTTCGAGACTAGCCTGGCCAATATGGTGAAACCTCGTCTCTAATAAAAATACAAAAATTAGCTGGGCATGGTGGCATGCGCCTTTAGTCCCAGCTACTCAGGAGGCTGAGGCAGGAGAATCGCCTGAACCCAGGAGATGGAGGTTGCAGTGAGCCAAGATCACACCACTGCTCTCCAGCCTGGGTAACAGAGTGAGATTCTGACTCAAAAAAAAAAAAAAAAAAAAAAAAAAAACAGGAATAAATGTCATGTTACATATATTTTTTAAAAATAGGAAAAAAAAAAGTATTTGAAGGTCAGTTCACTCACAATGTGGAGTCTCTGTGCTGAGCTGGGGAAGCTGGAGGAGAGCCAGTGTCCTTGGTGTGTGGCTGGAGTCCTTTTGCATGATTGATAAGTGAAAGGTGGTCAGGGGTGCAGCTGCTGTGCTTTGCTAGGTGGAAACCCACCGCCTTCCAGTATCAGCTCTGTGGCCTTGGCTGGTCACTTTGCCCCACTGACTCTCACTTTCCTCCTCTTTGCAATGAGGGTAATAACAGTGTCTGATGGAGTGGCATGAGAATTACTTTGTTTAACAGGCTGTATATTTAGCCCTTAAAACAATGCCATAGTAGTGCAACCAAAAAGTAACCATTTATTGTTAGTATTGGTATTATTATTCCTTTTTGCTACTGGCTGCAGGCTCCATGAGCAAGAGAATCCTGCTTGGTTTCTCACCACTTTGTCCCTGGCATCGACTATGATATCTAATAAATAGTGGTGTTTAATACATAGTGGCTGGAAGAATGAGTCGAAGAAATTGGTGTTGCATTGTGCTGGCACACTTATTCTGTACTGTGAATATGGACCCAGGCAATATTCTCAAAAATCACTTGACCTGTGTATCAAGTATCAAAATTGTTCAGAGTTTGTGGTTTGAAGTTTGTACTTCTGGAAGCTAATCCTAAAGAAAGGATCCAAAATACAGACCAGGAATTATATGGAAGGCTGTCTTGGCTGTATAAGAACTTGGTAACCTTTAAGAGACACAGGTTGGGTAAATCACGTCCAGATAGTAAGATACCGAAATGTTTTGTCCAAGATAATTTGAAAATATAGGTAAATTTTCATTATAGGGAGAAGTTGTAGTTAGTTTGGTGAAAAATGCTTTTCATTTAAAAGACCCAATTTTTATTTTTCTGCCTTCCACTTTGTGGTTGACAAGACTGGCCAAGTCAATATCTATGAGCCTTCGTTTCCACATCTATAGTGTGGGAAAACAGCACCTGTCTCCTAGAGTTTTGAAAATAATTAACTGTATGTAAAAGCTCTTTTAAGACCACAAACTCATCTATAATTATAATTCTCAAGTTGTATTCAGGGATATGCTGCTGACATGATTCATATTTAATTTAGTACTTCAATTAAATACCTACTTGGAGAAACTCTGTGAGCATTAACGAAGAGCAGCTCCAGGAAAGAGATCAAGGGAAGAATTGCCTTGTTGTTTTTTAGAAGACTTGACATTTTACCCTATTTTAAGATCCCCCTTCCTCCTCCTTTTTCCTGACAGCCTGTATCTGTATTCAATCATTACCTGTCAACACAGTTTTATTTGGTATGAATAAATATGGCATAATTAGCTTGAAAATGATTCTCTTAATTACAGTCGTGGAGTTGCTTTATTTGCTCAGCCTTCATATCTAAAGAATATGACACAACGCACCGAGATGACTTAAAACAAAGTCTAAATTTATCAGTGGGATCCTTTTGATGCACTCCTGTCAGTGTCTTTGCCCAATTTCTTTTGACAGGTCTTCAAGATTCAAATATATTCAGCCACATTTATTCCTTAGGACAGTCTTGGGGTGCAGGGCACTCTACTTGACCGTCAGTCTCCTCCAGATTACAGCTGATGCCCAAAGAGACTGCAAGGAAAGATGCTGTAGTGGTGTGAGAATCAAGTGAGAAAATACATTGGAAGACACGTATCTCTTTCCTGACACATAGTCTCAGTGCTCAAAAATATTTATTTGGGGCCGGGCGTAATGGCTCATGCCTGTAATCCCAGCACTTTGGGAGGCCGAAGCAGGTCGATCACCTGAGGTCAGGAGTTCAAGACCAGCCTGGCCAACATGGGGGAGCCCCGTGTCTACTAAAAATACAAAAATTAGCTGGGCGTGGTGGCAGACGCCTGTAATCCCAGCTACTTGGGAGGCTGAGACAAGAGAATCACTTGAACCTGGGAGGCAGAGGTTGCAGTGAGCTGAGATCACACCATTGCATTCCAGCCTGGGCAACAAGTAAGAAACTCTGTCTCAAAAAAAAAAAAAAAAAAAATATATATATATATATATATATATATATATATATATAGTTATTTGGTCACTTGCTTACCTATTTCATCCTTTGTCTTCCTTTTTTTTATGATTGTTTCCATGACTGAAGTCCAGACTCATGGATGGACCAAATTTGGTCTGTAAATGCTGTGATTTATCTGATGATGATTTACCTGTTGTGGTACCCCGAGAGTCATGAACTGGGTGTCAGGAGCCCTCCCATCTAGTCCTAACTTTTACACTCTGGAGAGCCACTCACTTTTCAGGTGTCAGCTGCTTTTATCTAAGCCATATTATTATTGTTGTCATTATTATTATTTGAAATAAGGAGTAGTCTCCAAGGCTACTGCTACCATTTCCCCACCACACTGTTAAGCAACTGCCACTTTGTCATCATCTTCCTGACCTTGCATCTGGGCAAAATGTTTTGGGTCTAGTTGAAAAACATAGGTTCTGTCATTTTGGGGTTTAGTGCCATATCATTTGGGTTAAATAATCTTCTCCTTTCTTGATATCTTTGGATGACTGATGGTCTTTTATTCAGCTTTCCTCATCTGTGAGCTCAGAAGTTTTCTGGCTTTTTTCAGTGACCGCTCCAGCTGTTGCAGTCTGTCCCCTTGACGTAAATGTTAATGTTAATTGGTGCTTCTACCCACAGCCTGGGCCACACTCAGGCTTCAGATCACCTTACCTCCAAACACTCCCTCTCACACTCCTTCTCTTTCACATATATTCGTTCCTTGTATTTTAAACACAGCACACTGCAATATGTTAATATTGTGGTTTTCTGCAGACAGCAGTCACTGAGATCTGCTCACATATTTATGATTGTGTGGCTCTGCCTCTCCAAGCTCCTTCTGGGAAACTTTTCTTTCTGCCTGAAGATTACCCTGTAGTATTTCCTTTAGTAAAGACCTGAGAGTGGTGAATTTTCTCAGTACTTGTTTATTTGAAACTGTCTGTATTTTCCTTTAATTCTTAAATAATGTATTTGCTCAATACCTACCTCTGCTTTGACTATTTTCTTTCAAAACTCTGAAGGTATTTTTTCACTGTCTCCTGACTCCCAGCTCTCAACGCTCGGTCTACTTTTTGCTCCTTTGTTTTTGTTCCAGCAGTTTTATTATATAATGACATTCCAAGTTGTATATTATTATTAGTTTTTATTTTTCCTCCTGGTTTCTCTTATCTGTGGTTCAATGTCTTTGATAAGTTCTCTGCCATAATCTTTTAAAAAATTGCTCATGCACGATTTTCTCCTGTACTGCTGATATTTTAATTTCACATGGGTTAGACCAGGTGTGGGCAACCATGCCTGCTTTTGTGAATAAAGACATGTTGGAACACAGCTACAGTTGTTTATGTACCAGGCGTGGCTTTTTCCTGCTGCAACAGAAGAGCTCAGTTTGCTCCAAAAACTGGATAGTCTAATATGTCTGGAATATTTACTGTTTGTCCCTTTACAGAAAAGTTTGCCAAGCCCTGGGTTAGGTCTTCCCACGATATTCTTTATGTCACTGTGTATTCTCCATATTCTTAAATTTTTGTCTCTTTGTGCTCCACTCCACTGGATGTTTTCTTAATATCCGGCAGTTCATTCCCTCAATCCTCAAAGGTCTCTGCTTTTTCTTATTTATCTCCACTGCCTTCTTAATGTCAACGACTATATTTCTGGTTTTAGAACTTCCACTTGATTCTCTATAGTTTTCAGTTCTCTGCCTAAATTCCTAATTTTGTCTTTTATCTTATTGAATATAGTGAGCAAATCTAATTGAAATTCTGTCAGATAATTTCAATCTCTAGAGCAATTATGCTTTAGTCTGCTGTTTTTATTCTTGTCTGATCTCATGTGTTTATTAATTTTTATTATTTGCTGGATATTCTTTTAGCAAATGTTTGTAGGAATGATTTGAGACTAAAGATGCCATTATCTTATCCGGAGAGGGTTTATATGTGCAGGTACCAGACAGCATGCCATGTAATACAACCTGGAACCACCAAGCATGGCATATAATAGAATGCAGAATCACCAAATCAAGTTGAGCGTTAGTCCATGGTAGGGCCTGTCCACTTCTGTTTCACTCCTAGTTCCAGAACGCAGCACTTCTGGGTCCTGACCCAAAGCTCGTGGCATTCACAGGCAACTCTGTCCCAACCCCAACTGGAAGGCCTTGTACTGCAGTTTTTGTGATATTTAATCTCTCCATCCTAGTACATAGTAATTCTTTCTCTTTGGTTCTTGTTTTATTTCTTTCCATGGTTATTTTTTTAAATAGGCCCTTTGCTATCTTGGCTAATTTTATTCTTATAATTTTAGGTGTGATCACAATTGTCAGTGGATATTTTTCTCATTTCCCTTTTTATGTACTTATTTTAAAACCTCAGAAAGTTATTTGGTTTTCTGGGTATGCAGTCTTACCAGCAGCATCACAGATGAGATTCATCACAGGTTTTCCAGTGTTTATTGAAGCAATTTCATTCTTCTCTCTGTTTTATTGTTTTACAGGCTTCAAGTTTCAAGAAAATAGTAATGACCAGAGGGAGCATCATTTTCTCCCAACTAAAATTTTAATTGAAATAATTTTAGTACATCATGATTTGGAATAATAACTCCCGTTAGATTTTGACAAAGTGTTTTTGTTTCATTTAAAAACTTTTTCTGCTTTTGCAATATTTTACTAAGAGTATCTGCTAAATTTTATCAGTGTCTTTTTTACTTCTTCATATGATAATGGTTTTTCTCTTATATGTGTGGCTATAAAACATGTTGACACATTTCCATATATAGAACCACACTTGCATTTCTTAATATATCATTTTGTATTTTTAACGCATGATGCTGAATTCTATGTATTTTCCTTTAAAATTTTTATCTGAATTTATAGATAACTTTGGGTTTCTTTCATGTTACCATGTTTGTTAGGCATTTGTAGCATTTTGTTTTCTTTTGTTTTGTTTTTGACCTGGAGTTTTCCTTGTGGGAAGATTTTTTATTATGGATTCAAATTCAGCTTCTTTATTAGATATCGGGCTATTCAGATTTTTATATTTTTCATCAATTTTTATAAATTGTGATTTTTTATCATTTCTATTTTTTATTTTTATTTATTTATTTATTTTTTAATTATACTTTAAGTTCTAGGGTACATGTGAGAACACTTGGACACAGGGTGGGGAACATCACACACCGGGGCCTGTTGTGGGATGGGGGAAGGGGGAAGGGATAGCATTAGGAGATACACCTAATGTAAATGACGAGTTAACGGATGCAGCACACCAACATGGCACATGTATACATAGGCATTTGTGGCATTGGTATTGAAGTTTACATGGCTTCATTATGCCACGGGAAGCTCTTCATTTTTGCCTATGACATGGAATACTGTAAATACTACTAGGATTAAAGGTTCTCTTACAGAAAAGATTGGGCACGTTCAGGGTGGCATGATGTAATCATCAGTTTATCTGGCTTTGGTGTGCTTTTTTAAAGAGTAAGCTTTCAATCCATCCTTTGTACAATAAGTGATTTATTCAAATGTTTCATCCTTTCTTGGGTCCCTTGGTCCATTCTCTGTTGGCCAATATCTTGCCCTATCTTGTCCTCCATTCCTGGCCTCAGTTCTCTCAGCCTGAGAGGCCAGGTTTGCGTTTGACTTGTATTCAGTTGTCCTGAGCCTTCGGGGCTACTAGGCTCAGGAGGTGAAGCTGACTGAGCTTGAGCCGAGAGGAGGAGAGTCCTGTTCAGGTTGCCTCAGTCCCAGCTTTCCAGTTCTTTTGTTCCATTTGTTTCATCAACCAGCTAAATCTTTAGAGTGCTGCTGGCCTATAAGAGACTCCACCCATCTAACAATACAGCTTGTGGAACTTGAGAAATTCAAAAAAACAGCACTGAAATTATATTTGTGGTCATAGGGGAGTCTGGAATGAATGATTTAATAGAAAGTTTAAAAAATAGAGAGAGAGCACTAATTGTGCCTAACCCTACCTCACCTCTACCCATGCACAAAACGTCCTGTCTCTTTTGACTGTGGCCTTACTTATTTGGGTTGAAACTAATCAGGAGGAAGCTCAAGATATGTGTTATTAGCCCCACAAAATGTGTGCTGTATCGTTTCTTTGAAATAGTCTTGTTCCCATCTATCTGTGCCTTGCTTGTCTCAAACCACTACAATATTATTTCAGAATATATTAGTTTTCCCTAAAAGTCTTTGGTTTGGTTAGATTTCTAGTAGAATAACTCTAAATAGGCTTTTGATAGGCAATTCATCTCTTTAATTCATCTCTTTTAAAATATAGATTGAAATCACTTTGTATATAATAATAATTAAAATAATTCATAACTTATGTTTGTACTACTAAACAGATATTTTTCTGAAGTTGAATTCATAGATTTTTTAATAAAAGAGACAAATATTAGGTATACTCAATTTCCAATTAATTAAAATTTTCCTTTCCTTTTTTTAAATTTGTCTTGAAAATAAATTACATTTTCGTATTATTTTATAAGCCTAAGAAAAAATGAAAACAGCTTTTAGAGAAGCACCCAAGCGCCATCTGCCAGCTTAACAGTTGCTCATAAATTTTTGTTTTAAAAATTATTTAAAACAAAAAATGATGTATAAACATAGATTTATATGTGCCATAATACTTGAGAAAAAAACTGGTGATATAATCAATATTTGTTCTCTTCTTTTATTAATTTAAAAGAGAACAAAACTAGTGGAAGTAACACTTTTTTGTTTACATGGAAGTTGTCCAGAGTTTTCAATTAGGAGGAGGAAGAGAGATTCTTGGCTATTTCTCTTTGTTCTGCTAAGCCTTCCTCACTTTATAATGTTAGCACATGGCAATAAAAAGCAAATTAGAAAAAGAAAAACATATCAGTATTTCACGTCAATAAACCATCCACTGTCTTTATTTTGTCTTCTCTTTTAGTCTTTTTCCATATACATCCTATATGGAATTTAGATTTTCACTGTAAAGAGAAAGAGAGGAAGGAAGAGAGACTGAGACAGATAAGGAGAGACAGAGAAAAAGAGAGACAGAGGGACACACAGAGAGAGAGACAGAGAGAGACACACAGGGAGTAACAAAGAGAGATAAGGAGAGAGACAGAGATAGTGAGTACAGAAAGGAGGCAGGGAGAGAGACAGGGAGAGAGGTAAACACTACGTCTCATCCCTGGTGAGCTTTTGGCTTCTGCACCTCTGGGTGTCAATTGAAGAGATCAATGTGTAACCTTCCTAAGGCCACACAAGAAGCACAGACAAAATTGTATTTAAAAGAATCTGATTCCCAACTTTTTTTTCTAAAAGGAAATTCAAGTCATTTATAAGTTTCAACTACATCTTCTATTTTTTGTGTTTTTGGGTTTTTTTTGTTTTTGTTGTTGTTGTTGTTGTTGTTTTGATCTGAATTTTCCTCTATCTTAAACTCTTCTGGAGAATAAATCCACAGAAAGCCTCAAAGCTCCCTGTCAATCGCCTCCGTGTTGTCTCCATTTCATCTCTGCCCTGGCCCCGCCTGCTTGCTACCTGGATTAACATTCCCTCTTCCTCCCTGAGCTTGTCTGGGTCCTTTGAGACAGAGAAGCCAAGACCAGATGAAATGGGCCAGAGATTTCCCAAAAGAAACAACTTTGAGGGGAAATGAGGAGGAAGGCGCAGGGAGCTGTCAGACCTTTATGCAGGTTTGAGCTTGAGGAGAAGCAGGCAATGAAGTCGACTGACCCGAACCTGCCAAGCGGAACCTAACCCAGGGAGGCGTCTTTCCAGAGCAGGGGCCAGAATAGGCGAATCCAGGGCACTGCCATGGAGAACAAACCAGGCCGAGTTAGCAAGCTGCAATATTGACTCAAGAAATAAGCTTAAATATAAAAATGGCTTCGTCTGAAATAAATGTACTAAAAAAATAGGAAAAACAATTTGGAAAAAAGGTGAATTATGTTCTCAAAATAAACATTAAAAATAATGATATATCCATGGCATTAGATTTAAACTAACTCAGGGAGATTAGGAAAGCTCAAGAAAAAATTAAAATCATATTGGCCAATGTTCAAAAATCACAGTGTAAAACATTAGCTGCACACATAGGATTGATGAGGACATTAGCTCAGGCATGTTCTTCCAAAGTTGTGGAAATGATAAAACAATGTAAAAATAAAATGGGAAAAATTGACAGAAAAAGAGGAAATTTCACCTTCCGATAGCTGCACTTCCTCAAACAGACATCAGAACAGATCAAAGACAATGAACACAAATTTTGGCTTTAAAGTTTCTAATTGAACACAAATTTGAAATGATCCACCAAGTATCAGTTAAAATCAATGAACAGAGCCTAATTCATAGACATACCCTAGTGAATGTTTGAATTTCTAGAATAAAGAAAACAAGTATTCAACAAAGATGTAAAAGTCATGCTGGCTTCGGATTGTCTTCTGCTAAGAACAGAAAGCAGTGGAGAGCAATCCCCCTTAGGTGTGATGGTGGAGAAAGCATTTCTTCCTGCAGAGGGTTAGCACGACTGTGGGTGTGGGGCCAGCCAAGGTAGGAGGCAACTCCCAGGACCTTGGGGCATCACACACTTCAAGAACCCTGAGCACAGAACCAGCTGCAAACCTGTCAGGCTGGTAGAGGAAGGGGTTCCTGCAGTGGCCCCTGAAGCCACAGTACTGGGGCCAGTCCCATGGAGTGTGGGAGGGAAGAAGGGTCCAGGCTGCTGGCTGAGGAGCCATTGCCCATGTCTGGGCTGGAGGAAGGATGAAGATAGCAAATGGGTGCCAGTGCTATGGAAACACAGGGGTTCCCCCTAGGTCCTCCTGGCCATAGCATGGAGAGCCAATCACTGAGTTGAGTATTGCCAGGGAAGAAGGCTTTAACCGGGTGCTACAGCCGAGGAGAACAGGAGATAAAGTCTCAAATCTGTCTCCTTGACTAAAATTGGGGGATTCACATAGCTGGGAAGGTGGAGAACAGCAATTCGGGGTGGGGTAAGAAAGTCATCCTGATGGATGAGGGGTGTGGCATCTCATTCTCTGGATCCTGGGATCCACTGAAGTTCAGGAAGGAACTCAGTTCTAAGACAAATATAAATTTCAAGTTTTAAGACAGTGGGTCAATTTCTATGTCTATTTAAAAACCAGTAAATATGATTTATATAGGACAGTTGAGCTGGTTTCCTCAGGAGAGCAGGACCTGCTGCCTGACTGTGTCAACACCTGTGAGATTTACAGCCCAAACTCAAGTCAAGTTTTAATTCATTGTCTTAAATATTTTCACTCATAAACGGGGAAAAAAATAAATAAACCTAGGATTCCAAAGGAGAGAAAAACAAAAGTCCAAAAATGATATAGACGTCAATAGTTAATCAAAACAAATAGAAAAATAATACATGAGAAAATAGAAAAATTATAGAGGAAATTCAGAAACCTAAAAACTAATTCCTTGACCAATGAAATAATAGTTTCTAACAAGTCAAATAAAAAGATGAAAAGTATCAAATTTTTGAAATTAGGAAATAGGATATAAGTGTTGTATGGCTAAATTTAAAATTATAGAATTCCTTGTACTATTGCAACTTTTTAAATATTTGGTAAAATATCAAAATCTCAATTATATGGATTATAATCTGGGTTCACTAAAAGTATCTCTAAAGGAGAAACAGAAAAATAGAATCCTTCAAAAAGCACATAAGAAATTGAAATAATTGTTAAATAATTTAGTTCCAGAGAAGTTTTAATGTAACTTCCACAAGGCTTTTGAAAAGCGAGTAATATGTCTCTAGTTAAAATTGGCACATAAAATGAGAGGTAATTTCTCAACAAATTTCATAACGTTAGGATAATTCTAAACCACAACCTAATTTTTAAAAAATATCTCTGAAAGTAAAACTATATAAATATATACAATTATGTTCATAAAAATTAAGAATAAAAATTTACAAGAAAATATGGGAAAATTGCACTTATTGATACAGATGTAAGATAGCAGATTAACTTCATCAAATTACATTCTGAAAAGGTAAAACTCGTTATATAATTAGGATTTTTTCTAATAACGTTTTTCAGTTACAAGAATTATCTATTTCAATTCAGTCTCCTAAACAGGGACAAAAGAGTGAAGCACAAGATATGTTTTTAAGAAAATACCTCCTCTCATTTTATTCTGAAAGTTCTACCTAGTCCATTAATACAGAGGTGTTAACATAGTGATCAGGAATAGATACAAGAGTCTACGAGGGTGTAAGAAATTGGGGCTAATTTTAGATGCGGTTAAAGTATTGATTTATGAGTGCAGGTGCTTGCGGCCTGGACCACTAGCACCGGGGACGCAGCCCTGGAGCTGAGAAGCAGCAGCTGGCCGCTGCAGCATTCAGGGTACACCTGGTAGGGCTACAGGCCCTTGGCATGGCAGAGGAGGAGAGGAATCAAGACCTCCGTGATTCTGGGGCTGTGCAGAGGAGTCTCCCCTCCCTGCAAGGGGAAGTTTGGAGAAAATCAGTTACATTTTTGACGTGATGCATTTTGAAATCGCTGTTGGACATCGGAGTGGAGAGGTCAGGAAAGCAGTGTGTGCAAGAGCCTGGAGATAGGGGAGAGGTCCAGACTGGAGGCGTCACCAGGTGCTGGGCAGTGTCTGAAGCCCCTGGGCTGGGCAAGTACAGATAAGGAAGCATCCCACACTGAATTTGGGGCACCACAGTGTGGGGTGAGGGAAGTGAGGGGACCTTGGTAAGCTGTGCTTCTACTGTACTGAAATTATCAGTGTGGCTTTGAATCACTTTTAGTAAAAGTCCTTGAATATGCAGACAATAGAGTACATTCCTATTTGGAAGCGCAAAATTCACCACATTAGCCTGACCTCTACAATATTAAGCTTCCTGTAGCTTCTAAATCATCATCTAATATGCTTTATGCTAATATAGGTAATTAAAAATGATATGATTACTTTTTAATTTTGATTTCAAATGGATTTTTCTTTAACTATTTCATTGGTATGCTCTTTTCCATTTTAAGATTTAAAATGTTATTTCTTCTTTTGATTTTAATTTCACTTGTTCTTATCAAATGTCCCTATTCAGTTCTTTTAGAATATGGTATCACATTATTATGTAGTGTAGTATTTTTTTTACTTTTACTTTAGGTTCAGGGGTACATGGGCAGGTTTGTTATATAGGTAAACTAGTGTCAGAGGGGTTTGTTGTACAGATTATTTTGTCACCTATTATGTAGTTTTTTAAAAGAAGTGATGCATTGTTTAAAATTAATCTTTCGATTCAGCCTTTCTGAATTTTTATTTGTATTTATGTTCTTTGACACACAACACTTTGGTGCTCCTCTGCTTTTAATCAAAAATATTTAGCCTTTATTGCATAGAAAAATGTGTATGTTTCAATTGTTGGACCTCGTAAGACTTCTTCTACCCTAATTTCTACTTTATGGGTCCTTTTTAGTTATTTTTTTTTCTTTTTCTTTTGACTTGTCTTGTTTGCCTTTACCTTCATTTTTACTTTTACCTATATTCAAGGCAAATTTTAAGTACTTTTTTGCAGAAGATTTATTTTAAACCATCGCAATTCCTCTGTGATGTCTTTGCACATGAACATTAAACTACTTGAATTATAAAATCCTTTATCGACAAGGGTTTGTATATTTTAACTTCAGGGATGCTTTATCCTGATCGATGATGATTTGGATTTCCCCCCCAATCTCAATACTACTGAACAGATGCTAGATTTGTGGTCTAGCTCTGACACACACTTATTTATTAGTGGCTCTGTGTGTGATTCTTAGCAATTTCTCAGCAGCAATTTTGACTTCAGGATATTCTGCATCATTTGAAAGATTTGCAATTGATTTGTTTTATGTTTGCCTCCTTGGATGATGACACCATTTGCTAGTCATCAAGAATGACAGACAAAGATATTGACATCACTTTGGACTGATTTTAAATGTGGTTATATAATTGATTTATTAGTGTATGTGCTTGGATTACAATGTTTTTGTTTTCATAATAAAACTTGTAATTGTGGGGTATTAGATAACACCATGCTGTATTCTTAAATGGTCTTTCAGAGTATCATTTCATTTGTGTCTGTATGATAATCAGATGTCAATGGCAGATGTCAATGGTTTCCATTTGTACAGGATTCAACACAACTTATGGCAGTAAAATAAGCCCTTCTAAAATTTCGGTGAATTATCAGAGAGGTTCATCCCGGGGCCCAGCTCAAATGCAAGTGTCTCCATTTGTTGAATTAGGAAGTCTATACAACACCACACCAACCCATGGCACTTCCACTGTCTGGAATGCACTTTCTAGATATGGAACTTCTCTCCCATCCCCCAGAAATATCTATTCACAAATGTTCTAGCCTACTGCACTTAACCACCAGACTAGCTGCTGGTTTCTTCCTTGCGTTGTATTTATTCACAGTTCTCCAATCTATGTTTATTCATTCGCTTATTTACATTTGTGTATCTGTAGCCTGTTTCACAATGCATTGCCCTTCACAACCACTTGGTATCATGTATTTGTCCTTGTTGCTAGAGGCAGGCTCATACTGGCTTTGATAATTGATCATGTACATCTCTGTCCAACTCAGAGACTCTTCTCAGCCTCTTCAGTGAGGTCACATTAGTAGCTCAAAATTGGCCTTGGTGGAAGTAGTCAATGGCAATTATTTTTTTCTGGACCTTTTAAAAAATTTTCTGACAGCCAGTTAAATACTAATCAAGACACCACTAAGTTTCCTTTTTCCTTATCTTCTTAGGTTTAATCCTGCTCCTAATTCTACTTTTCCTTATTTGTTCACAGTAACTTGGTATTTGTCGATTTTGTTAACTCTGTAGCTATTATTTAGATGATCACTGATTTTCCTAAATTTAGTTCTTGTTCAGATTATCAATTTAGGTATGGTATAGAGCTACAAAACTGATTTCACTACATTTTATTCTATTAGTAATATTGATTTTTTTCTAATTCATAACATTCCATTCATCCTTTGTACCATGTCACTATGAAGGGGTTAAGACCAGTTCAGAAGGACTGGCTTCAGTATCTGAGATCATAGCAGGCCTCCCTGAAGCCTCAGGCAGCCTGCATCCCAGCACACTCCCTGGCCCAAGGGTGTTTATGAAGTGCACCTTTTGCCAGGCGCGGTGGCTCACCGCTGTAATCCCAGCACTTTGGGAGGCCTAGGTGGGTGGATCACCTGCGGTCAGGAGTTCTAGATTAGCCTGGCCAACATGGTAAAACCCCGTTTCTACTAAAAATACAAAAATTAGCCAGGCGTGGTGGCAGGCGCCTGTAATCTCAGCTACTTTGGGGGCCGAGGCAGGAGAATCGCTTGAACTCGGGAGGCGGAGGTTGCAGTGAGCTGAGATCGCACCATCACAGTCTAGCCTGGGGGACAAGAGCGAGACTTCATCTCAAAAAAAACAAAAACAAAAACAAAAAAAAACAAAAGAAGTGTACCTCAGCAGACATATGGAGGATGGAGCTGGGGATGACCCATTGGGCTGACGCAAGTAGGGGCCACCTGGACCACACTGACAGGCTGTAGGCTGAGTGCTGCTTTCTGAATTGGAGTTGCAAGTGAGACCAGATATACAGGGAATGCTCATCTTTTGTTTCTTCTGGGTACATTACAAATGATTATTCCCTCATTTCTGAGTCACATCACATTCACTTCATAGTCACATCACAAACAAGCTGATGTTTGTGACTTTTAAAATATATTAATGGAATTTGGAGAAGGGGCATTTCCTGGTGTTGCCATTTTTCTGTTTTTCAAGATGCTACTTAGGCTTCTATTGTGAAGGTTAAACTTGACGGCATGTCATAGTAACCAGTGAATTGAGGTCTAACTATAAAAATAAGACAGTATAATTTAAACATATCATGGCAACATTAGTGCTTTCCCACATACTTGAAATTGTTATGCCTCAAATGTGGGGAAGTAGAGGGAAGAAATGCATGAGAGGCAGAAGATGATGACAAAATCAGGGCAGCTAAGACATTGAAATGGGTCCAGTGAAAGAAGGAGTCCCGGGAGCTAGACACCAAGGCTGGTCAAAGGCGAGGATGAAAAGAGGAGCGGCTACAGGGTGATGACCTAGTCAGAATTCTGGGGACACACAATGGCCATCCATGCAGACCCTTTTTGCTCCTTAAGTTTGCCCTAGGAGCTCCTCAAGGCTTTCACGTTGCTTTTGCCAGTGACCACTGAAATTGTACTGGAAGAAAAAAGAACTTATTGGAAATAAACAACAAACCTGATTAACATATTTTGAATATATTCTATTTGAATTCAAATAGTCCAAGTTGGTCTTTAACGATAACAAATAGGTGCCCCAGTATGCCGTCATTCACGCTTGCAATTCTGAAATAGGGAGACCATCTGGCATGTTAGATCCCACTGAAAAAGTTTGAGAGACAAATATATGTTTTGCAAAAGAGTCAAATAACTAATCTCAATTTTAATCTTGTGATTAGAATTGGGATCTAATTCTAGGTTTCAGTTTTCCCATCTGAGTGTTGAAGTATCAGAACAAAGAACACCAAGGCCTAATATTTTGTAGTTTGAGCATTTCAAAGCCTCAATTTCCCACCTCACATTTAACACCCATACATCTCCTTTAGGAACAGAGGGAATATTAACACAGATGAAGCAGAGCTCTGTGGTCTTAACAATGAACAACTGCATAAGTAGCAAAAAGACAAGGTGATGTACTATCCTAATAATTTTCCCAGGTCAAGCGTATTTGATAAAAACTTTGAAATTCTATTATATAAATTATATTCTGACATAAATGGATCAGGGACACATGCAAAATTGTATTTAATTTCTAATGGTAGGACCATCAGGAAGACAAAAGAACTTGTTCAAAAACAGGGATTTACAACAGTCAGTATGGAAAGGAATGCATATATAAGATTGCTAAATTACATAATATGCTGTTTGACTTTTTACAGACCAATAAATCCATAACATCTCTAGGTTAGCATCCCTACTGAACTATAGAATCATAACACCTTATCAATTTCTGCAGGCTAACTTCTCATTTTATAGGGATACTTAGGATCTGCTCCTTTCTTATTTGGGAATTGTTAGTCAAATATACTGTGACAGTGAAATCATCCCAAAGCTACTTTTAGCCATGATGGAACAGGGTGCATGAGAGTAACTCCCACTACTGAGAACAAATCTAAGGGATAGAATGCACACACATTAAAACACAAAGCAAAACAAAAAAAAAAAAAACTGATTTGAAAGCATGAGAGAACAAAGGACTTGAAGGTCTAGCTCTCACAGGAAAGGAAGGCTCACTGAGATAAACCCCAGGTTCACCTCCTTACTTTAAGATTCTTTTAAGATTTGTATTTAAGGATTTGTATCAGGCAATAGGAAACTCACAAGCCAGGAGACGGGTAAACAGGCATAAAAAAAAGGTCCTTTAGAAGACAACAAATGAGATAAAAGGAACAAAAAAAGATGGGCTAAATAGGAAAGAACTACTAAGGCCATAGATTTAAGCCAAATATATTCATTACTATATTGAATAAAAATCAATTAAATATATTTTTAAGACAAAGATTTTCAAACACAGTTTCTTAAACTCCATATTCTGCTTTCAAGGGACACTTTAACTGCAGGATGGCAAAAATGTTGAATGTAAAAAGATACAAATATGGACCCTATAAATTATAACCAAAAAAATGCAGTTAGCAGAACAGACAAAGTAGATTTTAAGGCAAGAAGCATCTCTTGAGACAAGCGATAAAAGCCTCAATTTAGCCAGATGACATTACTCTGCTAATTATATATGTAACTAATAGCATAGCTTTAAAGTAAAGCAAAATTGGAAAGAACTAAAAAGAGAGATGACAATTCCATAATTATAATTGGAAGTTTTATTTGTCATCACACATCAGACAAAGGACTTTTGCAGAGTACATGAAAATTCTGACAAATAAATAAGGACTTGACAACCAGTAGAAAATAATGACAAGATACTTCAAAAGACACATATTAGCAGAGAATATCCAAACAATCAGTCATCAAGGAAATGCAAGTTAAAGCCACCATTCGATACTATTGCACATCCGCCAGGGTCGATAAAATATAACAATAAAAAAAAACAGCAATAATACCAACATCAAGCTCTGGATCAACTGGAGTTCTTATATACTGATTCTGATGTAATCACTTTGGGAAAACATTTATTGCTTTCTGCTACAGCTGAAAGTACACATGCCCTGTGACCCAACTCTTCCATTCCTGTGATAGTTGCACAGCAAGGACACTTCTAAAAATGCTTATGGAAGAATGTTTTACTTCATAATAGGTCCTTTTAATAGCTACCACTATAGTACTCTAACTTTCTGCTATTGATAGATACTTTAAAGTAAATATCTATCAAGAGTAGAAAGTAAATGTCTATCAAGAGTAGTAAATAAATTTTGATATATTCATAAAATGAAAAGATACAAATACGGACCCTATAAATTATAACCAAAAGAATGCAGTTGGCAGAACAGACAAAGTAGATTTTTTTTTTTTTTTTTTTTTTTTTTTTTTTGAGACGGAGTCTCGCTCTGTGGCCCAGGCGGGAGTGCAGTGGCGCAATCTCGGCTCACTGCAAGCTCCGCCTCCCGGGTTCACGCCATTCTCCTGCCTCAGCCTCCCGAGTAGCTGGGACTACAGGCGCCCACCATCACGCCCGGCTAATTTTTTTTGTATTTTTAGTAGAGACGGGGTTTCACCGTGTTAGCCAGGATGGTCTCGATCTCCTGACCTCGTGATCTGCCCGCCTCGGCCTCCCAAAGTGCTGGGATTACAAGCGTGAGCCACCGCGCCCGGCCAGACAAAGTAGATTTTAAGGCAAGAAACATGCAACAATGAGAATGAAATAAGTAAAGCTACTTCGACAATGTGAATAAATCTTATGAACATAATATTGAGGAAAAGAAGTCCTGCTATACAGGGGTATATACATTATGATTATCTAAGGAGTGCAGAGATAGGCAAACCTATTTTATTCTGTTAGAAATCAGCAAAGGCACATGAGGGGGCTTCCCAGGCCCTGGTCATGTTCTGTTTCTTGATTTGTGTTGCAGTTTCATGCTGTGTTGGCATTTTTGTGTGTGCTCTCTCAGCTGGGTGGGAAGGCCTATGTAATAATACTTGCCCAGTGAGTTAGCTTGTGCAAGCCCCAGGGATCTGCCTCTCAGTTCTGCATATTGTGTGCAAAGGAGACAGTGACATTTTTTTACTTACATTTTATTCGTTCATTTTTCAAACACTGCTCCGTGGAATGAATATAAATGTTCATCAGATCCTAATAACTGTGAGAAAAGACTTCTATGGTCAAGTGAATTTAGAAAATGCTGCCCACTCTGCCCCTTTCGCTGAGGTTCTCAGTATATGTTAGCATAATTAAGGTTCTGAAAAGATCTTCAATGAAGAATCCTCACTTAAGTTGTTTAATGAAGCCTGTCCCCAATTTATTTGACAGCGGGGACACTTTTTTAAACAGGTTACCTTTTGCTATATTGGAATATGAACTTTGGGAAATATTTTTCCTTTTTTATTCCTTTGAGGAGGACATATTATTTCTGTTTCCTGAGAATGTTGAGCATGAGAATACTTTAGCCTTTAAAAATGGAGATATATTTTATATCTTGAATTTTGGTGGAGACTGGGTGGCATATGATAAATCAACTTGAAAGGATTGGAACAGGGTAATCAAGGAGTTATGCACTAGGTTCCACGAATCTAGAATACGGCATGTTCCCAGAGGGCTGGAAGGAAGAGTATAAACTACAAGAAGGGCTCCTATTCCTGCATAGCACTCCCTGGGAGTCACTGAGAAAGACAGGATATTAATTTGGCAGGATAGTTTTCAAGCTGGCAGGCGTTTTCTTTTGATGAAGATTATTTCTTCCATAGAGACAAAATTTGATTTTTTTCGTGCTTGTTTTAGTCCCTCTTTAAAAACTTTTGCTCATTTGAACTCTTAGTTAAAAATGATTTTGTACTAGGTCCTTACTAGGAAAACACACATGTCCACATGAACAAATAAATGTGCACAAACACATCAACATATTTTTAGTTTACTCTTAGTGAAATGAAAATGTATCTTAGGAAACCAGTTTTTTTTTTTTTTATCCTTTTGAGACCAGTACCCTGTGAAACTAAAATATGTCAGGTATATAAAAGGGAAATCGAAATACAATAGATGTTGATTCCTCTGTATAAATAACAGTTGGGAAATTTTACATTTGGCAGTCAGAGCTGGTGCTAAGGAACATAATTTACAATAAGTTACAGAAAAAGCAGCTGTTTCAAAAGAGGTTTGGGATGTAAAGTTTGGAATACTTGGGAATTATCTGTTGTTTAATTTCAGAAAATGGAAAAAAATTACCAATAGTCTAGTGCCTAAAATAAAATGCGTTGCCACAAGCAGATGCTGGACCCTGCTGGGCTCTCACTGCTTGGAGTTCTGCTCCATGGGGGCTGTGTCATTCTGGTGTGACGAACCATTCCTCAACACCTAGTCCTGGATGGAAGGGGAGGAGATATGACATAGACACCTATGTGTGTCGTTTCTAGGCTTTTTCTGGAAGGGGAGGAGATATGACATAGACACCTATGTGTGTCGTTTCTAGGCTTTTTCTTTTCTTTCTTTCTTTTGACAGGTTCTCACTCTGTCATCCAGGCTGGTGTGCAGTAGCACAATCACAGCTCACCTCAGCCTCGACCACCCAGGCTCAGGTGACCCTCCCACCTCAGCCTCCTGAATAGCTGGGATTATAGATAGCACCGCCATGCCCGGCTAATTTTTGTATTTTTTGTAGAGACGGGGTTTTGAACACCTGGGCTCAAGCAGTCCACCTGCCTCGGCCTCCCAAAGTGTTATGATTACAGGCATGAGCCACTGCACCTGATCCTTGTTCATCAACACAGTCTTCCTATGGCTTACCATCCCTTGTTATAAAAATCCAAAACATAGTGGCAATTTATCCACCAACTCAGCTGTGATACTTTTATTTCAGTATGCCAATTCATTATTTAATTTGAAGACTTAACTCAACTGTACATATACTGAGCTCTAGCTCTGTGCTGCATGCAGCACTAGACCCTAGGGTGAGGCTGCAGTGCTGTGTTGGCTCCTGTCCTGAGGGACTTCCAATCAGGGAAAAGCGTGGGTGGGGGCCTAGGGCTGTCACTGAGAAGGCTGTTTTGCTGGAGACACAGGAGCAGCCAGGAGGGGAGGCTCAACTAAAAATAGCCCAAGAGGTTCTAGCCAGATTTGGAATTTGTAAGCTACAGCCTTATCATCTGTTCAGCGCTAAGTGCAAGCACCTATCCTGGGCTAGAGTGTGCTGGCAACTAGGGCAGCAGTAGGCGCCGAACACAGCCTCTGCATTGCAGGAGACATGTTGTGAAAGACTTTTTTTAAGGGATGGAAGATGGCTCTTCCCCAGTCAAGAGTGAGTTTTTGTTAAATGTGCTAGGCCATTCTGATACTATATGTCTAAGTCCATTCATGCTACTATAACAAAATACCACAGGCTGGGTAATTTATAAACATCAGAAATGTATTTTCTCACAGTTCTAGTGGCTGGGAAGTCCAACATAAAGGCACTTGCAGATTTGGTGTTTGGAGAGGGCCTGTTCAATTGATGGTGTCTTGCCATGGTAGCGTCCTCACACAGTGGGCAGGGGAGGGATGGAAAGGATGAACAGTTCCCTCACATTTGTTTCCTAAGATCACCAAATCCCACTCATGAGGGCTCTGCCCTCATGACTTAATCACCTCCTGAAGGCTTCACCTCTTAATACTATCACATTGTTGATTAAGTTTCAATGTACGAATTCCAGGGGGACACCAATATTCAGATCACAGCATTGTGCATCAGCACCAGTGAGCAGGGTGGACATACTCATGGAGTCCAGATGGTATAAACAACAAAAAAACCCTTCACAATGTGAACCCTCTGCTCTGACATCAAATGATCACAGAAAAAATCAGTTAAGCCAGGTTTATCAGCTGTCCATGAGGCAAGAAAAGCATTATATCCTATAGCAATTTCAAAATTAATCATTTTTAACCAGAGCATCCTTTAACTGAAACCATGCAAAATCAACACAATGTAACATATCAGTAATTAATTATCAGCCATAGGACTTGGACTAATAGTCTCTCTGAGTCTCATTTTTCATATTTATATAATTTTTCTGCCTGCATATTTCTTGTAATATATAGCATATAAATATAAAAATTAAGTAGCATATAAATATGAAAATTAAGTATAATCAATGTTAATTAATTAAGATTAACCCATTCTCCCACTTAATAATGAAGTTAAATGTATGGGAGGTTACTTGCATTGAGTAATTATAATAGTAGAATCCATTTGTATATATGTATAAATTTTATACATTCTCTTAAGTAATTCATATTTTCATTCACCAGGTAGTCATGAGTGATATATTTTCCCAAGATTCTTAGTAGTTATTGTGCTTCAAGTCTATAAAATTAAAGTAAACGTTTAATGAAAAAGAAAGTACAGGTCCGGTGTGGTGGCTCACACCTGTAATACCAGCACTTTGGGAGGCCAAAGTGGGTGGATCACTTGAGGTTAGGAGTTTGAGACTAGCCTGGTCAATGTGGTAAAACCCTGTCTCTGCTAAAAATACAAAAATTAGTCAGGTTTGGTGGTGCATGCCTGTAGTCCCAGCTACTCAGGAGGCTGAGGCACAAGAATCGCTTGAACCCAGAAGGTGGAGGTTGCAGTGAGCTGAGATTGCACCACTGCACTCTACCCTGAGTGAAAGAGCAAGACTCTACTTCAAAAAAAGGAAAGTATAACACATCACAACTTGTGAGAGACAGATAAAGCAGTGCTAAAAGGAAAACATATGGAATGAAATGCTCACATTAGAAAAGAGAAAAAAATTCCTAAATCAATAATTAAGTTCCTACTTGAAGAAACTTGAAAAAGCAAAGCAAAATAAACCAAAAGCAATGGAAAGAAAAAATAGTAAAGATGAGAACAAAAATCAGTAAAATTGAAAACAAAAAATCATGTAAGAAAATCAATGAAACCAAAAACTGGTTGGTTCTTTGAAAAGATCAACAATTAAACACATAGCAAGACAAAGGAAGAAAAGAAAGAAGACATGAATTACTAAAATAAGTCATAAAATAGGAGGTATGATTACAGGTCCAACAGACATTAAAAAGAAAATGAAGGAATATTATCAGCGACTCTATGCACATAAATTTAACAAGTAAGAAGATGTAGACAAAGTCCTCAAAAAATGCAAACTACCTCAATTCATTCAATATGAAATAATTCGCTTGAGAACTATTAAGAAAATTGGATTGATAATTTTTTTTTTTTTTTTTTTTTTTTTGAGACGGAGTCTCGCTCTGTCGCCCAGGCCGGACTGCAGACTGCAGTGGCGCAATCTCGGCTCACTGCAAGCTCCGCTTCCCGGGTTCACGCCATTCTCCTGCCTCAGCCTCCCGAGTAGCTGGGACTACAGGCGCCCGCCACCTCGCCCGGCTAATTTTTTGTATTTTTAGTAGAGACGGGGTTTCACCTTGTTAGCCAGGATGGTCTCGATCTCCTGACCTCATGATCCACCCGCCTCGGCCTCCCAAAGTGCTGGGATTACAGGCGTGAGCCACCGCGCCCGGCCGGATTGATAATTTTTTAAAAACTCAAACTCAATAGTAATACCAAACATTGAAAGAAGAATTAATTAGTATCCTTAAATCTCATCCAATAATTTCCCAACTCATTCCATGAAGTTATTATTATCCTGATACCAAAACCAAAGACAGTGAAAAAAATACAGGTCAATATTTTGCATGAATACTGCCACAAAATTTCTTTTAAAATATTGATAAAAAGAATACATCAATACAGAAGAAGAATTGCATGCCAAGAACAAGGGGAGTTTATTCCAGATATGCCAAAGTTGGCTTAGTACTCAAACACTGATCAATAGAGTTTCCAGTCTGGCATGTAGAAGCTTGGAAGTTGCAACTCTATCCTAAAAACAGGTAAAACTCTGAACAAACTAAAAAATCAACAACTCTTCTTGGATCCCTCAGAGGTCACAGGACAAACTGTTACTCTCCAAATTGAAGAGACCTGTAGGCAAATACAGAAAATCACAACTTACCTGAGCAGAAAGCTCCATGGGAACCAGTATTGGGTTAGGAAAATGTAAACTGTAATTGAGGAAAACCTAACCGGTAACTGATGAATTGCTGGAAGTTTGCTGGACAAGCTTGAAAGTAAAAAACTCCACAGGGATTCAGTCATAGGGTCACAGTTCCCACACTTTGAGTTTTACTGCCAGGAGCTCAACAAGGTTCTCACAGTGAATATTAGAGAAAAATTCGCTCACACTTCTTGCAGGGGGAGGGGAAAAATAGCCATTTGAAACACTCCAGAGCATTGTGTTCTTCTCAGTTCTCAGGAGAAACTGTTTAACAAGAACTTAACCTGCTAGGGTTTTATCAGAGCCTAACTGATCTGGGTGAAGAGAAATACTCAACTTTAGCCCACTATAGCCTTCCTGTACAACCATTATGTATGCTTTACATATATGTGTGTGTGTGTGTGTATGTATGTGTGTGTGTATATATATGTGTATGCTTTATATGTGTGTGTGTATATATGTGTGTGTATATATGTATGCTTTATATATGTATATACACACACACAAACACACAGATATAAGCATAAATACATTGTTGCTGTTATTATGAACTGTTATCTTTTAAATCAAGGTAAGAAAACATCGAAGTTTTTTTTTTTAAAAAAACCTTCACTTATTCTTTCTATGATGTTACTTCTTTCTTTATTTAGATATGGGTTTCTTACCCATACAATTTTCTTTCTCGCTAAAGAACTTTGAACATTTCTTGTAAGGGTGGTCTACTAACCACAAATCCCTCAATATTTGTTTGTCTGACAAAGTTTTTATTACTCCTTCACTTTTGAAAGTTAATTCTGCAGGCTACAAAATTCTAGAGTGGTGATTTTTTCTTACAACACATTACATATGTATATACACACACACATATCATAAGCATACACACACACATACCCATATATGTAAAATATATGTAAAATATACATAACCTACATAAGCTTATGTATAACAGAAATGAATGACAGCAGTAGGACAATGGATAAAAAGAAGAATTAGGTTTATTTTGTTATTATAAGATACTCTCATTACCCACAAAGTGGTTTAGTGTTATTTGAAAGCTGACTTATGTTAGCTGTATACTGCAAAGTCTAGGGCAACCCCTATAAAAAGTAAAAAAGGAAATATACCATGTATGCTAAGAAAGAAGAAAAATAGAATCATAAAGTGCTAAATTAAAGCCACAAAAAGCATAAAAAAGTTGAAGACAAAAACAGGAACAAAGAGCAAGTGCAACAAATAGAAAATAGTGAGAAATATGGCAGATATTAATTCAACTATATTAACAGTCACTTTGAACATAAATGGGCTATATACACCAAGAAACAGATTTTCAAAGGGGATCAAAAACAACACACCACTATTTGTTGTCTGCAAGAAATCAGACACATAGACTATCCCCCCTTATCCACAAAGGATATGTTCTACAACCCCCAGTGGATGCCTGAAACCTTAGATAGTATTGAACCCTATACATACTATGTTTTTCCCTTATAATAATGGGTGAGTAGCATACACACCAAGAATATGCTAGACAAGGGGATGATTTATGTACCAGGAAAGATGGCATGGGATGGCATGAATGTTCATCATGCTATTTAGAGCAGTGCAAAAAAATTAAAGTTTAGGAGTTTTTTATTTCTGGAATTTTCCATTTAATGTTTTTGGATTGCAGTTGACCATGGGTAACTGAAACCATGGAAAGCAAAACTGTGGATAAAAAGGGACTACTATATAGCTTCAAAGTAAATGGATGGATAAAGTTACACCATGTTAAGACTAATCAAAATAAAGGATAAGTAGCTATATTAATTTCTGACAGAGCAGACTTTAGAACAAGGAAAGTTATCAGCCAGAGGGAGGTATTATATAATGATAAATGAGTCAATTATTCAAGAAGACACACAGGTCTTCAATATGCATTTGCCTGAAAACAGTATCAAAACACATGAGGCAAAATCTGATAGAACTGCAAGAAGAAACAGGTGAATCCACTTTTATACTTGCATATTTCCACACCCCTCTACCAGAAATGTATAGATTCGGGAAGCTGAAAAATCAGTAAGGACATAGTTGACCTGAAGAGTACCATGAGTCAAGTGGATATAATTGACATCTATTGACTACTTCATCAACAATAGCATAATACACATTATTCTCAAGATGATATGGAACCCTTACTAAGATAGACCACATTCTGGGTCATAAAATACCTTAATAAATTTTGAAAAATGGAAATCATACAATAGCTGCTCTCAGACTACAAGGGAATTAAATTAGATATCAGTAATAGAAAGATACCTGGAAAGTCCCCAAATACTTGAATGTTAAACAATAAACTTATAAATAACACATGGAGCCTAGAAGTCTCAAGAGAAGTTTAAAAATATTTTAAACTAAATAAAAATTTAGTTTATTTTAAACTAAATAAAAATATATGTGTGGGATATAGTGAAAGCAGGACTTTAGGGACATTTGTAGCATTGAATGCATAAATTAGAAAAGAAGAAATCTAAAACCAATAATCTAAGCTTCCACCTTTAGAAACTAGAAAAAGAAGAGCAAATTAATTTCAAAGTAGGCCAAAGAAAATAAATGGAGCAGTAATCTATTAATTTAAAACAGGAAAACAATAGAGAAAGCTGATTAAAACAAAAGCTTGTTTATTGAAAAGATTAATAAAAGTTCTAAGTATCTCACCAAGCTAAGAACAAAAAAGAGGATGCAAATTGCTATAAGAAACAAAAGAGAGGACATCATTACAGATCCCATGGACATTAAAGGGATAATAAAAAAATACTACAAACAATCCTATTCCTGCAAGTTTAATAATCAAGATGAAATGAACCAATTCCTTGAAAGACACAATCTGACAAAGCTCACACAAAATGAAATAGATACTCCAAATAGGTCTATATATATAAAAGAGATATAATCAATAATTAACATCCTTCCAAAACAGGAAGCACCGTGGACCCAGATAGGATCACTGGTGAATTATACCAAACATTTAAGGAAGAACTGATATCAATATTTTACAATTTCTTTCAGCGTTACCCTATTACCAAACCAGACATAGACACTACAAGAAAGGAAAACTAAAGACTAATATTTCTTAAGAATATAGATGCAAAAATCCTCAACAAACTATTAGCAAATTGAACCCAACCATGTGTAAGAATAATTATACATCACAACTACATGGGATTTATCCCAGGTATGCCTTAATTCATCACATCAGCAGGCTAAAGAAGAAAAATCACGATGATATCAGTAGATACAGAAAAAAGACCTGACAAAATCTAACACCCTTTTATGATAAGGTAAACTAGGAACAGAGGAGAACTTCATCAACTTGATAAAGACTATTTACAAAAAACCTACAACATCGTACTTACTGTTGAGAAACTTGAAGCTTTCCCACCAGGATTAGGAACAAAATAAGGCTGTCTCCTTTCTTCATTTCCTTTCAACATCATAGTGGAAGTCCCAACTACTGCAATAAGACAAGAAAAAGAAATAAAATGTATACTGATAGGGAAAGAAGAAATAAAACTGTCTTTGTTTGCAGATGACATGATGGTCTGTGTAGAAAATTCAAAACAATCAAGAAAAAAAACTTCAGGAACTAATAAGCAAGATTGCAGTGTACAAGGTTAATAGACAAAATTCAATCACTTTCCTATATACTAGCAAATGACAACTGTAATTTAAAATTAAATACATAATACATTTATATTACTATCACCAAAAAGAAATACTTAGGTATAAAATTAGCAAAATATACATAAGATCTATATGAGGAAAAATATAAAATTATGATAGAAAAAATCATAGAATATATAAATAGAGAGATGTTTCAAGTTCATGGATAGAAAGACTCAACATTATCAAGATCTATTGTTGAGCAATAGATTCAACACAATCCCAAACAAAATCCCAGGAAGCAATTTTATAGTTATCAAAACGGATCCTGTTTTATCTGGAGGGGCAAAAGACCTAGAATAGCCAACACGATATTGAAAGAGAAAAACGTAGCTGAACTTAATATAAAGCAATGGTAATCAAGACAGTGTGGTATTGGCAAAAGAATAGACACATTGATCAATGGAACAGAATAGAGAGCCCAGAAATAGACTCAGATAAATATGAACACTGTTTGCTAACACTGTTAGCTAACACTGTTTGCTAACAGAGTAAACATAGTACAATGGAACAATGATAGTTTTTTCAACGAATGGTACTGGAACAACTGAGCATCCACATGTGAAAAAATAAATCAAGAGACAGACTTTACACCCTTCATAAAAATTAACTTAAAATAGATTATATACCTACATGTAAATCATAGAACCATAAAAGTCGTAGAAGATCACATAGGAGAAAGTCTAGATAGCTTTGGGTTTGGTGATGAATTTTTAGATACAACATCAGTAACATGAATAATAAAGAAAGAATTGATGGGCTGGCCTCCATTAAAATTAAAAATTTTTGCTCTCTGAAAGATGTTCTCAAAAGAATGAAAGGCAAACCACAGACTGGAAGAAAACATTTGCAAAAGACATAAAAAAAACTGTTGTCCTAAATATACAAACAATTTTGGAATAGAATAAAGAGGGAAGAATCATTCCACCCCATTTAAAATCTATTGTATTGTGAAGAGGACAGACACATAGATCAGTGGAACAGCAGAACACAGAAACAGACCCACAACAGTACAGCAAATTTATTTTTGACAAAGGTGCAAAGGTAACTCAATGAAAGGGTAGTTTTTTGTTTGTTTGTTTGCTTGTTTTTTTAACAAATGACACTGTAACAATTGGATATCCGTAGCCAAAAAAAAAAAAAAAGAATCTCAAACCCAAACCTCACACCCTATGAAAAATTTATCTCAGAATGGATCATAGATTTAAATGTAAACCATAAAAGTATAACATTCTTATGAAATAACAAGAAAAAAACTTTAGGACGTAGGGCTTCTTGATGAGTTGTTAGGACATCAAAAGCAGGATCCATAAGATAGAAAATTGATGCATTTGATCGCATTGAAATATAAAATTTTTTTGAAATATAAATTTTTTCTTTTATCAAAGACCCCTTTAAGATGATAGAAAGCTACAAGCTCAGATAAAATATTTGTAAACCACATGTCTGATAAAGGAACAGTACGTGGAACATATAAATAACACAACATTAAACAATAAAAACACCAAACAATTCAGTTAGAAAATAGGCAAAATACATGAAGAGTCCTTTCACAGATGAAGATATAAAATGGCAAATAAACACATGAAAAGATGAACATCACCCGCCACTAGGGAAATACAAATTAAAACTTGAGATATCACTATACATCAATATAATGGCTAAAACAAAAACTTGTGACAAGATCAAATGCTGGTAAAGATGTGAGTAAACTGGATTCGTGGTTGGACTGTAAATTTTATAGACATTCTGGAAAACAGTTTGTCAGTTTCTTATAAAACTAAATACTCAGCTACCACACAATCCAGCAATTGTGGTAGTTGTATTTCTCCTGTGCTTTCATTTAGGAGAAAGACTATGTTCACAGAAAATATTCAGCTTTATTTATAATAGCTCAAAACTGGAAAAAAACAAAATGCCACTCAGTTGTTAAATTATTAAACTGTGGTACAGCCATACCATGGAATACAACTTACCTGTTAAAAGGAATGAACTATTGATACTCACCACAACTTGGATAGATCTCAAAGGCTTTATGCTGAGTTTTAAAAGCCAATCCCAAAGCCCACTTTTGATACTATATGATTCCACTTACGTAGTATTCTTTTAATAATAAAACAATAGATATGGAGAATATTATCAGCCCTGAGGGGTTAAAGATGGTGGGGCCAGAGAAGGTGCAGTGTGACTATATAGGGTGGCAGAGGGAGGTCTTGATTGGGTGGTGATTACACAAAGTTGTATATGCAATCAAATAACATAGACGTATATGCACATATTATTGAAGTGGCTACGTTGTCTGGGGTATATACCCAGGGTTTGTGGTCTTGCTCCAGGAAAATTTAGGACAGGGACACACACAAAGAGTTTGGGAGCGGAGGTTTAATAGGCAGAAGAAAGAGAAAGAACAGCTCTCTCTCTAGTGAGAGAGAAGGGACTTCCAAGAGGAAAGACTGGCTGGTGGCAGATGCGCTGGATTTTATATTCCGCCTTGAGGAGGCAATGTCTGGTTTACATAGGGCTCACAGATTGGTTGGATCAGATGTGACATTTACATAGCATGGGGGAAGGCTGGTCACCCCACCCTAATCTTATTTTGTAAATGAACTCTCCCCTTGGTGGTTGCCATCTTATCTGCTCCTTACTATACACATGGCTGGCAGAGAAGGGAAGATGGAGCCACCATCTTGAACATGTCTAGTCAGTAGTTCCTGCTGGCATTGACTCTTGTAAGCTCCCAGCTTGTCTATGTCTGCAGCTCAACTTTACAGGCTGCTCTTTGTTAGAAAATGATTTGAGGCTGCTTTTCATTAAAAGAAAAGCTTTACCGAGGACTCCCATACCCTCACTATCTGCCTAAGTGATTTCTTCTTCACTCCTGTATTATTCTATAATCATGTAAGCTGTAACTTTGGGAAAAAAACTGAGTGAAGGCTGCATAGGACCTCCTACTCCCTTTGCAACTTCCAGGTTTGATTTCAAAATAAAACAAATTTTTAAAAAGTAGTATGTTTTTAAAAAGAAAATAAATGCACATGCATGTAGATACACATGTTTAGAGGGACTTGGTTGAAACAATCTCACAACTTGATTGATTTATTAGGAATGCTGCTTATAGGAGGAAGGCTTTAAAAAATTTCAGTAATTAAAATCTGTTGTAAAAATCCAAATTTACATTTTAGTTAAATTTTTATAACTTACCACTTTTACATGGTTTTTATTCAAAAAGAACTTACCTATTACAAGAGCAGTAACTTTACATCATAACTAAATATTTGAAGCAGGAAAAAATAGCAACATAGCATATATTAATTTTTTTTTTTTTTTTTGAGATGGAGTATCACTCTGTCGCCCAGGTTGGAGTGCAGTGGCGCGATCTCGGCTCACTGCAACCTCCTCTCCCCAGGATCAAGCAATTCTCCTGCCTCAGCCTCCCAAGTAGCTTGGATTATAGGCACCTGCCACTGCACCTGGCTAATTTTTGTATTTTTAGTAGAGATGGGGTTTCACCATCTTGGCCAGGCTGGTCTTGAACTCCTGACCTCATAATCTACCCACCTCAGCCTCCCAAAGTGCTGGGATTAGAGGTGTGAGCCATCGTGCCAGGCCATCATGTATTAATTCTAATTGTTATCTGAATAATCCCCTCCTTAAGCTAAAAATCACTTAAGATGAAGAAAGCTTACTTTAGGAATTTTTAAGGGTCCACATTTATACAGCTTATTTGAAACATAAATTGACCTTCCATCACCTCAACTGTACTGTGTTAAGACAGAAGCAGCATATTCAACATGGGCAGTTCTATGATGTATTAGGAAAAGGGGTAAAAGACAGTACTTATCATGAGAGTACATGATAGCTATGGAAAGTGACCATTCATCACTCAGCCATCTCCACCACAGCAGCCACTGCTACAGCAGTGCCACTGCTTTTACTCACGCTGTGAAAGAACCAGTACAATAGTTCCTCAGAGTCATCAGGGACTAAATAAACAAAAAGGAAGCAAATTTTGGTAAATATTCGTTTTTCACATTCTAAGCAAGTTTACATTCCCTCTTGGAATTAATTTCATTGGTAATATATTTTAATGTGAGGTAAACCTTGATTTCTATCATTTAAAAAAGAGTTTTATTTATTTGTGTGCATTGTACTTTGTGTGTTTGTAAACTACAATACAATAGAAAACTCTACAATGAGAAAATTACTGTCTAATGGAGATGTCAGAGGTGTTTGAACCAGAGCCACTCCATCTTGAATAGGGGCTGGGTAAAATGAGGCTGAGACCTACTGGGCTGCATTCCCAGATGGTTAAGGCATTCTAAGTCACGAGATAGGATGTTGGCGCAAGAAAGAGGTCGGCTCAAGAAACAGGTCATAAAGCCCTTGCTGATAAAACAGGCTGCAGTAAAGAAGCCGGCTAAAACCCACCAAAACCAAGATGGCCATGAGAGTGACCTCTAGTCATCCTCACTGCTACACTCCCACCAGCACCATGACAGTTTACAAATGCCATGGCAACATCAGGAAGTTACCTTATATGGTCTAAAAAGGGGAGGAACCCTCAGTTCTGTGAATTGCCCACCCTTTCCCAGAAAACTCATAAATAATTGACTCCCTGTTTAGCATATAATCAAGAAATAACCATAAAAATGGGCAGCCAGTGGCCCTCAGGGCTGCTTTGTCTACGGAGTAGCCATTCTTTATTCCTTCACTTTCTTAATAAACTTGCTTTCACTTTACTCTATGGACTCACCCCAAATTCTTTCTTGCATGAAATCCAAGAACCCTCACTTGGGGTGTGGATCAGGACCCCTTTCTAGTAACAGAGTAACTAGTTAAAATAATAATAAGGACAAAAAATTCAAAAAAGAACAAAGAGCTAAAGAATATAGTAAATATTAACTGTCAAAAATTTTCTCTTTTTTTTTGAGACAGAGTCTTGCTCTGTCGCCCAGGCTGGAGTGCAGTGGCGGCGACCTCAGCTCACTGCAAGCTCTGCCTCCTGGGTTCACGCCATTTTCCTGCCTCAGCCTCCCAAGTAGCTGGGACTACAGGCACCCGCCACCACACCCAGCTAATTTTTTTGTATTTTTACTATAGATGGGGTTTCACTGTGTTAGCCAGGATGGTCTTGATCTCCTGACCTCGTGATCCACCCACCTTGGCCTCACAAAGTGCTGGGATTACAGGCGTGAGCCACCGCACCCAGCCAACTGTCAAAAATTTAATAAATCATACTATCATAAAATTCTTACCAAGAATTATTATTTTCTTTTAATCACAGCAGTGGGGGACAAACATCTGAAGTACAGATGCTGAGTTGCCTTCACCCCAACTTTCTTATGTGAAACAGCTTGTAAATTGTTGCTTTCTGCCTCTAGGATTGTGTGTTTTAAATCATTTTAACACTTGATGTTTTCGTTGGTTTTTGTTTTTCCTCATGAATACAGGCTTTACTAATCAATTCCAGCAATTTTTATATCTCTTTCTTGCCTGAAGCAGATGATAAAAAAAAATGTGCTAAGCATTTATATGTTTCCTAAATGCAGGGGGACCAGTTTCAAGTGACCCATCAATAGAGTCCATGTTGAATAAACAATGGTGAAGGCACACAGTGGAGCCATAAAGAACAAGTACTGGGTCTGTGTATGGATGTGGAGTGATAAGCTGGGACATGTTTTTAGGTGAAAAAAAGCAAAGTACACAGCATTAAGAAGTATGTTACCTTTTGTGAAAGAAAAATGAGGAAATAATTTGCTTATTCTTAAAAAAAGTTACACTCGAAGGATAAATTAGAAATCACTGAAAATGATTGACATAATGGCTGGAGGTGGGAGGTAACAGAATAGGAATGAAGTGGAGAGGATAAATGGGAACAGATGGACCTGACTCTATATGCCAGTGATAATACAACCACACAGAGAAGAGATAAGTGACTTTTGAGCAAAATATGCTGGCTCTAAGAAGTGCAAAATATATATTAATTACTAGGAATGACATTTGCATTGTAATTTTTAAATTACATAACAGTAGGATAAAAATAGGAGAGTATATTAAGGATTTTAATAAACAAGAGTCTGTCAACAAAAAGAGTCAAACTCTGTAAAATATTTAAAGAGATTTATTCTGAGCCAAATATGAGTAACCATGGTCCATGACACAGTCCCAGGAGAGTCTGAGAATGTGTGCCCAAGGTGATTGGGACACAGCTTGGCTTTATACATTTTAGGGTAACATAAGACATCAATCAATACATGTAATGTATATATTGGTTTGGTCCTGAAAGGTGGGACAACTAAAAACTGAGGGTGGAGTTGGGGGCCACTTCCTGGTCATAGGTGTATTCAAAGATGTTCTGATTGACAATTGCTTGAAAGAGCTATCATATAAAGACCTGGAATCAATAGAAAGGAATGTCTGGGTTAAGATAAGGGGTTGTGGAGACCATAGTTTTGTCATGCAGATGAAGCCTCCAGTAGCACGCTTCAGAGCTCTTATCAGACCTATAAAGGTGCCAGACTCTTCATTAATTCTCTCCTGGATGGGGGAAAAGACCTGGAAAGGGAAGGGGATTGTCTACGGAATGCAGATTTTCCCCACAAAAGACAGCCTTGCAGGGCCATTTCAAAATATGTCAAAGAAATATATTTTGGGACAAAATACATCTATTTCTTTCAGGGACCACTGTCTGTCATGTGATGCCAATACTAGAGTCAGGCTGGAATTTGGTTTCTTATTGCTACAAAAAGTCTGTTTTGTCAGTTTTAAGATCTCTATTTTAATGGTAAAGCTGGTCAGCTGTGCCTGAATTCCAAAAGGAGGAGGTTATAATGAGGCATGTCCAACGCCTACATTTCATCATGACCTGAGACAGGTTTTCAGGTTAACTTTGGAATGCCCTTGTCCACAAGGAGGGGTCCATTCAATTGGTGAGGGACTTAGAAGTTTATTTTTGGTTTACAGGTCTTAGTGTAAAATGAGACATATAATTAAAATCTAAATACAACAGGATAAGCAAAATAAGTAAATATGTTAAAATGTTTCATTGTATGAGAAAAGCCACACATAACACAAATCTAAGAGGAAAATTTTTGAATTATAATTAATATTATGAATTTATAATTTTTAAAAATGTATGTGTATGTGTGTTTTTATGTGTTCCTATCTGTGCCCACCAAGAAGGCCTAGAAGGGCCACCCCAGTCAGTATACTACACGTGATAGCCAGGTCTTTGTTCTAAATATATTCTCCACCAAAAGGAAGAGAGAAGGTTAATTACAGATATGGGCAAGATCAGCTGAAGATATCTTCTTAGTTTAGAAATGAAAGAAGCTTTTAGTGATTAAAGGAGTGTGTCAAAAAGACATGAGAGCTAGCTTGAAGTCCAGATCTCCCATTAGCCAAATTTTGGATAATTTGAACATCAAAAAGAATAAAGACTTCAATGTGTTGCAAAAGAATGAAAAATAAAGATTTTATATTCTACAGTAAAATGCAAAATGAAGAGTTAACCTTAGAATGATAAAAACTCATTACAAGTGACTGTTGCCCTGACATAGAAAGATTAATTCAGGTAAAGACTTTTGCTAGCATTTGTAGAACAACAGGATAGGTGAAATATAATTATCCAGTTTAGCCCTCATGAGGCCCTGTGAGGTCTTATTATTCCCATTAAGGCACACAATAATTAATTTAATCAGTCCAAGATCACATAACTATTAAGTACCAGATTTTTAATCCAGATTTCTCTGGAGATGAGACCTGTCAGTATCTGTATCTAAGGATACAGGTCTTCTGGGCAGTTATGGTGTGGCTTCTCTGTGCAAAGCACGATGACAGATATTAGGGTGAAATAAAAGCAGACTGTATTTTCAAATTTACCTCTGCAAAAAAAGATGATACAGAAAAGAAGGCATGCCAAAGACAGCTCGAGCCAAAATATGAGTAATTAGGGAAATTTTAAACATAGGCACCATCCGAATGGTCACTGTGGCACTGTTGGCCTTATGGACTAAGGAAAATGCACTGCAGAGCAAGGGAGGCAGCAAACTGTGGAGGCCAGTTGTGTGGGGTGTGGTGGAGTGCAGAGAGGACTAGAATATCCTTTTGGGGCCACTGGGTGGGGAGGGGTCTTGAATTTAAAGTCTTACAATTCACCAAAGCTAATGGATATGTGACACTGGGCTCAGACATCATAAATCTGGTGTTTTCAGGTAATGCAGATACTGGCCCCCTGGAAACACAAGACTGGAGCTCAAGCGAGAAAGTACAATTGGAACTAAAATTTGGGAGTCATTGCCAGATGAATGATTGTTGGGTTCTCTGAAAGAGAAAGAGTTCAAGGGCAGAACCTTAGGGCAGTGTCTGAACAGGGGACAAGAAGAAAAGAAAGTCCAGGGCTGGGTGCGGCAACTCATTCCTGTAATCCCAGCACTTTGGGAGGTCAAGGCGGGAGGATCTCTTGAGCCCAGGAGTTTGAGACCAGCCTGGGCAACATAGAAAGACCTCATATCTCCAAAGATTTTTTTTTTTAAGTTACTCAGGTGTGGTGGTGTGCTCCTCTGATCAGAGCTACTCAGGAGGCTAAGGTGGGAGGGTCCCTTGAGCCCAGGAGATTGAAGCAGCTACAGTGAGCCATGATCATGCCACTGCACTCCAGCCTGGGTGACAGAGCAATACCCTGTCTCAAACACAAAACAAACAAAAAAGAAAACAGAGTTCAGGGAGGGAGAAGGGGGCACATGCAAGCAGGCAGCCATGTGCAGAGCTGGGCATCCAGAAGCGGGGGCCCTCCACCTCCTGGGCGAACTCGAAAACCACCACCACAGAACATAAGCTATTGTACTTAGAATTATTCAAAGGCCAGTTGTTATTCTGGAGTTTGCTGGATTAATTTATTTTTTAAAATTTTGCAGATGGACCTTTTTCATCTCTTTGATGACTTCACACGCTATAATTAAACACATTTTGGTTGTGAGCACATTATCAAAGATATTAGAAGCAAAGAAGGGAGGAGAATGAGAATTTTGCAAACTGTTGAAGATAAAAGTTGAGGGCCTTTATTTAGGATGCAGTAATTACCAGTGTTTGAATTTTGGAGGGAGGTATAGAGGTAGAGCAGTTGCTCATAGCTGAATGAGATCTACAGGTATGAACCATAACACAAAGCCATTAATCTTTTAAAAAAAAATGTGTTTTAACTAACGTTGGAACTCTTTCTGATACTCATCTCTCCATGTCCTTGATCTTAACATAAAGTGCAGATGTGACACATTTGTTGGCTGATATATTATAGCTGATATAGAATTGATTGAGAATTACAGAGATCCTCAATTCTCATGGAAAACTGTGAAAGATAGACTCCTGCAACACACTAAGATGGTGCTTCTCAAAGTGTATCCCCAAACAAGCAGCATCCACATCACCTGAGAACTTATCAAAGCAAATTCTCAGGCCCCAACCCAAACCTAGTGAATCACAAACTCTGCAAACAGTGTTTTCAACAGCCCTCCAGGCCATTGTAATGTATGGGAAAGTTTGAAAAGCTGCCCTCGGAGGCCTGGAAGGTATACTGAATTTATGTCACTTCAAGCAGTTTGCTTGTTTTAAGATATCTCTGCTGAAAGTGTCCTGAAGAGGACTGGTTCTTTGAAGGTCTTAGTTATGCTTTTTCTGTGAGTATTTAGAATTAATTAAACGAAATGGCTGCAGATTTTAGCCCCAAAATGGAAAAGTTAATGAAAGTCACAGTGTTGTCTCTTATAAAAATTTTAAATGGGCTGGGAGCGGTGGCTTACACCTGTAATCCCAGCACTTTGGGAGGCCAAGGCGGGCAGATCACGAGGTCAAGAGATCGAGACCATCCTGGCCAACATGGTGAAACCCAATCTCTACTAAAAATACAAAAATTAGCTGGGTGTGGTGGCACGCCCCTATAGTCCCAGCTACTCTGGAGGCTGCGGCAGGAGAATCGCTTGAACCCCGGAGGCAGAGGTTGCAGTGAGCCGAGATCGTGCCACTGCACTCCAGCCTGGTGACAGAGCAAGACTCTGTCTCAAAAAAAAAAAAAAAAAAAAAAATTAAATGGCATTGGTTTCATTTCAGAACAAAAGTAGAGTATTTCATTATTACTGAAATTATAACTTTGCCACTGTCCTTCATAAAAGAAACTGAATAAAATATGTACCATTGGCCGGGTGCAGTGGCTCATGCCTGTAATCTGAGCACTTTGGGAAGCCAAGGTGGGTGGATCACTTGAAGTCAGGAGTTCAAGACCAGCCTGGCCAACATTGTTAAACCCCATTTCTACAAAAATTACAAAAACTAGCTGGGTATAGTGGCATGCCCCTGTAATCCTAGCTACTTGAAAGGCTGAGGCAGGAGAATTGCCTGAATCCGGGAGGCAGAAGTTGCAGTGAGCCGAGATCGTGCCACTGCACTCCAGCCTGGGTGATAGAGCAAGACTCTGTCTCAAAAACAAACAAACAAACAAATACACGCACACACACACACACACACACACATATATATACTGTAATGCTTAATACCTAATTATATATATTATATATTTATGCACACATATAGTATAAAACATTTTTCTGCATTTCAGGTCCAAACTGCTTTGCAGAAACCGCGGTGATCCCTGCTGGCAGAGAAGTGAAGACTGACGAGTGCACCATATGCCACTGTACTTATGAGGAAGGCACATGGAGAATCGAGCGGCAGGCCATGTGCACGAGACATGAATGCAGGCAAATGTAGACGCTTCCCAGAACACAAACTCTGACTTTTTCTAGAACATTTTACTGATGTGAACATTCTAGATGACTCTGGGAACTATCAGTCAAAGAAGACTTTTGATGAGGAATAATGGAAAATTGTTGGTACTTTTCCTTTTCTTGATAACAGTTACTACAACAGAAGGAAATGGATATATTTCAAAACATCAACAAGAACTTTGGGCATAAAATCCTTCTCTAAATAAATGTGCTATTTTCACAGTAAGTACACAAAAGTACACTATTATATATCAAATGTATTTCTATAATCCCTCCATTAGAGAGCTTATATAAGTGTTTTCTATAGATGCAGATTAAAAATGCTGTGTTGTCAACCGTCCTCACCGTGTACCTGCATATCTTTTTCAGTTCTGATTCCATCACCCAGGAATGTTCCCCCTGCACATTTTCACAGGGCAGAGTCACGCATGAATGGATCATAAGATATTAGGACCAATTTCCACTGAAACCCTGTTTAAATTCTATTTAATTACAGACATATCTCTAATGTTGATGTCTACTTCACATAAATATATTTCCTTTTTATAATAATATATGGCTTTTATCTGCTTCATTCTCAGTCACTTGTGAAATGCAGGTGTAAAGATCACTAACTCACACTTTCTCAGTTCTTTCCCCTAAGCTCCTGTATTGTACACCATAGGTAAGCACATACATATATTTCATTCTTATTTACATTATTTTCTCTTCTAAGGATAACTTTAATTCATTCCCTAAACTGAGGAATAAAGTAGGCTGGAAAATTTGCATTACTGTTCCATCAAGCTGAAGCAGACAACAAAATAGGGGAGGAGTCCTTCGATTCTCCTAGGATAGTTAAGGAAAATCAAACTCCTAAACAAGTTTATATACCTGAAATCTAAATGTGCTACAGATAACTCAGCTGTCAGTTCAGTGGAATCATATTTGTCATCAGACTTGAGTCATCTATCCTCCATAAACTACACAGTAAAATCTTGACTGATAACCTTGAATTAGCCACCCTTCACAAGCAGAGTGAGGAAGCAGTTATTTTGTTAAAACAAAGCTGAAGACCAAGTGCACTCCACAACTTTCCTATAGTTATAATTCCAAACCAACTTCTTTTCTCTTCATTTGAACAGAGAACATAAAAAGCCACTGCAAAGTCCTGCTAATCTAATTAATGCATAATAGAAAATAGTTCTACCTTTATCAATCATATCAGCATGCGGTGTGTTGATGAAAGAGGTAATTGGAGTCTTAATAGGTGTAGGATAAAAAAAGCAAAACTATAATCACTATTAATGTCTTTAAAGGATTAAAATATATATAATCATTATTTGAAGCCTCTAAAGGTATTTTTCATATTTTTGTTTATTCTGAAATTTTGCATTAAGAACCTATTAAGTACAAAGCATTGACAACAAGGGAATAAGGCTTGATTTCTTGCCTTCTTGGACTTTCGGTCTCTGGCATAAGAAGTATATGAAATCATAATGTATTGTATTAGGAGCCAAACTAGAGACCAGCAAATGGAGATTAGAAAGCCTTCCTAATGAGAAGATGGAGAACATGAAAAAATCATTATATAAAAAATAATTCAATCATTAAAGACTGAATAACATTCAAGAAAAATGGATACATCTATCATAATTGAAAAATTAAACTATTGTGAACCTTAGTAAGTATAAAGATGCCACTGACTGAGTCATCAAAACACTACATATAGTCATTTAATTTTTGTCTTGTTCATAAAGAACACCTTGAGCCAAAGGAACTACCAGTACATAGATTTCATGAAAATACTCAGGGGAATTATTAGCTAATTGTTCTCAGGTGTAATCAGCTTTCCAAAATTTAACCTTTGTATTAAAGACTGGTAGACATTGGCCATCCCTCCTTTATTCAAGGATGGATTGTTTGAGACACAGTTATTTAAAGTTGTCGTTTTGCTAATAAATGGCCCTAGCCCCCATGGGTAGGTGGGCCATTAGTAACCTCTTCTCTCTCCATCAGGCATGATGCAGTTAGAGACTCAGTCCATGCAGCTCAAAGTCTTCCTGTTTCCCTTAATAATAATTCCTACCAGAATGGATGATGAGCTCTGAAATAATTGCAATGGTGTTTTCAATGCTGTGAGAATTTCAGAAAACCTAGTATTTTGTTGCATATAGAGAGAATGAACCCAGTATCATCTTGGGAAGTTAACTGACTCACTTGCTCTAAACTTAGTTTGACCTGCAGGGTCACCAGCACACACTCCTAAGAGCTAAAGCTCAATGGCTGTTATTACACCAAAGTAACTCCCCTCCCCATCTCTGATTTCAACCCCCTCATTCCTCTCTCCTCATAGAAATAATGCATAAACCAAACACATGGAAGAACTTGGATTTTTGACACTGTATATACTCATTAATAATAATGGCATTATTTGCATTTTTGTCCAAGATCAACTTCTTCTTGCAGTTAGACTTTCACAAATACATAGCTATCTCAGATTGACATTCTATTTTCCTCCCCTCTGTTGTCAGAGAACTCTTTGCTGAGATTGTCAACAACAAACTGTTCTATTCAATAAATAACCTGAATAACTGCCCAATAAAAAAGGAAAGTATAAGTTACTCAATTTCAAAATAATATGGTTTGGAGATAGCACAGAAAAGGGGGCCTCAGAATTCAAGTATAGAAGTTCTGGAAAAGCCATAATCACTAAAATTCAAATAGGCCTGCTCTATAAGTACCTAATAATTGTTAAATGATTTGTTCAAGTTAATAAACTAAATCGTGCTTACAAATGTATTAATGAATTTATTTCAAATTTTCAACCCATATTTAGATCTGAAAGTATAAAGCTACTTATGTAAGCAATAGAATGGTTCTGGAAATTATCTGATGTCTTAGAGGTTTTCAAGTTAAATTCATTCTTTCAGTGATAGGATATTTACTTGTTGGGTGGATTAACAATACTTTTTATTGACATTTCCCAGAAGTCTTGAGAAAAGTCATTTCAAAAACTTGTATTTCATCCCTGCATGCAAGAAGTATTAGATGCACTCCAGTCCAGGCAAGTCCTGCTATAATGTTGCAGCTAGTGCAGATGGAGAGGCACAGTGTCCTTGACATCAAGGGGTCTGTAAGCCTTGAAACTAATTTAGGTTTGATTATAATACTTTTAATCTTTTGATACTTAGAATTTCATCACCTGCTTTGTGCAGTAAAACATGCTAAGAAGAATTATCATGCAGTTTTAAGTTCATAACATCAATAATATGTTTAATAAACTTTCTTCCCTCGTTCTCCAACATAAATGTTGCATTTATATAAGGTTAAAAGTCCTAAAAAATCATAAAATTCAGATGTTTAATTTTTGTTTTTAAGCAGTGAAATGGGTTTTTAAATGTATACATTATCTGAAACTTACAAAATATACACTGTTTCAAACAAGCATTGTTGGAAACTAAATCCATTATTTTAAATGTGGACTATTTAAACATGTAGAAAACAAAATTATAGACATAAACTATGATTTTAAAAATATTAACAATTTGCTAAATTTGCTTCAATGGGCAAGAGATCAATCCTACTTTTCATTGTTATTTTTAATATCATATTTTTCCCCAACATAATGTTATTATGAAGAGTATCAGATGTACAAATAAGCATCATTGGTAAAAACATACATGCTTCTTTGGCCAACATAATTTGTAACTGTCTTACTGAACCTACTTACCTACTATATTTTTTTTCCTCACTAGTAGCATCTGATGGTTGATACAGTCAGTAACTATTCTGAAGAATCAGATTAAGAGAGAACAATTTACTTATTCAGGAATAAGTGCATTTTTACAGTACATATTTTTCACATTTCAGCTGCAACTTCCAAAGATCAGGTTCTCATTGCTCCGTAGCACAGATTAAACAGCCTACTTATGTCATATCCTCACTTCACACCAACTTCTTCAGTCTATTATTTTAGTTTTCTAAATGTAGATCTAGTTTTCAACTGAATTCTTTGAGGATCGCAATCACACACAAAATAACATCCAAACTCCTCAACATGGAAGACTGGTGTCTTCACAATTAGATCATGGACAACACCATGACCCAGGCCCCTGTGGCTGGTGAGACTTCTGGGCCCTGGGTACCACAGACTATACTCTAAACATGGTCTTTACTATCTCAGATCCTGCCCTGAGTGTCCTTTGCAGCATGTTGAGTATTAGCCATTTTCAATGTCCAGTTCAAGTGCCATTGCTGGTAAGGCTTCTGTAGTTCTTATTGGAAGAATTGTCACTCTATGTCCCAGTAATAGTACTAATTTGGTTTCTTATTTTAACATATCATTTAGGAATCATACCATAGTTTGCATAATGGTTAATTTTATGCCTGCTTCTTCTATTATTTACAAATCCCTTTAGTTTGGGCTGTGAAATATTCAATTCCCAAAACATCACCCAATATCTATATGTTAAAGGCTTGTTGAATTGTATTCCATCTATTAGTTCAGAGTTATTTGCTATTCTTGTTTAAGGACAATGTATGTATTAAAGAGCAACTAAAAACTCCCATTACTGTTTGCCAACCCAGTTGTCTTTTGATTTCTCTGTCAACTTACAAGTATCAAATATCTAAGTCACAGAACCCAGAGACACATCAAATACCCCAAATACCCCATGGTAGTTTTCGGATGAACTCTGACAGCTATTGGCCATTTCTGGTGCAAGTCAGAAAAAAATTGCTTTTAGTGTGAAATTTTTGATGCTGAAGAAAGTTGATTGTATTGAAGAGACACTGGCCCTTTATGATAAAGGAAGTCAAGTTTACAGTTTTGATATTTGTTTACTTTCTTATTTCTAATTTTTGGAAAACAATTTTCTTAGACTTTCATTTGTGATATTGATCATTTCTGTGTGTTTTAATCTTTCTACATAACATAATTAAACACCTCAGTAGGTATCTAGTGAACTGATACAATAATGAGCTGAGTCATTTGTACAGAAATATAGTAGCTTCCATAATCTGAATGATAACCATTTAAAAGTGATGGTTGTTGAAATTTTACTGTAGTGTCAAATTTCACTTTAAATTTTGCAAAGCACCTGCTATTCTAGCCTTAACACAAAGATTTGGCTAATTTTTAAATGAACAAATCCCATTGAATATTAAGTGACACTGACAATCACCCTGAAAAGTATTCAGCCAAAGTTTCAATAGAATTAGGAAACTTAAATGAAAATGTGCTCTCAGTGCTTGGCCCATGAGCAGTTTATGATTTAAGACGTGCATACTGTTTAACTCTTTCCTTTAAAGTTCAGAAAAGTACATAAAACCTCTGGCTGACCTATTATATAGGCACAGAATTATCAAAAGCAATCAAAGTATGTACCTAAAGTCAATTTAGTATATTATGAATACAGCCTGATGACTAAACACAATTGCAAATATTGCGACTTTAGTTTTTAATTCAATTTTCAGCAAGTAGAAATATTTCTCAATTTTATTTGGTATCTAATTATATTAAGACCAACATATACATTAAAGTGTATTTAGATGATTAATATTTAATGATCATTATTTTATTTAATGATTAATATTTTCTATTATTTGAATTTCTGTAATTTATGTTTTAGAAAGAACTGTTTCCAAACACATTTTATGGAAAGATTTCATTTTTCCATTCCCTTTACTTTTATATTTACATTGTCAAATAAATACAATTCTATTTTCATTTCTATTAGTTTTCAGGGTTTATTCTTTTCCTAAGCATATAATTCTTATAATGGAAAAAAGTGAAAAGTATCCAGTAAGTAATATACACCTATGAAACTATTAATGTTCTTTATACTACCAAGTAGTTTCATAGTTTTAAAAAGCCATTCTTAAGCAGTCGGTGAATGTATATCATCGGCCAAAAGTTATGCTAGGTTTCCTTCACTTATTATCACATTTAACCTCACAGTTCTCCCAAATTGTGGGTAATGCTATCCCCTTTGTTGCAGAAAAGTAAATATAGGCTCAGGGAAATTTAAAAACTGCCTTAAGATTCAGTCTAGTGAATGAGAGGCTGAGTTAAGAATCCAAATCTGCTTTATATCAGAGCCCGTGATTTGAAGTCTTATCATTTGTGTTTAGGTCAGGGACCTCTAGAAAATAGACAGAAATTTCCAAAATGGTCTTTTACCCCACTCCCCATAAATAAGATAATGAATAGCAACACTGATCCCTAATTCTAGAATATCAATCTTGATACTTGTCAAAGTAAATAGTAGCTCGTCACAAAAATGTTGTAGCCTCCCTAGTCTAAATGCTTATGCTATATTTTGTTTCCTAAATCTAGAGATCTCTTTTTAAAAATAGTATTGAAGCATCAGGTTGTTCAGGTATGATTCTCATATTGAAATTTACAAAATATAACCAAATATTGTGACCCAGTTTTTCTGGAGCCAAGAGAAGTAAACTGCCATTTATTAGGTGATGATTATAGGGCAAACACTACAATTTCAAATTTCATATTCTTTTATCTGATTTATTCATTTTATCAACTCTGCTATATTGATGAAGAAGTCAACATATGGTGGGTAACTTATCCAAATTTCAGTGATGGGCTGGGCGTGGTGGCTCACGCCTATAATCCCAGCACTTTGGGAGGCTGAGGCAGGTGGATCAGGAGTTTGAGGCCAACCTGACCAACATGTGAAACCCCATCTCTACTAAAAATACAAAAAAATTACCTGGGCATGGTGGCACATGCCTGTAATCTACTCGGGAGGCTGAGGCAGGAGAATCCCTTAAACCGAGGGGGTGGAGGTTGCTTGAGCCGAGATCGCGTCACTGCACTCCAGCCTGGGTAACAGAGCAAGACTCTGTTTAAAAAAAAAAAAAAAATCAGTGATGGAACTGAGGCCAAATCTGTCTGGTTCCAAAGCTATCCTACATGGGGCACAGTCAGGACTGGAATGGATAGCTCTACCTGCTTCCAAATATTCTTCCCTGGGGAGCAGCTGTGAGTCTTACTGAATCGATTTATTCATTGCATTCTATGTGTCAACTGCAATTTAGACCTGGGTGATAGAGTCATATATGGTCTTTGGACCCATGAAGCTCTGAGTCAAGGATACCAGCAGATATCCTTAAACTAATAAAAAAAGCGATGGCATCACATGCCATTTTGAACTTTTGCATTAAAGTCATAAACTTACATCAGTATTATGATTTATACTTTTAAGCAAAATTTTGCCATTTTCTGATACATAGTAGCTAGCTAGTGATAAAATTATGAAGTTACCATTGTATGTTCCAATGACATAAAAAACTAAGTGCCTGCTTGGGCTAGTTATACTCTGCAGTATACCCTGGTTTATTGTGAGGATTAAATAAAAAATCCTCACAAACCCCAATTTAATTTAATATAGATTAATTATAAAAATAATCTACCCATGTTACATAATGTTAAATCTGTAGTTTCAAGGTGTATGCTATTTCTTAAAACAAAAACAAAGATTGTCCCCACTCCAAACAATAACAGCAATGGTGAAGGTTGTGGGTGGACAGAGGTAGTCCCACTCATCCCCAGGGGGCTCAGCTGCCACCGGCCAGGTCTATCTATTGCTCCCACCTGCTCTGACTGTTTTCTCTCAAGAAAAAGATTTTCATTTTAAGATAGGCATCAGTGCAATAAAGGAGCTTGATACAAAAATCATTATGTTCTATATATGTTTTTGTAGGTTTTAGATTAATTATGGCCAACTGATACCTTAAAATATTTGTTACAAATAACACTGAAGTGAGATTCAAAATTGTGCCTTCTATTGAAGCCAAGAAAGTAAATGTCTTTAAAATAAACATAATGGTGTTTTTTTTTGGTACAATAAACAGCATACCTACATTTCAGAGGACAAATCATGTTATTATAATAACCAGGAGAGAAAATAAAAGGAGACATTAATTTGGATATGGAAGCAAAATGGAACAGAGCAATATAGAGCAAAACAGAGGTTTGTCTGAAACATTTAAAATATTAAGAAGTATGACTAAAAAACTCAAACATTTTAATACACGATGAATCCTTTTCTTAAGGAAAAAATGAAAATAATAAAAGTGGTATTTGGATGAGATAATTTTCCTTTAAATTTATTCCTCAGAATGATGTAAATTTTCCAGCTGGAAGGTCATCTTTCTATACATGCATGCATCTATACAAATGGTTAAACAGTTACTCTCTCAATTTGCTGTGATAGGAAAGGTGGATATAAATATAAGCAAGGGTCTGATTAAAACAAAACAAAACAAACAAAAGACAAGAGAAGCACTGCATTGTTGGCAAGAAATTCCTTTTAAGTCAGACTTAAGTCCACGGAAAGCTGGACCTAAGCAGTGAAGGATGTAAGGGAACAGAGAGAGACTCTGCTTGGCCGAGTTTGCTATTCTCATTTGTCTATGTCAATACGGCTACATAAAGTTCACAACTATTTGCACATAGCTATAAATATAGCATGAATAAAACACATATGTATTTAATTGTGTTATTTACTATTTATAATTTGAATTGTTTAAAATAATTTTAAATACTTATTCCATAAACTCAGTATTTGAAAACTTAAAAAAAAAGTCATTTTAAATAACATCATTTACCAAGTCTGTGTGATGCTTTACAAGGTACCTGATGAATGTAAAATTATAGCTTTTTGTCTTCATTTCTAATAGACTGTTATAGGGGAAATGTACTAAAATGTTGTACTTATTACATTTATGAATTTCTGACAGTTTCTATAGACTGAGAATAATGATATGCTTTTATAAATTATTTGGTGAAAGTTTTCCAGTAAGTGTTCATGTCCTGTACAAATTTATTAAACAACATCAATTTTACCTAACAACTGTAACCACTAATAAATCATCAGTCACCACCTTTCCTGCATATCTGACAGATGGAGAACACTGTGCTTAGTGTTGAAGATACCAAAGGGAATTCAAGTGAGGGGAAAAGAGGAGAGCAAACTGATCAAAAGGGAATGCCCATGATGCTTTCAGGAAACCAGGGTGAGAACATGCTGGCTGGAGGATGGGTCTGGTTTCCAGCAGAGATGATAGGAGTTAAAAGGCATAGGTGAGTTGTTCCCATCCCTGGCCTGAGCCTTACTCCATAGCTATAGAGACATAGTCTCTAGAAACAAAGGCCAGAGCATCCTTTTAACATTTATATCATAAGTATTCTCAATAAACGTTTGCAATTTATTTGCTTTAATGTAACTTGGCAGTAAAGACTTTGGCCTTTGGAGGTCTGATTCTAATCCCAGTTCTACCACTTACTGGTTATTTATCAGGTACACGTTACCTACCTCTCTGTAACTCAGATTGCTCATCAGTAACATGGGGAGAGTGGTATCAACCACTAAGAGGATTAAATGAGTGAATATTTGTAAAACACGTAGCCTAGAATAGATATTTATAAAGCACAAGATCTATGTAAAGTGTTTATAACATAATACATTGGAATATGAGACTTGAACATTTTGAAGATTCTAATAAATGAATAATTTAATTTAGTGCTCATTTGAAAAATATTTTATCCTCATGTTTACATTTAACACATATAATTTATATCTTAGTTTTTATCCCATTTATATATATATTTACCAGAAAAATGTTTTGTAATACCTTAATTTTATGTGGAGTTGAATTTAAATAATTAGGCCGAATTTGTATGTATTGTTGGATGGGTATGTGTATTGACCTGATTTATAAAATAAAGTATTTATTAAACTGAGTTTTGCACTTCCAGGTAGAGTCACATTTAAGATAATCCTTTGAAATATTTTAGCTTTTGAAAGTAGATTAAGCAAGATAAATAAAATGTATATACGTCATTAAAAATACTTAAAATGCTTTAAATATTTTGAGTTATTTAAAATATAATCCTTGAGGCTCACTCAAATATGTAACTTTTATTTCTCTTATTTAATGAAAGATGGACACTGCTGTACCCTGAAGTAGCATCTATAATATAATATCCCACGGAATTGACTGTGATAATACATTTCTGCTTTGTCATTTCTAAAAGTAAATGTAATGATTATGAAACCTCATATCGAGAAATATGGACTAACAGTAAGTAAATATCTTAGATTCAGATTTCTTTTTTTAATGGAAACACTCTAGAGGCTCCTCTGCGCTGGCTTGGAGAAAGGCTTTTTAAAAAATAAATTAAAACCAAAAAGTATTTTTTCTTAAGGCTACGAACTTCCCATTCCGGAACTGGAAGATTAGGCAATTTAGAACAATCCTTCTGCCAAGGGCAACTGGAAAATCTGGGCAGAATAGACAGTTCTTCCTGAAGCCAGTGGAGAACTAAATACTTAGGAAAACCTACCAGACCAACGGCTGGAAAAGCCCAAATTAGAGTTTAGTCTGGCATTCTGAGCATTTTTCCCTGAGTACATTTCCTATTGGAATAGCATGCTGAGAAGTTGAATAGCACTTTTTGACATTTCATGGAAAAAATGGAGCAAAATTTAGAGTCTGGGTATACAAAGGCGGGTAACCTCCCTATATGTGTTTGTAGCTCCACTGGGCTGCATTCAAGGTGCAGAGCTGATCTGAGGCTACACAAATACAATGGAGCAGAAACAACAATAGGTTCAGAATCACAGTCTCCTAATGATGGAATAATCAGACCCAGATATAAAATAAATCTATATTCAAAGACTATAGGACAAAATTGGAAATTTCAGCAGAGGATTAGAAACCTAAACTGACCTAGCAAAATTGAAAAGAACCAAAAAAAGATTTTTTGAACTGCAAAATGTAATAACTGAAATTAAAGACTTAGTTGACTGGATTTAACAGATTAGAAACAACTTAAGAGAAAAGAGTGAATCTGAAGACAGATCAAATGCAAAGAAGTACAGATAGAAAATGCAGAAGAGGTAAAGAATGTAGCAGATACTAAGTTGAAGTTCCAAAAGGCAAAAAAGGATAGGATGGAACAGAAAAACAATGGTTAGGAAGAAAATGGCTGATGGCCTTCTAAAGTTGATGACAGACGATAAAACAAAGAATTCCCAAGTAGCAGCACTACAGTGAAAGGAAGAAAAAATGAGAATCATAAAGGCAGCCAGAGGAAACAGATTCCATGTAAAAAAGAATTATGACAATTGTGAATGTTTGATGCATGTTTAATATTCTTATCTTTGGATAAGAAAAGGAATTCTGAAGGCAGTTAAACATCTTTAATATGCTGAATGAAAAGAACTGCCAATTTAGAATTCCATACATATAATTAATGCCCTATATAGTATACAGCTGTGACTTATTAAGACCTAATACTTATTGGTGCTTTTATCATTTTTATAGACAATGTATTAACTATTCCCTCACCGTGTCTACTGTTTTGCTCTATCTTAATTCTGTGTGTTTTAAATATGAAAACTTCTTCTTCTTCTTCTAATAGTCATTATTCATTTAGCCACATCCCCACATTTGCCATTTTCTTGTTTTTTTATTGCTTCCTTCACCTTTCATTGTAAATCCTTTTCCCTCTGCCTGAAGAATACTCTTTAATATTTCTTTCGGTGAATTTCTACTGGTGATAATTTTTTCAGCTTTCATTTCATTAAAATATCTTTATTTAAACTGCATTTTTAAAGAATAGGGTTATAGGCCGGGCATGTTGGCTCATGCCTATAATCCCAGCACTTTGGGAGGCCAAGGCAGGTGGATCACCTGAGGTCAGGAGTTCAAGACCAGCCTGGCCAACATGGCGAAGCCCCGTCTCTACAAAAATACAAAAATTAGCTGGGCATGATGGCAGGTGCCTGTAATCCCAGCTACTTGGGAGGCTGGGGCAGAAGAATCACTTAAACCGGGGAGGCGGAGGTTGCAGTGAGCCAAGATCGTGCCATTGCACTCCAGCCTAGGTGACAGAGCGAGACTCTGTCTCAAATAATAATAATAAATAATAATAATAATAATAATAACAACGTTATAAAATGGTAAAAGCACAAATAAGTACTAGATCTTGATAAGGCAAGGAGGCATACCATAATTTATAGGGTAATTTTTTATATGTAGCAGTGAATGAACAGGAGACAAAATGTTCATAAAATACATAAATACCTGAACAACAGAATTAACCAAGCTGACCTAGGAAACAGGTGCATAATTCTTCATGAAAAAATTACAAAATACAAGCATGTGGAAAATTTATAAACATTGACTTTACTCTGAGCTATAAAGTTTCATTATAAAGCATTGACATCACATGAATTATAAATCCTGATAATTCAATTAAACTATAACTCAACAAGAAAAACTATCAATAAATAAAATGTCTCCATATGTTGCAAATTAAGAAACAAAATTCCAAGATGGGTGAGGTGGTACACACCTGTGGTCCCAGCTACTCAGGAGGCCAAGGTCAAAGGAGAAGTCATAATAGAATGGAAAAGGGGCTGTCACTAGAGACTCTGCAGTGTTAAGAAGATAATAAAATTATATTATGGGAGACTTCTGGTTCTGTCAAGATAGACTAGCCCCATTTCTCCTGGGTTCTCCCTCTTACTAGTAAAAACCCTTGACATAATACAACAAACAACCATTAAAAAACTCTGAAAGTTGGAAAGAAGGTGGTGGCTGCCCAAGGACTTCAGGATTTGAGGAACGACACCCCAGTCTGTTCCACGGCTTCCTTATTGCCTCCCATAAATCCCAGACCCACCAACAGGCACCGACCATAAACACTCCAAGAAAACCCAATGCACAGGAAAAGGATGATCTAACAGCAAAAAACTTTTCTAGCTATGTGCACCCTCCTCCAGGTAAACAACTACCTACCTCTGATTTGAATGGGCCCAGCAGGAGCTGGCCTCTTCATCCACTCTCCAGGCATGAAAGCAGGCAGCACTCCTGACCCCTGTTTGGTAGTATCTGGTCCATTTCTCCACCTCCTGTGCTGAGAAGTGGTCTAAGTACTGGTCATATGTTCTTTTGTGCAGGATTACATGAGTGGGCATCAGCCTTCCTATTAGCCTCTGGGTGGTGGTGAGATATAGTATGTACAGATATAGTATGCACACACACACAGTGAGTACGTATACATCCCTGTAAAGATGAACCAGTGGACAGGGGCCAGATGGCACTAATTTGCTACTGAGTGGATGATTGGTGTCCCTGGGGAACAGTGCTACATCAGGACCCAGTGTTGGCCTCTGTTCCAGATAGGTTAGACATTGAGAGGTGGTAGTAGCTAGACAAGCCTGGGAAAGCAGGTGTCCATGCTATTGGGTGCATATGTCACTCCATCGCTCTATCCTGGCTGCTCCCTCCATATGTCTATGTGGGATTCTGATGGAGCTGATGATGAAAGATGGCCAATGCCAATCACCTGGAAAAAATTACCTACTTGGTTGTTCAGAGCCTCTTTTAAGGTACATGTTTTCTGCTGAGTGTTAACTATGTGACTGAAAAGTCTTCACACTTTGCACTCATGTCCATACATCCATCCACAGGCCTCTGCCTCAGACCTCCTTGTCTCCAGTCTTTTGGTCTTTCCTTCCAGGCCCCTGGCTGCAGCCACATCATCGGCCGCTGTCAAAGAATTACACATATTCTCCCCTCTCCACTGTCTTTCAGATCTCCCTCTAAAATAGGGCAGTCACTATCAAATTTTGGCTTCACCCACTGACAGAACCCATAAATCAACCTTGGGGTTTTTCCTCATGTTGAGCTTGGGGAAGGGAAATGGTATGATTGTTGTGGGTAATTTGGAAGTTTGGTCTGTCAGCGAATGTAGCTTACTTGGGCCCTCAGGACCTGCTTGGACTCAGTCCTGAATGGACTGCTGTTGGGTCAGTGGACTCTGCATAATGGGCAGTTCTGTGTAGTCACTTGGTGCCCCATAGTGAAGCATTCCATCTGCCTGTAGTTGTTGCATTACTATCTCTACCTTTCCTCCCATCAATCCTGGCCAATAGAGAAAACCCACCAATTAGGTGTTTAGCGATGCTGGTGCTGCTTAGAGAACAAGTGTGTCCCTGATAGTGCCATGAATGGTGTGTCCTTGAGTCCTCTTGTGGAACATAATGCTCTGTTGGGTTATTTTAACTTCATATAATTTATCAGCTCCAGCATTCCCAATTCCATCAGCTTCTCTATTCCTTCTTCTACTACCTGCAGCTTAGGCATTTCTCATTTACTGTGTTGCCCATCACTTTTTCTAGCAGTAAGTTTGCCCAAAGTCTTCAATCTTGTTAAAGCCCTCAGTTTCTCATTCCTTTTCAAAGCATCTGCTTCACTTAACAGTTGTCAGCCAATTTTGCTGTCCTTGGTGGCACCCTTGTCTCCTTCTTAGGCCTAAGCCATAACACCTGCATGCACAAGCCATTCAGAAGGGTACCCTCTTTGCCCACGGGGTGGGCAGTGAATGAATCGCAGAGACCCATCCCACTGCCTGTATTCTCAGACCACTTCTGGCTCCTGGCATCACTTGGGTTACTTTGGATCCTCTGAGAAACTGTCACAAAAATAGGATTAGACATGTAAGAGATGTATTATAGTTTAAAATGTCTGTAAGAGAAAAAGGGAAGGAAGAGAGGAGGGGCTGGGAGATCCTCTGGATAATAATGCAGGAGAGCAGGAAGGAGGGAAGGCCTTAGACTCCACTTAGCTTTGAGAAGCAACTGGCTGCAGAGGAGCGGCCCTCCAGCCATAGCGGCCGCAGGAAATTCTCACATAGCCGGGAAAGACTGGCAGCAGGCCTCTGCTGTGCTCAGTCTAGAAGCACAGACGCAGTGCAAACACAGTGGAATCAGAGTGCAGCAATGGAGCCACTGGTCAGTGACTCCTTACAGCAGAAGGTCAGAGAGCCACATTTTCATAGCTGCCATACCTTCATTCTGTGCTATTACCAACCCCGCCTATATTGAGTGTTGTAGTCTTCAATTAACTTTTACCACAGGACAAGAGAGTACTCAGATATGTCACAGAGGATCTCCCCAACTCTGTTGTGTAATGGCAACCCAATTTCCCCTTCATGGTTAGGATCAATCACTCCAGCCAGTACAGTAACTTATTTTGTGCCAGCTGGTTCAACAACATGAGGTGGCAGTCCTGGGTTTCAGTTTATTAGAAGCATTCCTCCCTTGGGAAGTATGACTTCCAAATTAGCAGAGTCCAAAATTACAGAGACAGGAAGCAAATGTTTGCTAGTGGATATCCAGGGTAGTAGTGAGAATCTATTTCCATCAACACCCCTCCAACCCACACACAATTCTGAGACCCATGAATCTTAATCATGGAAGCAACAGCACCATATATTAGAGTCATATTGGAAGGGAGAGTTCTAGGGGCTTCCACTATGACCTCCTTACAATATTCACAAAAACACCATTGACCATAGAACCAAAGAGGGTGATTTGGCAAATTGCTATTAGTTGCTGATTCAGAGCAAAAAAATCACACCCAGGAGGAAATTACACTAGCTCAACTAAGTGATGTCACCCAGCTGGCACCATAAGCGTACTCAGCAGCCCATTCCACCATTCTATTACCCCAGATGCTACAAGGTAATGGAGAACGTGGTACGACCAATGAATTACATGAGTATGAGCCCACTGCCACATGTCATTAAATATGAGTTCCCTGGTCAGTAGCACTGCTGTGAAGAAAATGACAGCAATAAATTTATTTAGTAAGTCTACAGATGGTGGTTTTGGCAGAAATACTGTAGTCAGGGAAAGCAAATTTGTGACAGATTTCGATATGAACACAGCATTGCCCCTCTCATGATGAACTTGATCCAATGTAATCAACCTGGTACCAGGTGGCTGGCTCTCTCCCTGGTCAGCGTTGCCATATTGGGGACTCCTTGGTAGACTCTGCTGTTAGAAAATTGGGCACTCAGAAGAGCTGTAGCTAGATTATGCCTTGGTAACCATGCAGACCTTCCATCTTTGTTTTCATGGCCACTTTGTTCATGACCCTATTGGCAAGGAAGGAAGAGGCTGACCAATGCCCACAGGAGTCATGTTGTCCACTGGGTTACTAAGGTTATTTGCTGAGTTTCTCATTAGTGTGCATTCCTATGTGCTGTGTGCTTGTTTGGAGATATCTAGTTACATACACTTTTCTCACAACACTGTCACCAAATTTCCAATCTTATTCCTTCTATGCCTCTGATCAGTGGGCCAAATTGTTGACTTATTGCTTAAAAATCTGTGCAGTCCATACTTCTAGTCATCTCTCATTCTTAACAAGGTTGACAGACTGGTGTACTTCTCAGAGCCTTATCTATTGATATTTCTCTTCCCCACTCTCCTTCAGGACCACCCCTGTGGGTAGGGCTGTCTACTTGTGGCTGCTGCCAACATACTATGTACAGCACTCTATAACTGATGCTCAGATTTTATAAAGAACTTCCCATGAGGTCACAGGTGCAGGCTGAAGTGGAGTGGCAGGAACGGAAACCATGAAGGTCTGAGACACTTGTTTGTGCAACTTACCACTCCCTCGGGACCTGCTTGAGCCCAATCTTGTACACACCAGTACACCATTCCCAGTGGATGGAAGAGTGCTGCTATGCATACCCAACTCCATGGCTCAGTGGGTTAGATAACGCCTACCTCATGATGTAGCTCAGATTACATAGTAACTTGTTGGCCCAAACTGGAACCGGCACAAATCCAAAAGCTGTTTCTCAAAAGGAGAATAGTTATCTACAAAGAATAGCATGGCTTTCTCTAACATCCCAAAGGTTCACACACTGTGTCCAAGAGTCCACACAACACCTTTATCTGCTATGACACTCTGAGCATACTTGTACCACTGGGTCACATTTTCCAAGCAGAGAGCACCTTTCACAGTGGCCTGGAATGATTGCAGAGCCAGTTTCCACTCCAAGCCTCATCCAAAATTGGCAGTTTTCCCAGTGACTTAAGAAATGAGCATGCCCAATGGAAATAAATGTTGACTCCCAAATCAAGAGGGTCCTCCTCACTCTAGACATTGAGCCTCTTTCTTGATTAAAGAAGTCAGATAAATGTGTCCATAGTCATGGAAGGATATGAACATGCCCTGGATCACAGGAAGATGAACTGGATGCAGAAAGAAGGAGAGATGCACCTCCGCATCTTTTGTCACCATGCTTGATCAGGATGATACAACACAACACAACCCAGCAAAAGAGAACTGTCCTGCCCCTGAAAAATCCAAATCTGGCCGATGACAGCCTGTGAGTGTCTTAGGCCTCTGACTTCTCAAAGAAAGTGAAATGAAATATAGTGCAGCTTCCAGAAAGGGGAATGCAAGGAATAAGGAAGACAACCACACAGGATAGAACCAGGGACCAACCAACAAACTAAAACCAAGTTGATAGCAGGAAGGTCTCACTGTATCATGTCCACCTGGATAAGTACTGAGATGAGTTTTGCTTTCCTCCATTTTCTGCAAGGGAGTTTTAAATTAGTTACTCTATTCTTTCTCATGCATTTTATGAGGTGGGGGCAGATAAACTGTCTAGACCATATGAGCCCTAGACCTGATGTAAACTTCTATATATCATCCGTGACTCAACATGCATTAACTGAGATGCAGTAACTGGATGACAGTTTGAAGTTGTATTACATGCAGAGGAGAATGGGGACATTAAATGTACATGTTACTAATGTGAAGGGTGTGTATCAACGCACACAAGTTAAAGAGATGATTTGTATAAGAAAAAGACACTGGCCTGTTCAACACTCATTCAAAGTCCTTGTCCCCTTTTAAATTATTTTTTCTATTAATCAGAATTTAAAAATGAAGGTATCACTTTCTAGTCTCCCTTATAGTATCAGGTAACCCTGTGACACTATTCTGTTCAATATAATGTAAAAGTCCTGTAGAGGGTTTTTCATTTTTATGTTTCTTTCTGAATGGAAGGCCAATTAAGAGCCTGGAGGCATAAGAGCACCTGCAACCATGAGGACAAAAGCTGCACTAAGGACTGGGGGCAAGAGTACAAGTAGTCCGAGGCCAGGAGGATGCTGCAGAGCCACTGCACCAGCTAAGGGGAACCACTGAATCAGGGCCCTCAGGATCTTGCCACAAAACCAAATTGTAACTGACACACGTCTTCACCATTACCAGCTGTGTAAACCCGGGAAGGTATTTAATTATTGTGACTCATTTTCCTCATGTACTAGTTAGAGTAACAGTAACTCACAAACTCCGGCAAATTAAATATAAAAATCTATGTGATGGGTTTCAAACAAAACCTTTCACATAATAAACACTCAATAAATAACTACCATCAGCAACAGCAACATTATTACATGAGGAAAGTTAAACCTCACTAATACAAAAAAAATGAAAATTAATAGAGGAAGAAACTATTTCTATATATCACATTAAATGAATGACTTAAAAACGATACTGGAGAACATGCAATAAAATATGTATTCTGATATATCATTGGTGGCACTAGAAATTGGTATAATCCTTAGAAAATACACTTGGCAAGTGGTCCAGAAGATTAGAAATACCTAAACCTAGCACTTCTACTTCTGAGTATTTAGCATGAAAAAAAACTTTAAAATACCACAAAATCTAAAGTAAAAAGATGTCAACTGTAATGCAACATATAATAGTGAAAACTTGGAAGCAATAAAAATGTCCAACAATTAGAATGGCTTAACCATATGATTTGGTTTGGCTCTACGTCCCACTTAAATCTCACCTTGAATTGTAATATTCCCCACATGTTGTGGGAGGGCCCAAGTGGGAGGTAATTGAATAGTGGGGGCAAGTTTTTCCTGTGCTGTTCTCATGATAATGAATAAGTCTCACAAGATCTGATGGTTTTATAAAGGGAGAGCTCTGCTGCGCATGCTCTCTTGCCTGCCACCATGTAAGATGTGACTTTGCTCCTCATTTGCCTTCTGTCATGATTGTGAGGGCTTCCCCGCCATGTGGAACTGTGAGTCAATCAAGCCTCTTTCCTTTATAAATTACCCAGTCTTGGGTATGTCTTTATTAGCAGCATGAGAACAGACTAATACAGTACATTGGTACTGGGAGTGGGGCACTGCTGAAAAGATACCTGAAAACGTGGAAGCTTTGGAACTAGGTAACGGGCAGAGGTTGGGACAGTTTGGAGGGCTCAGAAGAAGACAAGAAAATGTGGGAAAGTTTGGAACTTTCTAGAGATGTATTGAATAGTTTTGCCCAAAATTCTGATAGCAATATGGACAATGAAGTCCAGGTTGAGGTGGTCTCAAATGGAAATGAGGAGCTTGTTGGAAACTGGAGTAAAAGTCACTCTTGCTATGCAAAGAGACTGGTGGCATTTTGCCCTGCCCTAGAGATCTGTGGAACTTTGAACTTGAGAGAGATGATTTACGGTACCCAGTGGAAGAACCTTCTAAGCAGAAAAGTGTTCAAGAAGAAGCAGATCATAAAAGTTTGGAAAATTTGCAGCCTGACGATGGGATAGAAAAGAAAAACCCATTTTCTGGGGAGAAATTCAAGCCAGCTGCAGAAATTTGCATAAGTACTGAGGAGCCAAATGTTAATCACCAAGACAATAGGATAATGTCTCCAGGGCATGTCAGACACCTTCACAGCAGCCCCTCCCATCACAGGCCTGGAGGCCTAGGAGGAAAAAATGGTTTTGTGGGCAAGGCCTAGGGCCCCCCTGCTCTCTGCAGCCTAGGGCCATGGTGCCCTGCACGTTCCAGCTGCTTCAGCTCCAGCTGTGGCTAAACAGGGCCAATGTACACCTCAGGTCACTGCTTCAGAGGGAAGAAGCCCCAAGCCTTGTAAATTTACATGTGGTATTGGGCCTGTGGGTACACAGAGGTCAAGAACTGAGGTTTGGGAACCTCCGCCTAGATTTCAGAGGATGTACGGAAATGCCTGGATGTCCAGGCAGAGGTGTGCTGCAGGGGTGGAGTTCTCATGGAGAACCTCTGCTAAGGCAGTGTGGAAGGGAAATGTGAGGTGGGAGCCCCCACATGGAGTCCTCACTGGGGTACTGCCTATTGGAGCTGTGAGAAGAGGGCCACCATCCTCCCAACCCCAGAATGGTAGAACCACCAACAGATTGCACCATGCACCTGGAAAAGCCACAGAACACCAGCCTGTGAAAGCAGCCAGAAGGGAAGCTGTACCCTGCAAAGCCACAGGGGTGGAGCTTCCCAAGGCTGTGGGAACCCACCTCTTGCATCAGCATGACCTGGATGTGAGACATGGAGTCAAAGGAGATCATTTCAGAGCTTTAAGATTTGGCTGCCCTGCTGGATTTTGGACTTGCATGGGGCCTGCAGCCCCTTCGTTTTGGCCAATTTCTCCCATTAGGAATGGGCGTATTTACCCAAAGCTTGTACCCACAGTATCTAGGAAGTAACTAACTTGCTTTTGATTTTACAGGCTCATAGGCAGAAGGGACTTGCCTTGTCTCAGATTGAGTTAATGCTGAAATGAATTAAGACTTGGGGGACTGTTGGGAAGGTATGATTGGTTTTGAAATGTGAGGACATGAGATTTGGGAGGGGTCACAGGTGAAACTATATGGTTTAGCTGTGTCCCCACCCAAATCTCACCTTGAATTGTAATAATCCCCACATATCAAGGGTGGGGCCAGGTGGGGATAATTGAATCATGGAAGCAGTTTCCCCCATACTGTTCTCCTGGTAGTAAGCCTCACAAGATCTGATGGTTTTATAAATGGGAGTTCCCCTGCTCATGTTCTCTTGCCTGCCACCATGCAAGACGTGACTTTACTCCTCATTTGCCTTCTGCCATGACTGTGAGGCTTCCTCAGCCATGTGGAACTGTGAGTCAAACCTCTCCTTTATAAATTACCCAGTCTTGGGCATGTCTTTATTAGCAGTGTGAGAACAGACTAATAGACCATATTATAGTTTTTTTGCTGAAATGTATGAAATATTATAGTGATAAAATTATGTTAATGAAGTGAATAAAATAGTATGGAAATATATATATCATAATATTAAGGAAAATACTCACTACATATGGTACCTATAGCATGAATAAAAAAGTCACACTAAAGTAGGAAATTTACCAAAATGTTAACACTGCTGACATCTAGGTTATGAAACTATAAGTGATATTTTCCCCTGACTTCTAATCCTCTACTTTACAAATTTCCTGTAATTAATACTGTATCAATTAGAATATTTTTAGCTGCAAGTAACAGAAAACCTAACTTGCTTAAACAAAAGAAACTTTCTTATTTGACAGAACTAAGAAATAGGAACAATTTTACACTGTTGGTGGGACTGTAAACTAGTTCAACCATTGTGGAAGTCAGTGTGGAGATTCCTCAGGGATCTAGAACTAGAAATACCATTTGACCCAGCTATCCAATTACTGGGTATATACCCAAAGGATTATAAATCATGCTGCTATAAAGACACATGCAAACGTATGTTTATTGCGGCACTATTTACCATAGCAAAGACTTGGAACCAACCCAAATGTCCAACAATGATAGACTGGATTAAGAAAATGTGGCACATATACACCATGGAATACTATGCAGCCATAAAAAAGGATGAGCTCATGTCCTTTGTAGGGACATGGATGAAGCTGGAAACCATCATTCTCAGCAAACTATCGCAAGGACAAAAAACCAAACACTGTATGTTCTCACTCATAGGTGGGAATTGAACAATGAGAACACATGGACACAGGAAGGGGAACATCACACACCAGGGCCTGTTGTGGGCTGGGGGGAGGGGGGAGGGATAGCATTAGGAGATATACCTAATATTAAATGACGAGTTAATGGGTGCCGCACACCAACATGGCACATGTATACATATGTAACAAACCTACACGTTGTGCACATGTACCCTAAAACTTAAAGTATAATTAAAAAAAAAAAAAAGAACTAAGAAGTCTAGTACAGGCTTGGGTTCAGGCACAATAAAGACAGTAATTCAACACCATCATCAATGCCCCAGTTCTTTTCATATCTTCACTGTGTGTCCTCATTGTGGGCTTCATCCTCAAGCTGGTTCACCTAATGGTCACAACAAGGCAGTGGCCAGAAAAGCTATGTGCTGACTGGCTAAAAAGAATCATTCTCTGGAGTAAACAAACTTGGTGCTTTTTTAGGAAGAAGGGGAGAAGTGAATTGATATTGGAGAGATAAGCAATGTCTTCTCTACTTTGCTACTATTTTAATTTTTCAAAGTATATTTATTGCTTCCAAGCTTGTGAATGTAATTCATTTCACTGCAGAAAATTTGGAAAACAGAGGGTATAAAAAAAAAAAAACTCACACATGATCCCATTACATGAAACAACCATTGTTAACATTTTGGTGCATTTGGTTTAAAAATGTATACAATATGGATAACAATTGTACACATGTGTATATAATCTTAATTAATTTGTAAATGTGATTTTAATGGCACAATAATATTCAATCAAATGGAAACAGCATAACTTATTCAACCAATTATATTGTCACTCATTTATATTATTTTCCTTTTCATTATTATATATAATACAGAAATTAATACCATTGGATGTAATATTTCACTTTATTTCTGATTTACTTCTGTAGTAAAATTTCCATTGAGATTACTGGACCAAACATGTTAAGGCTCTTTTACCATATTGCCAAATAAACACATCTTACATATTTATAATAAGAAAAACTTAAATTAATGAAATAAAAACTGGGAATTATATTTGCCCTGGTAACTTCACAGGCTGGTATAATTATCAGATGATATAATTGCTAAAAAATGTTTTGTGAAAATTTAAGCATTATATAAAAGGTATTATTTGGATGCAAATAAATACAAAACACTTGAAACTGCTTTATGACAATAATCTCTCAGGGATTCATGTATGATTTTTATTGCACACACTGTCATCACTTTAAACAACTTCCAACATTTCACATCCTACCTGTTAATAGAAGCAACTTTTGTCTTAATTACTCAAGTATTTATACTCATAGAACTTTAATGATCTATTCATTAATTTAAAAAATTATTAAGGATATAACTGTGTGCTACGAAGAAGGCCATGAAGCTAGGAGTATCCTAGTATAATTGAATGTTGAAGACAAACATAATCAACTAAAATAAATGTGATAAGTGATATAACGAAGAACATTTTACTATGAGACCCAAGAAAAAGAAATAATTAATGTTTTCCTTCCTTCTCCTATTTTGTCCTTTACTTCAATTTATTTATTTATTATTAATATTATTATTTTTTGAGACGGAGTTTCACTCTTGTTGCCAACCTGGAGTGCAGTGGCGTGATCTCAGCTCACTGCACACTCCGCTTTCTGGTTTCAAGCGATTCTCCTGCCTCAGCCTCCTGAGTAGCTGGGACTACAGTCACACACCACCACGCCCGGCTAATTTTTGTATTTTTAGTAGAGTTGGGGTTTCACCATGTTGGCCAGACTGGTCTCGAACTCCTGACCTTGTGATCCGCCAGCCTCTGCCTCCCAAAGAGCTGGGATTACAGGCGTGAGCCACCGCGCTCGGCCCTTTGCATCAATTTCTACAGCTTGTTTTCTTTGCCTGGACTTTACAAGTCTTACCTTGTTCTGCCTTCAGATATTTGTGTGGTCTCATTCTGGTGTGCCAGTAGCTAAAAATCCATGATTTGCTCTCATCCCACTCCTGTTGTTCATCTCCTCTTATCTGGGGTCACATATCTCTTCGTGATTGCATTCTGATCCCCAGTACTTAGCATGTGCGTAACAACTCTGCCTCTGCTTTCCCAGGCTGTTGATGGGGTGCTGTTCATGCCTCAGAAAAATGCATTGTAAGTTAAATTATTAAAGATTTTAAATATAGGAAAAAAGTAAGCAAACATAAGGAACAAAAAGGAAAGAACATGTATTCTAATCCATTATTTATTATACAATTAAGAAATTTGGAAACTTTAGATTACACTGCTTTTAGAGATGGAGATGTAGTAAGTCTTTTACTCTTTACAAAATACATGTGTTAGCAATTTTGGGAAGAATAGTAACTCACCCGAACAGTGTAATGTGAATATGTCACTTACTAGAGGAAAGAAGGCACTTGAAAAACATCTCTAAACCGTATAAAAACAATTACATCATAATGATGAAAACCCAAGGAATTTTTTTAGAAAACATTACCAGGGCTAATAACAAAGTAGAGCCACATGTCATTTATCTTCCCTTTGTGTCTGTGTGAGAATTCTAGAGTTATATTTGTACATAGCATGGAAAAATGAGAGGCTAGTTTATCAACTAGTTCATTTTTAAAAGTCTAACACATCCTAGGTATAGGTGAACTGTCCTCCTGCCAATGTATTGCACATTTGTGCCCAGATCCAGCATAGGGTATGTTTGCCATTTACAAACGTTTATGTCTTAAGAGAGGAAATATGAAGAGCAAAACAGTGCATGCTGGAGAGAGAAAGCTGATACAAATATAAATGAAACAATAATTGGAAAAATTGAGAAACTACTCATTTTCTAAATTACTCATGTATTTTCCTAGAATTTAAGTCTTTTAATTTTTGATAAATCCCAATGTGAGACAAGATAAGTATTAGTGATGGTATGAGTAATTAATATCTGTTATATAATATTCATTTTCATAGTGGAAGAAATAAAATAAAGGTTGTGATGATTGTTGATTATTTTTTCTAGAGGGGTTGTCAGGGAAAGAAATTGCTTTTTTTCATTCTCTCTTTCCACTAAGAAAGTTCAACTATTAATTTAGGCACATACAATAATTACTCCATTCTAAAATGCCAAAAAGGTAATTTAAGAGACTTAAAACTGAAAAGTTTAAGATAGTCACACTGAACTATATTAAAAAATCCACAGGGTGGTTGGAACTAGGCCTTATATTAAAGAGGCTAAAAATTGCAATAAGACCACAGGCTTTAAATATGGCTTTAAACTGTGAAAGGTGAAACTAGAATGAATAAAATCCTATAAATTTAAATCAAAAGAAAGAAACAAACTGAAATTAAAGTTATTATACAAGAATATGGTGGCCTGGATCTAGTGAACATA